>NC_000001.11:111372016-111675047 GCF_000001405.40 Homo sapiens
AGATGGCCAAACAGAAGCCTCCAATGATCATCCTCCCCACAAGAACACCAAATTAAATAACTATTCACACAAGAAAGGACCTTCATAAGAACCAAAAATCAGGTGAGCAATTACAGTACCTGCTTTTAACATCATAGCAAGGAAAGAGGCCTGAACAGCATAGGAAAGACAGTCTTGAATTGCTGACACACCCTTCTCGCATCTCCTGGCAGCAGCAGCAAGTGCATGGTGCAGAGAGGGAATCTATATGCTTGGGGAAGGGAGAGCACAGTGATTGTGGGACTTTGCACTGGAACTTAGTGCTGCAAAAACCAACACAGGATAGAATTCAGTGGGCACCAGGCCTAGCCAGAGAGAAATTGCCCATCCCAGTGGTCAGAAACTGAGTTCCAGCTAGCCTTGGCACCACAGGCTGAAGTGCTCTGGGGTCCTAAATAAACTTGAAAGGCAGTCTAGGCTACAAGGACTGCAATTCCTGGGCAAGTTCTAGTGCTGTGCTGGGCTTGGAGCCAGCAGACGTGCACTGGGTGCACACAACCCAGTGAGACACCAGCTGGGGCAGCCAAGGAAGTGCTTGCACCACCCCTCCCTCAACCTGAGGCAGTACTGCTTGCAGCTCTGAAAGAGATGCCTTCTTTCTGCTGAGGAGAGAAGAAGAAAGAGCAAAGAGGACTTTGTCTTGCAACTTGGATACCAGCTCAGCCCCAATAGGATAAGGCATCAGGCAAAGTCCTGAGGCCTCCATTCCAGGCCCCAGTTCCTGAATGACACTTCTAGACACACCCTGGGTCAGAAGGCAATGCCCTGCCTTGAAAGGAAGAACCCAGCTATGACAGGATTCATCACCTTCATTCAAGGGCCCAAGGGCCTTGAATAAACATCAGCAGTAGTCGGGCAGTACTCGCCACAGGCCTAGGCTGAGACCCAATAACATGCTGGCTTCAGATGTAACCCAGCACATTCCCAGCTATGGTGGCCACAGAGAGAGACTCCTTCTGCTTGAAGAGAGGAGAGGGAAGAATAAAGGGGACTTTTTATTGCAGCTTGTTTACCAGCTTGGCCACAGTTGGGTGGACCACCAAGTGGGCTCCTGGGGGTCCCCAATTCCAGGCCTTGGCTTCTAGATGGCATTTCTGGACCCACCCTAGGCTGTGAGGGGGCTCAGCACCTTGAAGGGAAGGACACAAGCCTGCCTGGATTCACACCTGTTGACTGAAGAGCCCTTGGGCCTTGAGTGAAAATCCGTGGTAGCCAGGCAGTGGTCACCCTGGGCCTTGGGCAAGATCCAGGGGTGTACTGGCTTCAGGTCTGACCCAGTATAGTCCCAGTGGTGGTGGCCACAGAGATGCTTGTGTCACCCTTCCCTCAGCTCCAGGGAGCTTAGAACAGAGGGAAAGAGACTTTGTTTGTTTGGGGGAAAGTAAGGGAAGAGAAGAGAATAGGAGTCTCTACCTGGTAATTCAGATAATTCTCTTGGATCATACCAAGGCCACCAAAGCAGGACCTCTACAAGTCTGTAAGAGTCACATAGTTTACTGGGTTGGGGTTGCCCCCTAATGCAGACACAGTTGCAGTGACCAAAGACTTAGATCACAACACCCAAGTCCTTTCATTTTTTTGGTTTGTTTTTGTTTTTGTTTGTTTGGGTTTTTTTGTTTCTTTTTTGTTGTTGTTGTTTGTGTTTTTGAGACAGAGTCTCACTCTGTCACCCAGGCTGGAGTGTAATGGCGAAATCTCGGCTCACTGCAACCTCCGCCTCCTGGGTTCAAGCGATTCTCCTGCCTCAACCTCTCAAGTAGCTGGGATTATGGGCATATGCCACCGTGCCTGACTAATTTTGTCTCTTTGGGTTTTTTTTAGTAGAGACGGGGTTTCACCATGTTGGTCAGGCTGTTTTCGAACTCCTGACCTCTGGCGATACTACTGCCTTGGCCTCCCAAAGTGCTGGGATTATAGGCATGAGCCACCACGCCCAGCCCAAGTCCCTTCAAGTACCAGGAAAGTCTTCTTAAGAAGGATGTACAAACAAGTTCAGACTGCGAAGACTACAACAAATACCTAACTCTTTAATACCCAGACATCAACCAACATTCACAAGTATCAAGACCATCCAGGAAAACATGACCTCACCAAGCAAACTAAATAAGGCACCAATGATGAATCCCAGAGTAACAGAGATATGTGACCTTTCAAACAGAATTCGAAATAGCTATTTTGAGACAACAAAAAAAATCAAGACAACACAGAGAGGGAACTCAGAATCCTATCAGATAAACTTAACAAAGAGATTGAAATAATTTTAAAAAATCAAGCAGAAATTCTAGAGCTAAAAAGTTCAATTGACATACTGGAGAAAGCATCAGATTCTCTCAACAGAAGAATTGATCAAGATGAAGAAAGAATTAGTGAGCTCAAAGACAGGCTATTTGAAAATACACAGCCAGAGGAGACAAAAGAAAAAAGAACAAAAAAGAATGAAGTTAGCCTTAAAAAGGAGGTAGAGAGAAATAGGGGCAGAAGGTTTATTCAAAGGGATAATAACAGAAAATGTCTCAAACCTAGAGAAAGATATTAATATCCAAGTGCAAGAAGGTTATAGAACACAAGCAGATTTAACTCCAGGAAGACTACCTCAAGGCATTTAATAAGCAAACTCCCAGAGGTCAAAGGTAAGAAAAGATTCTAAAATCAGCAAGAGAAAAGAAACAAATAATATTCAAAGGTGCTCCAGTACATCTGGCAGCAGACTTCTGAGTGGAAACCTTAAAGGCCAGCATTGGATAGATCATCTAGACAGAAAATCAACAAACACTGGACTTAATATGCGCTATAGACCAAATAGACCTAATAGATATGTACAGAATATTTTATCCAATGGCTGCAGAATACACATTCTTCTCCTCAGCACATGGATCATACTCAAGGATAGATAATCTATTAAGTGCTGAAGGAAAAAACTTTTATACTAGAATAGTATATCCATCTGACAAGGAATTAATAACCAGAATATATAATATGTTTCATTTGTTTCAAGAAACAAATGAAAATGTAAACACAACATACCAAAACCTATGGGATACAGTTAAAGCAGTACTAACAGGAAAGTCTATAGCATTGAATGCCTACCTCAAAAAAGTAGAAAAAAATTAAAAAAAAACATAATGATGCATCTTAAAGAACTAGAAAAGCAAGAGCAAATGAAACCCAATATTAGTAGAAGAAAAGAAATAATAAAGATCAAAGAAGAAATAAACAAAATTGAAAGGGAAAAACATACAAATATCAATGAAACAAAAATTGGTTTTGTGAAAATATAAACAAAATTGACAAACCTTTAGCCAGACTAAAAAATAGAGAGAAGACCCAAATAAATAAAATCAGAGACGATAAAGGAGACATTACAATTCATACTTCAAAAATCCAAAAGATCATTAGTGGCTACAATAAGCAACTATATGCCAATAAATTATAAAATCTAGAAGAAATAGACAGATTCGTAGATACATACAACCTACCAAGATTGAACTGTGAAGAAATCCAAAACCTGAACAGACCGATAACAAGTAACAGGATCAAAGCTGTAATAAAAAGTCTCTCAGCAAAGAAAAGCCTGGGACCCAAAGGCTTCACTGCTGAATTCTACCAAACATTGAAAGAACTAATACCAATCCTACTCAAACTATTCTGAAAAATAGAGGAGGAGAGAATACTTCCAAACTCATTCTACAAGGTCAGTATTATCCTGATACCAAAACCAGACAAAAACATATATATAAAAAGAAAACTACAGGCCAATATCCCCAATGAATATTGATGCAAATGTCCTCAACAAAATACTGGCAAACTGAATTCAACAACACATTAAAAATTCATTCATAGTGACCACCTGGGATTTATCCCAGGGATGCAAGAATGGCTCAATCAGTGTGATACATCATATCAACAGAATGAAGGACAAAAATCATGTGATCATTTCAACTGATGTTGAAAAAGCATTTGTTGAAATTCAACGTCCCTTCATTATAAAAACCCTAAAAAAACTGGGGATAGAAAGAACACATTTCAACATAATAAAAGCCATACATGACAGACCCAGAGCTAGTATCATACAGAATGGGGAAAAACTGAAAGGCTTTCCTCTGATATCTGGTATAAGACAGATATGCCCACTTTTACCACTGTTACTCTACATAGTACTGGAAGTCCTAGCTAGAGCAATCAGACAAGAGAAAGAAAGTGCATCCAAATTGGAAAGAAAAATGTCAAATTATCCTTGTTTGCAGATGATACAATCTTATATTTGGAAAAACCCAAATACTCCACACACAAAGACTATTAGAACTGTAAACAAATTCAGTAAAGTTGCAGGATACAAAATCAGTGTACAAAAATTAGTAGTATTTCTATATGCCAACAGTGAACAATCTGGAAAAGAAATCAAAGAAGTAATCCCATTTACAATAGCCACAAATAAAATTAAATACCTAGGAATTAACTAAACTGAAGAAGTGAAAGATCTATTCAATGAAAACTATAAAACCCTGATGAAAGAAACTGAAGAGAACACCAAAAAATAGAAAGATATTCCATGTCATCCATGAATTGGAAGAATCAATATTGTTAAAATGTCCATAGTTCTCAAACAATCTATAGATTCAATGCAATCTCTATCAAATTACCAACGACATGCTTCACAGAAATTTTGTAAAAATTTCAAAATGTATATAGAACCACAAAAGACCCAAAATAGCCAAAGCTATCCTAAGGAAAAAGAACAAAAATGGAAAAACCACATTACCTGTCTTCAAATTATACAACAGAGCTATTGTAACCAAAACAGCATGGTACTGGCGTAAAAACAGACACATAGAACAGTGGAACAGAATAGAGAACCCAGAAATAAATCATACATCTACAGTGAACTCATTTTTGACAAAGATGCTGGGAAAACTAGATTGCCTATATGCAGAAGAATGAAACAAGATACCTATCTCTCACCGTATACAAAAATCAAATCAAAATAGATTAAAGACTTAAATCCAAAACCTCAAACTATGAAACTACTAAAAGAAAACATTGGGGAAACTCTACTGGACATTGGACTGGGCAGAGACTTCTTGAGCAATAACCCACAAGCACAGGCAACCAAAGCAAAAATGAACAAATGGGATTACATCAAGTTAAAAAGCTTCTGCACAGCAAAGGAAACAACAAAGTGAAGACACTACCCACAAAATGGGAGAAATATTTGCAAACCACCCATCTGACAAGGAATTAATAACCAGAATATATAAGGAGGTCAAACAATTCTATAGGAAAAACCTAATAATCTGATTAAAAATGGGCAAAAGATCTGAACAGACATCTCTCAAAAGAAGACACACAACTAGCAAATAGGTATGGAAAGGTGTTCACATCATTAATCATCAGAGAAATGTAAATTAAAACTACAATGAGATATCATCTCACCCTAATTAAAAAATGGCTTTTATTTAAAAAAATAGGCAATAACAAATGCCAGCAAGGATGTGGAGAAAAGAGAACCCTTATACACTATTGGCGGGGATGTAAATTAGTACAATCACTATGGAGAACAGTTTGGAGGTTCCTCAAAAAACTAAAAATAGAGCTACCATATGATCCAGGAATCCCACTTCTAGGTATATACCTAAAAGAAAGGAAATCAGCATATCAAAAGCATATCTGCACTCTCATGTTTATTGCAGCACTATTCACAATAGCCAAGATGTGGAAGCAACTTAAGTGTCCATTCACAGACAAATGGATAAAGAAAACGTGGTGCATATACACAATGGACTACTATTCATCCATAAAAAATCAATGAGATCCCATCATTTGCAACAAAATGAAGGAAACTGGCAGTCATTATGTTAAGTGAAATAATCCAGGCACAGAAAGACAAACATTGCATGTTCTCACTTATTTGTGGGAGCTAAAGATTAAAACAACTGGACTCATGGAGATAGAGTAATAGAAGGATGGTTACCAGAGGCTGGGAAGGGTAGTCAGGAGGGAGGGAAAAGAAGGATTATTAATGAGTTAAAAAAAAAAATAGGTAGAAAGAATAAATAAGATCTAATATTTGCTAGCACAACAGGGTGACTATATTTTTAAAAATTCAGTTGCTCATTTTAAAATAACTAAAAGAGTATAATTGGATTGTTTGAAACACAAAGGATAAATTCATGAGGTGATGGATACCTGATTTACCCTGATGTGATTTTTATGCATAGCATGCCTGTATCAAAATATCTCATGTAGCCCATAAATATATACACCTACTATATACCCACAAAAATTAAAAATTAAAATATTTTAACAAGCACATTACACCTGCACAAATAGCAATTAAATAGGAATTCCAATGCTTATTTACATCTCTTAAAGAATATTTAAAGGGGTCTACTATGTAAGCATTGGCAACATTTTTCAAAATTGCCATTCTACATTCTCCTCCAGAGATGTTGGGCTGGGACATTTCCCCCAATAAAGCCCAAATCCCTGTCTTCACATCCACCCTTCATAGTTTCTATGCCTTTTCACGTCCCTGTTATTTTCCAGCTCTTTCTGTCTAATTCTCTCATCTTTCCTTCTACTTCTGCAGACCTTCCCCTCTCTCTCAACCCAGTCCACAAATTTTTTTCATGTTTTTAAAGTTGTCTTTTTTGTGTTGGAAACTGAAACTGTCATTAGCTATCCATGTGTTTTCTTTCTCTTTTTGTTTTTTATTTTTATTGTTTTTATTTTTATAGATTTAGGGATACAGATGGAGGTGTGTTACCTCCGTGTAATGGTGAAGTATGGGCTTTTAGTGTACCCATCGCCTGAATAGTGCATATTGCACCCAATAGGCAGTATTTCATCCATCATCCCTCTTCCACCCTCCCACCTTTTGTAGTCTCCATTGTCTACAATTCCACTCCATATGTTTAGCTCCTTTTTACAAGGGAGAACATTTGGTGTTTGACTTTCTGTTTCTGAGTCATTTCACTTGTGATAATAGCCTCTGATAAGGACTACAGTGTCCTTAATGTCTATGCTGCAATTCCATACTCAGGCAGAGACTGCCTCCTTATTTTTCTCTCCCATTGATTCCATCCATGTTGCTGCAAAAAACATTTCATTCTTTTTTTGGCTGTGTGGTGTTACATGAAATGTGTATACCACATTTTTTAATCCAATCATCTGTTGATGAACACTCAGGTTGATTCCATGACTTTGCTGTTGTGAATTGTACTGCAATAAACATGTGAATGCAGGTGTCCTTTTGATATAATGATTTCTTTTCCTCTGGGTAGGTACCTGGGAGTGGGATTACTGGATCAAAGGGTAGTTCTATTTTCAGTTATTTCAGAAATCTCCTATTGTTTTCTATAGTGGTTGTACTAATTTACTTTCCCACCAACAGTGTATAAGTGTTCCCTTTTCTCCATATTCTCACCAATATCTGTTGGTTTTTGGCAGTCCCCCAATTCTCTTTCACAAAAATATAGGAATTGGACAGCCAAGGTCTTTATTTAGTACAATGAAGACAGAAGGGTGTTAAAGGAAAGTGGGGAACACTCACATATTAATAAGTCTTGTCCCCACCCCACAAACGATAAGCAAAGTGGAACAGACCTTAAGCTATGGGGGAGCTTTTGTTGGTTGTTATTCTCTTTCTTTTTTTCTTTTTCTTTTTTTTCTTTTTTTTTGACGGAGTCTTGCTCTGTTGTGGCTGGAGTGCAGTGGCACGATCTCGGCTCACTACAACCTCCACCTCCCGGGTTCACGCCATTCTCCTGCCTCAGCCTCCCGAGTAGCTGGGACTACAGGCGCCCGCCACCACGCCTGGCTAATTTTTTGTAGTTTTAGTAGAGACAGGGTTTCACTGTGTTAGCCAGGATGGTCTCGATCTCCTGACCTTGTGATCCACCCGCCTCGGCCTCCCAGAGTGCTGGGATTACAGGCGTGAGACACCGCGCCTGGCCGTTGGTTGTTATTTTCTAGAAAACGGGAGCAGATAGAATTTTCTAACTCTGGCTTTGCAAATACTGTAATTGTTCTAGCAGACTGGTACCTGCTGAAAAACCTCAGATGACTTGTAGTAACTTGAATTTGATTATCTCTCAGTAACTGTGTTGAGAACTTTCTGGAAATTATATCTCTAGGGGTGGGGAGAAGCCGGGAGGACTGGGTGCGCGTGCAGGGATCAGAAGCCGGTTGGTGGGTGAAAGGTTTTCTCGCTCTAGGGAGATTCTTCAAGCAATCACTATGTCAACAGACACAGGTGTTTCCCTTCCTTCACATGAGGAAGATCAGGGATCCAAACTTACTCGAAAAACTAAAGAGGCACCATTCGTACCTGTTGGAGCAGCAGGTTTTGCAGCAATTGTTGCATATGGATTATACAAACTGAAGAGCAAGGGAAATACTAAAATGTCCATTCATCTGATCCACATGCATATGGCAACCCAAGGCTTTGTTGTAGGAGCAATGACTGTTGGTATGGGCTACTTCATGTATCGGGAATTCTAGGCAAAACCTAAGCCTTAGAAGAAGAGATGCTGTCTTAGTCTTGTTGGAGGAGCTTGCTTTAGTTAGACGTCTCATTATTGAAGTTACCTATTATTGCTGGAAATAAACTAATTTGTATGGGTTTAGATGGTAACATGGCATTTTGAATATTGGCTTCCTTTCTTGCAGGCTTGATTTGCCTGGTGACCGAATTACTAGTGACTAGTTTACTAACTAGGTCATTCAAGGAAGTCAAGTTAACTTAAACATGTCACCTAAATGCACTTGATGGTGTTGAAATGTCCACCTTCTTAAATTTTTAAGATGAACTTAGTTCTAAAGAAGATAACAGACCAATCCTGAAGGTACTCCCAGTTTGCTGCAGAATCTCACATATTTTGGATGTTGTATAAGAGTCCTATTTGCCCCAGTTAATTCAACTTTTGTCTGCCTGTTCTGTGGACTGGCTGGCTCTGTTAGAACTCTGTCCAAAAAGTGCATGGAATATAACTTGTAAAGCTTCCCACAATTGACAATATATGTGCATGTGTTTAAGCCAAATCCAGAAAGCTTAAACAATAGAGCTGCATAATAGTAGTATTTATTAAAAAATCACAACTGTAAACATGAGAATAAAGGATTCTAGTTTAGTTTTTTGTAATTGCAAATTATATTTTTGCTGCTGATATATTAGAATAATTTTTAAATGTCATCTTGAAACAGAAATATGTATTTTAAGCACTCATGCAAAGGTAAATGAACACTTTTTAAATGTGTGTGTTGCTTATTTTTTCAATAAGAATTGTAAACATTGAACTGAACAAATTACCTATAACGGATTTGATAAAAGACTTATGAGCAAGCTGGTTTGGCAGACAGTATACCCAAACTTTTATATAATATACAGAAAGCTATTACACTTGTGAACTTCTCTTGTCTAATCTGAATTTACATTCCATGGTGATAACATGGTATATGTATTGTTATTAAAGTAAGTGACCCATGTCAAAAAAAAAAAAAAAAGAAATTATATCTCTAACTCAAGATCTTTGCTCTCAATGCTTGAGGTCAAAAGTCAGAGCATAAACAGAGGTGATGCTGAGGCAAGAACAGTGACTGACAGGGCGGGGGAGGAGGATGGAGGTGCATTGGGGCTGACCTGCATCGCCCTTCCCTTTGATGAAAAGAATCTATTTCTTCCATAAGATAAACACAACACTGAAGAAAAAAGAAATGACCCAATGCAGACATTACTTAGTTCAATAAGACCAGCTCTATTACATGTCAGTAGAGAGGACCAATAAAACTATGTAAGAAAATGGACACTGACATTCAACACTGTTGCCCCCTACCCCATACATGGGTGAGTTGAGAATGTTTTGCATGTTTTTATCCAGATACATTTTTCTAATTATACTGGAATTAATGTGATATCTCCACTATTGAAACCTTTTTGAGATCCCAAGGCAATGACAGTTTTTAATTCCCTGAGGCAACCTTCTAAATTAGACGACCTCACTTCAAATGATTTTTGGTTACTGACTGTGTAATGCAAATTTAACCACTGAGCTCACTTCAAACAGGGAAATGCTCAAAAGTAAGGTATTCCAGATTAAAAATTCCTAAGGATCAAAACCATGCCTCATTTATATTTTCCATGTCCCCATGGCATAGTGGACTTTATTACATAGAAATATAACTTTAAAAAATTATTACATTGAATCTGAATCTGACTTGAACACCAACTGTATGATCACCTCTCCATGCCTCAGGCTCCTTCCAATGTAAAATAAAACTGGGGATTTTAAACTCAAATGCTTTCAGATTCAGGCAGGCAAAGTGAACATGTGAGGTAGCCCGAGTACCAGTAGGGAGTAATGAGGACTATGATAATGACCATTAATCTGCAAATTCATTAAAATTGTGCTGCTGCCCTCAAAAAAAAATGTTCTCTGATTATATTTGGCCTGCAAAACACCTGTTTGAAATGCTCTCTAAGGTTGTTGCTTCCCTCATCCCTTATATTGTTCTTGAGTCAGCCATTGCTCTGGTACACGTTCTTTCTAAGGATAGTCAAAAACAATATTGGGGGAGAGAGAGGTAGGTGGGTGATAACCTCCAACCAGAGCTTCCCAAGGAGATATCACTGTGTCCTTAATGCCTATGCTGGAGTTCCATACTCAGGCAGAGATTACCTCCTTATTTTTCTCTCCCATCGATTAACTAACTGATCCCCTGTAGTAACTGTTGCTAAGTTTCAACTTAGAATAAGCCACAAAAAGCAGAACACACCAAAAAAGACATCTGGGAATGAACATTAAAGGTGTTTGGAGTTTTCCAATTTATTAGTTGCAGAAAGTAAGACTCTAGTGAGCAGAGGGAGTCAGGATCATTAAAAATGCTGCCATGGACCCACAGAAACATCAGAACAATCCCAGAGTCCTGCAGAGAGGGGTAGAGACAGCAGTCGCTGGCTAGTCTAGGCAGAGAAGGCAAAGCCCACCCTGTTGTTGGCCATGTCATAGACAGAGCAATATTCCTTGAGGAAGACATCCCCCAGAATCCAGAGGGGCTGCCCACTGCGGGAGGGCAGGCAGGTGGCCTCAGTTCCAAGCCTGCAGTAGCCATTGTTCTGAAGAGACAAAGGACATGAAGACATAACTAGCTGTACTGTAGAGACCTTTCCCCACAGGGACTCCCCACCTTATATTACGTGACACCTGTAGGGGGCCCCGAATTCTTGTTCAGTCTCAGCCTGGTCCCTGGTGCCCCGCTCACATCATAGGTGCCCAGATGTGAGCTGGGACACGGAACACCTGTTTGGGCCCACCAAATCCCAGTACCCTGGAAGCCAGGAGTGAATATGTACATTGAAGACATATTCAGAGGGAGGCAGAGGAAACTGGGCCCCGCCGATGATGAAGGTGATGGTGGGCATGCTCTGTATGTAGCTGCAGTTGACCACAAACTGAGAGGGGGAAGAGGCAAAGCTGAGGCACTCCAGGGGACTAGAAGCCCAGGTAAAAGGCCCAAGGCCCACTTTGTTCCCGTGAGTTCCCTGTAAGACTTTCCCCTCCACCTTCCAGTAAAGGCTGTTTCAGAGCATGGAAGGCCTGGCCTTCCCAGGAATAACTCTGACCAGGCCCTCTTGCTTTCTTGAGTCCTCTCCTTAAATACATCTCAGCTTTTGGATTTTGGTTGTATTGATATGGTCATAAAGAAGGAGGCTTATTCTAGAACAGAGTCTCTAGCCTTGGAAAGTGAAAATTACAGAGAAAAGACATGGGGCACACACTTGTGGAAGCATACTCTCCCACACACTCATATCCACATTTGTGTGCACACGTCCATGTACTCACCATAGCATGTGCACGCATGTATGCATGCACGTGTACAGATGTGCACACACACACACAACCTGAGAAATCAAGATTTAGTCTGGGAATAGATTCTTGCATGCAAGGAGAAGCAAACAACAGATATGAGTACAAAGCGGGCAGGTGTGGGGAGAGGAGGCTACTCAGAGTGAAATCCAAAGATGTATTCCTATGGGAGAAAGAAACCAAAAGGAATGGAAAAATGTGTTGACTCTAATATTTCAGAGCAGTCAAGTGATAGTGGCCAGAAAGCTGAAATTTGCCCCTAGGACATACTGTGGATTCACAGCACCTCCTGACAACCATTCACCCCATACTCAACCAGTCTGAGTAGAGATGGTGTTACTCCCTCCCCTTCCCCTTCCTTGCATTGAAGGTTCATGACAGAAATGCCATGCTGTGTCCCCACCCATCTTTCCGGCCAAAGCCTCAGGTCCCATCCAACCCTTCCTCCTCTCTGTTGTGAACTCCTTGCACTCAGGCACCTGTGGTGAGTCTGCCTGGGTGTGCAGAAAACCTCTTGGCTTCTGGTACTCACGTCACCATTCTGAGCCTGCTGGGGTCCTGTTGCCTGCAGGAAGGAGGCATGTACTGCTGAGGAACTGCCAGCAGGAAGGTCTCGGTATCCACAATGGCCTGGCAACCCTCAGAGCACAAGCCAGTGGCCTGGTTACCGATGGCAAATCTGAGGGGGACACCAGGACAAAGGGAATCAAGTGCCTCTACTGAAAACATGAGCCATGTCATCCCTTGTCCTCCAACCCAGCAGCTCTGATGTTCTTCTTCTTCCAGGCAGCCAAGCCACTCCTATTACACATCTGCCCATGAAATGCTTCTGTCCATTTGTCATTATTGGAGTCGTATCCTCAGTCTTGATTTGGTGCTCACTCCAGCTCTGACTGAAAGCTCTAGGAAGACAGAGCCTGTGTCTTATCTTCTTTCATCTACCTATATGGGGTCCAGCACATAGTGCCAAACACAGTCAGGGCTTGTAATCAGTAAATAGCTGCATTTTGAGCACCTACTATGTGGAAGACACTCTTTCAGGATTTATGGTGATACAAGGAGTGGGTAATTAGTGCTTACTGCTTTAAGGAGCTTATTCTAATAGAGATGGAACAACACAATTAATCAAGCCATGACTAACACTGTAAGGCAGTAGCTGATAAACCCCGTAATGTGGTACATAGACTCTTACATGATGCAGTCTCTGATTCCTTGTCTTGCTTTTTTCTACTGCTCTACCCTTCCTCTTCATCCCATATAGATGTGTTGAGATCTGTCTATGAGCCAGGTATCATGCAAGGCACTCGGAGATACAATGGTAAACAAGACATACACCACAGTCTAGTGGAGAGCCCAGACATTTAACAAAAACACACAAATGATGTCTCATTGCAGCCCTGATAGGTGCACATTACAATGTGCCAGAGAAAAGGGGACTTGATCTTTCTTGGGAAGCCAGAACAAGGATTTTTCTGAGGAAGTGATAAAGGATGAGTAGAATTGGGCTATATGAAAAGCCACCTCCATTCCATGCACAAATAATCTGCCAAGCTCTTACCTCTTTCTGCTCTTGTAGGTTGGGCTGTTTCTCCAGTGCCTTACCCAGTGACTAGGACATGTTAATTGTGACAGCAGCACAGGTAAGCATTATAGGATCAAAAGAGAAAGAAATCACTGTGCTCTGGGCCCCTGGGAGGATTTTTAGGAGAAGATACTAATTAATCTGGGCTTTGAGGAATGCCTACAAGTCAAGTAAGCACTCCAGGTGGCATGATTAAAAGAACAAAAGCAAGAAAATCATGGCCAGGTGCAAGGACTTGTTGAAGTCTGTGCTTAATATCTGGAAGCACTGAGAAGCTATATTGATAGGTGGAGCCGAGATTCTGTATGGTCTTAAATACAGATCAAAGGAGTTTTGTCTTTAACTGGCATGTGATAGAGAATTCTCAGGTGTAAAAATAACTGATTTGAGCACAAGCTTAACTGATCCCAACGCGGATCAAATAAGCTTGTGCTCAAATTTTGGCTTTATAAAATGTGACTTTGGACAAGTTACTTAGCCCTCTGAGCCTTGACTTCTTTATCGATAGAATGAAACGTATTGCTGACCTCCTTATAGTGCTCTTGTGGAAATTATATGCAATAATATATTTAAAGTACTTAGGCCGGGCACGGTGGCTCACACCTGTAATCCCAGTACTTTGGGAGGCCAGGGTGGGTGGATCATTTGAGGTCAGGAGTTTGAGACCAGCCTGGCCAACATGGTGAAAGCCTGTCTCTACTAAAAGTACAAAAAATTAGCTGGGTGTAGGGGTGGGCGCCTGTAATCCCAGCTACTCGGGAGGCTGAGGAAGGGGAATCGTTTGAACCCTGGAGGCAGAGGTTGCAATGAGCCGAAATCACATTACTGCACTCCAGCCTGGGCAACAGAGTGAGACCCTGTCTCAAATAAATAAATAAATCAAATACTTAGCATAGCACCTGGCACATATCAAACATCAATGACAGCTATTACTTTCACTAATGATAGAAGTAGTAAAGATTATGCTGATGGAAATCATCAAGCTTCCAAGAATAGGAACAGATTCACAGTGCCTAGGAATGGCCAACCTGCCAGCATGCTGAGACTCAGTACCCAGTTCAAAAAGTTCAGACCAGAGCTAGACACCAGAGTCTACTGAGCTCCAGGACCACCTCAGCCTGGAGGCTGGTGATTCTATTTAAGAAACCTGTGTGATGTGGAGGAACAGGAAATGTTGTTAAGCTGGAGGAACACCCTGCGAGTGTCCACAATCCACAGGAATTGCCCTCTCTACTTACTCCTCGATGGCAATCTGCCAGTACAGTTACGGGCTGACAGGGGTCCAGATGATCTGACCAGAATAAAGTTGGGGTCCACACCTCCAAGGATGAGCTCTCCACAATACTGGCGGGTTGGCTGGCTAGGAAGAGATGTACAAGAACGTGAGTGCCCACACACAGTCGGTGAGGCAGTTCTCTCTCCTCTCTCCTTCCTGCACTCCCTCAGACACAGGGGTGCTGCAGACGAGGGGACGCTGTCCTCTGAGTTGCTCTCAGACTCAGCCTGCTGAGGCACAGGAGGAGACTTCTCAGAGTAACACCAAACTACTAGACACGATGCCCATAAAGAAGACGGAAGTGGAAACCAGGCACCCAAAAACAAACTAGAAAAGCATCCCAGAGAAACCCTCCCTGGGAGGAAGTGAGAACAATAGGAAACCGTTTTAGGGACAACTAGAACGGGGCCTGAGAGAGCCCGCGAGGCGCTCTGAGAGGCATGCTCCCATCATGGTCAGGTCATTAACTAGACAATACTGGAAGGACTTTGGCCTTTTGTGCTTCTTATGCTGGCCAGTCGTAGAAGAAAGACATGTGAACTTTAGGTACTTTGAGGATCATGTGTTTGGGAAAGAAGGAACAAGGGATAAAGTTTGGCACAAAAGTACAGTGCCAAGTGGAGCAAGAAAAGTACTGGATTTGTGATCAAGATATTTGAGTTTGAGTCTTGGCTTCACACTTACTGTGAGTGACCTTGATCAATTCTGACAAGCTGTTTGAGCCTCCATTTGCTCCCTGGCAAGATGGGGCTAATATGAGGATTTTTGAGATGTCATTTGAAGTAATTGCTAGGAGAACACTTTATAAAGCCAGACATAGTATTATGATTATTCCTCCATTATAGTTCTCTTTACTAGTAATGCTCATGTGGCTTGTTCTTTAGTGCTAATACAGCAGTCTCCAGATTTCCTAAATAAACACTGAGGGACTGTTACTCAATTTTATGAAAGGTCATCTTGTGGCTTACAGCTAATATAATTTAAAATTCTTTTTTTTTTTTTTTTTGAGATGGAGTCTCACTCTGTCGCCCAGCCTGGAGTGCAGTGGCGTGATCTCGGCTCACTGCAAGCTCCGCCTCCCAGGTTCACGCCATTCTCCTGCCTCACCCTCCCGAGTATCAGGGACTACAGGTGCCCACTACCAAGACCGGCTAATTTTTTTGTATTTTTAGTAGAGATGGGGTTTCACCATGTTAGCCAGGGTGGTCTCAATCTCCTGACTTCGTGATCCGCCTGCCTCGGCCTCCCAAAGTGCTGGGATTACAGGTGTGAGCCACCACGCCTGGCCTAATTTAAAATTGTTAAAGTGTATTTAAAATAAGATTTTTCCCAAATTTTCTGAAATACATGAATTTTGTATAGCAAGTTATACTCATTGTGTCAGAACACCTTATAACCTGGACCCCATCTGATCTTGGGTTGCCTAGAATCCCCAGGGACCCTCATTTTCTGAGCCCTTCACAGGACGAAGGTTCTCACCAGGTGAAGTAGAAGCTGAAGACGGGCTGAGTAAGCTGGCTCTGCTGCAGCATCCCCTGCATTACTGTAGGGGAATTCCCCTCTGCCATGTTTGGGTAGGCCATTCCCAGGATCCCGTCAAAGTCTGAATAGTAAAAGGGGTCGCTGGGCTCATTCTCACTCAGGCCAAACTCCTGGTTATTGACAACGATGTTATGAACCTATGGCAAGCAGACAGTATGGCTTGACAATTCAGGTGCACAAATTGCATGGCTTCCCAGACTAATGTGCACAGGGTATGGAATCCAGAAACCCTCCTGGGGAGAGAACATCAGCTTCTTTCATGCAGAACCCAACCACAAGGGTGGGAGTGGAGGGTGAAAGAGCAACCTTTCTCATCAGGTGTGTCTCGGAAAAAAGAGTGTGGATGTTGGAGAAGTGGAAGAAGTTTTTTTCTGGAGTTATAGTTTCCACTTCCATGGACAGTGAAAGAATTGAATGGTTTCATACTGAACAATCTATGTGCAAGAATGATTAGAGGAATTGTAGGTGTTTGAACTAAAGAAATAAGAAAATAGTAAAAAGGCTTGTCTTCAAATATGCGAAGTGCAACTGGGTGGAAGAGGCAATAGACTTATCTGTGTGTTTCCAGAGGGCAGAGTTAGGACCACACAGCAAAGCTGCAAGAAGACACAACAACTTTAGCACAACATAAAGGCTTCCTGCAGTCAGGACTGCTGTGGAAGCGATTTACGTCCTGGGATGAAGGCTGAATTAGTCTTTGTGTTCCTTCCAACACTCAGCTTCTGGGAAGCTTGGACCTAATTAGTAAGCATGGGTTTCTCTAATAGTGTAAGACTCTAGAAAATGGGAGCCAAACCACAGACCCTCAGAGGCTATGAAAACATTACTTACAGTCACAGTGTCATAGCCCAGGAACACACTCAGGCTGCCACTCCCATAGGATAGTCCATAGGTTTGTCCATCGTTTCTGAAGGTGGAGGACAGGCTGGGATTGAACCTGTTGTGATTGGCTATAGAAAGACAGAATGGAATATTCATTTCATTTGCAGTTTTCCAAAACACGTGAAGGCTACTTATCCTTGATGGATTGGGCTCATCAGACCAAGGCTGGGATAGGGCATCACCCTAGATCTTTTCTTGTAGACAAACTGTGCTAGTCCTAGAAAAGTCTATGACACACTTTGCCCAAATTCCTTCCAGCTGACCATTCCCTGAGAGAAAGATTGCCTCAGACTTACCAGAAACACTGGGCCACAGAAGGGCGCTCAGGGGAAGGAAAGGAAGCCTTAGTCTGTTTCTGCTGTCTGTCTCCAAAAAAGTCAGCACTTCTGAAAAGTGGTGCTGAAGTGACAGACTGAGAGCAATTTCTCAATGTTCCAAACAGAAGGAGGATACGTGATGGACAAAGAACTCTGGACTTAGAATGATTCACCTGCACTCAAATCCCAGCTCCACTCCTCTATCTGCTCCCCTCATGGTGTGGAGGGTGGTAGTGACATACTCACAGCAGACTTGGCTCTGGCAGTAGATGGAGGGCAGCTACAGATTGGAGGAACCCGTATCAAAGAGGACTAGGAAATTTTGGGGTGGTGTCCCAGTGCTGATCTCCCCAAAGTAGAAAGACTGCAAAAGAAAGGTTTATCACCTTCATTAAGTAACCAAGCCTTGTCTTAAGAACGGACAAGCAGTTAACCCACAGGAAGCCACCCTCTGCCCAAATCATTTTCTTGGGGGAATGAGAGGCTTATCCCACAAGTTTTCCTTCCCATCTGGAGTTAGTTCCTTTCAAGATTCTACTTTTTGTCCCTAATTGCAAGCCTTTGGCCAGCTAAGACTTAGTATGGCAAGACAATATCCTCTTCCAAAGTGTTTTCTACTTTTACAATAAGCTGATATCTTCACAGATTTATCATGCTATACTGGAGTACCCAGAATTGGGGAAACAATCACTTTTTCTTTTTTCCTGGTGTCCAGACACACACACACACACACACACACACACACACCACCACCACCACCACCACCATCACACTCTTCTCCCCTTCTCTTTCAATGTTAGATACTTCTACCACCATTTTCCTCCCTTCTGGTCACACACTAGCAGAGGGTGCTAGGCAGCTGGAAAAGAGACAGCATGGAGAGAAAGAAGAGCTCTTCACTGGAAGGTAGTTTAAGCTCTAAGTTAACATGGGCCAGTCATGTCACTTACCTACCTCTAGTTTCTTCACCTATAAAATGTGGGTGTTGAAATAGAAGATCCCTAACGTGGCTTCCAGCTCAGACATGCAACATAACATCTCACTAAGGACAGTCCACAGGACAGCAGAATGTCAAGATGCCCTGATGAGACTTGGTGGGCTTGAGAATATTCAGACATTTGCTCCGGGGACTTTGCATCTTTCCAAAGAGGGAGAGATGCAGTATCTGAGCCACTGGAGCTTTTGCCTGACATCCTCACATGTATTTTCCTTCTTTCCCCTGCAGCTCATTGCCAGGACTTCCTTTGGATCTCTCAGTTGACTTGAACATTCCCACCATGAATCTCTTAATCATGTAAATGAGGCTTTAGCAGGATGGGCCAGCAACGAGAGGAAAGGAGGAAAGAAAAGGAATTACTATACTCTTAGATGGTACCAACTCATAACTTGTTCTGATTCTTTCCATAGAAAGGGTGAGACTTTGGTTTAGTAACTAGTCAAAAATTACAGCTAATGAGCAGTATAAGTGAGTATCTAAGAATGGTGGTTATACAAGGGTTATGGACATTCCCCGCCCCATCACTCACATCCAGGTAGTTGGTGAAGGGCTCATAAGCAACAGCATCATTATTGAAATAATACTTGGCAATTGGATCAGCCTTTGGGTGGTCCCTCAGAAACGTCTCCAGTACACCCTGCTCCTCCATTCTCTGGCGGATAGACTTGCCTTTCCTCAGAATGATCCTGCAGAGAATAGGGTAAACAAACAAAAATAGAAACGGAATGAGTCTTGGCCCCATGAAAGCAATCTCTTCAATGACCTGACCTGCAGTGTTTAAATCTCTCCAGTACTCTACTCAAGAAAAGCCCTCTATAAGCAATGCTCTCAGATTTTAGCACATTCTAACCACTGCTGTCACTCCAGAATTCCTGGTGTGGAATAGACCATATCATATTTTTGGGGTATTGTGTTTATATATTGTTTCCAGAGAATAAATATCTTATTTCTTTCCAATCTCTTCTATAAGTTTGGGGTAAGGATTGTGCATCCTTCCTTCTTAGCCAACACCCACACCCATAACCCCACCCCCCAAATACTCACACACCATCCATCCATTTCAAGTCTTAGCCCCCAGTGGGTGTTCCTTTCACAGTAAAAGAGTCAACCTGATTGGTGTTCCAGGAGACCTACAGAGGAAGGCCTTTGCCCTTTCCTAGCTTGTCATGCTCCCCGAAGGCTGGAATCCACAATTAGGCCAAATCCCAATACATAACTTTCCACACCTCCTGAGAGATGTAGGCAAGCAAGACCAAGACCAGGATCTTCATGGTGCTGACTTTTAACTCCCCACCAACATGCAGGACATGATGGCAGAGCCAGAGGTTGGGGCACACAGAGGTAGGCTAGATCTCTCTCTCTTATATTTTGATCCCCCTGCACTTTTGGTCTCTAGGTACATGGGCTTTCCTACCTTTGTACCAGCTTGTTTGCCTACAAATCCATAGATTCTGTTTGTTTTTCCCTCTGGCAAGCATCAAGAACTTTCATATTCACTCCATAGTGAATTTAAAAAGCAATTAATGGCTTTACTGGTGGAATCTAAAGATTAGGATTTGATAACAAATGTAAAATGCACTGAGGTCAGAGGACCTTGGTGCCTGTGTCTACTGGGCAATGGGTGTTGGCAACTTCCGCCAGGAAAATGGAACAATTTGCTCTTTAGCTCCTAAGGGCAAGTGCTTTCTTGAGCTTTGCAGTCTACTCTCTGCTTCTTCCTCTCCTTCTCTCTCTTCCTCTTCTCTGTCTCATCTGTAGCCTTCCATATATGATTTTCATAGCCCATGACATTCTTCTTTCTTTATTCTTTCATTTTCTTCATTAGCAAACTAGTCAATTTTTATTGAAGGCTTACTCTGTGTTCACCTCTGTACTAAGCTCTGGAAGTGCAAAGATAATTAGGAAATGATCCTTGTATACAAATGCTTGCATTCCTGCTGGAATAATGGACACATAATCAAATTGTCAGGCAGTGTGACCACTCTGAGCATTCAAATGTTTGTTGAATGAGTGAGAGGGATAACAATAATGTTAAAGCAATCAGAGAGAGGGAGTGGTAGTTTTTTGTGGGATGGAAAAGGCTTCACAGAGGAGGTAACATTTAAGTAAGGATCTTGCAGGATGATAAATGAGGAAGTGAAGAAATTAAAAAAAAAAAGAAAACACCATTGCAAGCAGATGAAAATCTTCAGCAGTGGCACAAAGGGGTGAAGTTTTGTGATGATTCAGAGAACATTGTGGCCAACATAGCCAGAAGAGCAATTCTCAGCACAGTTCATCACCAGCCCAAGACACACTTGCAGGACTTGCCTGCATGTGCCCAATTCTCATCATGCTAATTGTTACTCTGAGTATTATTTTCTAGCCAAGAAACCATTTTAAATGGAAAAGACTGTAATGCTATAATAGGAATACTATTGAGTCTACGATACTAAAGCAGTGCATATTTAATACCTTCAGAATTTTAACTATTATTTTATCAAATTATTTATGGCATGCTTCATAACTGACTACAACCAGAGCACCATGGATAGAATACTGAACTACTGCAAGAGTAGTACATGGATAGTTGCTATATACAGTACAAGGTATCTATATGGGCATGACTTTCATGATCAGAATCTTGTAATGTGAATCCTCTATGCCACACTAAGCAATATTGATTTAATTCTGTAAGCAACAATAAGCCATTAAAGTTTTTTTAATCCAGCAAGCAAAACACTGAATGCCCTTCTGCCTACCATTTATACAGAGCTTTTTACATTGTAGTCTTTCAGAAGTACTGAGTGAAAGAGGTCAGTTACCAAAATAATTCCCTAAGTAAAATTGTAGCTGGCATGAAACTTTGTCATGAATCTACCTTGAAGCTACGCACAACCCCAAAGAAGGTTCAACTTTATATGTATGATTTAATGTTTTTATGTAGAAATATGTTTTTAAAGGGAAACTTAAGAGCCACTGTACACTCATAATGACCATAACTCCCACATGTTGAACACCAACTTTGTAGCAGACACATATTTCATGTAATCATTGCAATATACTTGTGGGGCTAATTTAACTTTCCCAAGACCACCCAGTTAATGAAAGGTAGAACTGTGGTTTCAAGTCCAGTTTGTCTGAACTCCTATCTAAACATAAACTCCTCCTCTAGGCCTGGTGTGCTTAAGTTCTCTTTGAGTTAATGTACATGAAATCATCAACTTTAATGATGACAAGAAGATTTGATTTAATTTTCTGTGGAAGCGATCCGTTCCAAGATGACCAAATAGGAAGAGCTCCGGTCTGCAGCTCCCAGAATGATCAACACAGAAGACGGGTGATTTCTGCATTTCCAACTGAGGTACCTGGTTCATCTCATTGGGACTGGCTGGACAGTGGGTGCAGCCCATGGAGGGTCAGGTGAAGCAGGGCGGGGCATCGCTTTACCCGGAAAGCACAAGGGGTTGGGGGATTTCCCTTTCCTAGCCAAGTGAAGCCATGACAGACTGTACCTGGAAAAATGGGACACTCTCACCCAAATACTGTGCTTTACCCGAGGTTTTAGCAACTGGCAGACAAGGAGATTCTCTCCTGTGCCTGGCTCGGCAGGTCCCATGCCCACGGAGCCTTGCTTACTGCTAGCACAGCAGTCTGAGATCGAACTATGAGGCAGCAGCCTGGCTGGAGTAGGGGTGTCTGCCATTGATGAGGCTCAAGTAGGTAAACAAAGCACCGGGAAGCTCAAACTGGGCAGATCCCAGCGCAGCTCGGTAAGGCCTACTGCCTCTAGACTCCACCTCTGTGGGCAGGGCTTAGCTGAAGAAAAGGCAGCAGACAACTTCTGTAGACTTAAACGTCCCTGTCTGACAGCTCTGAAGAGAGCAGTGGTTCACCCAACACGGCATTTGAACTCTGAGAACGGACAGACTGCCTCCTCAAGTGGGTCCCTGACCCCCATGTAGCCTAACTGGGAGACACCTCCCAGTAGGGGCTGACAGACACCTCATATAGGCGGGTGCCCCTCTGGGATGAAGCTTCCAGAGGAAGGATCAGGCAGCAATATTTGCTGTTCTGCAGCCTCTGCTGGTGATACCCAGGAAAACAGGGTCTGGAGTGGACCTCCAGAAAACTCCAACAGACCTGCAGCTGAGGAACCTGACTGTTAGAAGGAAAACTAACAAACAGAAAAGAGTAGCATCAACATCAACAAAAAGGACATCTACACCAAAACCCCATCTCTAGGTCACCAACATCAAGGACCAAAGGTAGATAAAATCACAAAGATGGGGAGAAACCAGAGTAGTAAAGCTGAAAATTCTAAAAATCAGAGTCCCTCTTCTCCTCCAAAGGATCACAGCTCCTCGCCAGCAAAAGAACAAGGCTGGATGGAGAATGACTTTGACGAGTTGACAGAAGTAGGCTTCAGAAGGTCAGTAAAAACAAACCTCCAAGCTAAAGGAACATGTTTGAACCCATCGCAAGGAAACTAAAAACCTTGAAAAAAGGTCAGACAAATGGCTAACTAGAATAAACAGTGTAGAGAAGACCTTAAATGACCTGAAGGAGCTGCAAACCATGGCATAAGAACTTCAGGATTCATGCACAAGCTTCAGTAGCCGATTCGATCAAGCAGAAGAAAGGGTATCAGTGATTGAAGATCAAATTAATGAAATAAAGCAAGAAGACAAGGTTAGAGAAAAAAGAGAGAAAAGAAATGAACAAAACCTCCAAGAAATATTGGACTGTATGAAAAGACTATGTTTGATTGCTGTACCTGAAAGTGATGGGGAGAATGGAACCAAGTTAGAAAACACTCTGTAGGATATTATCCAGGAGAACTTCCCCAACCTAGCAAGGCAGGCCAATATTCAAATTCAGGAAATACAGAGAACACCCCAAAGATACTCCTCGAGAAGAACAACCCCAAGACAAATAACTGTCAGATTCACCAAGGTTGAAATGAAGGAAAAAATGTTAAGGGCAGCCAGAGAGAAACATCGGGTTACCCACAAAGGGAAGCCCATCAGACTAACAGCGGATCTGTCGGCAGAAACCCTACGAGCCAGAAGAGAGTGAGGGCCAATATTCAACATTCTTAAAGAAAAGAATTTTCAATGCAGAATTTCATATCCAGTCAAACTGAGCTTCATAAGTGAAGGAGAAATAAAATCCTTTATAGACAAGCAAATGCTGAGAGATTTTGTCACCACCAGGCCTGCCTTACAAGAGCTCCTGAAGGAAGCACTAAATGTGGAAAGAAGCAACCATTACCAGCCACTGCAAAAACATGCCAAATTGTAAAGACCATCGATGCTATAAAGAAACTGCATCAATTAACTGGCAAAATAACCAGCTATCATCATAATGACAGGATCAAATTCATATATAACAATATTAACATTAAAATATAAATGGGCTAAATGCCCCAATTAAAAGACACAGACTGGCAAATTGGATAAAGAGACAAGATCCATCAATGTGCTGTATTCAGGAGACCCATCTCGTGCAAAGACGCACATAGGCTCAAAATAAAGGGATGGAGGAAGATCTACCAAGCAAAGGGAAAGCAAAAAAAAGCAGGGGTTGCAATCCTAATCTCTGATAAAACAGACTTTAAACCAACAAAGATCAAAAGAGACAAAGAAGGCCATTACATAATGGTAAAGGGATCAATTCAACAAGAAGAACTAACTATCCTAATATATATGCACCCAATACAGGAGCACCCAGATTCATAAAGCAAGTCCTTCGAGACCTACAAGGAGACTTAGACTCCCACACAATAATAATAGGAGACTTTAACACCCCACTGTCAATATTAGATAGATCAACGAGACAGAAGGTTAACAGGGATTTCCAGGACTTGAACCCAGCTCTGCAACAAGCAGACCTAATAAACATCTACAGAACTCTCCACCCCAAATCAACAGAATATACTTTATTCTCAGCACCACATTGCACTTATTCTAAAATTGACCACATAATTGGAAGTAAAGCACTCCTCAGCAAATGTAAAAGAACAGAAATCACAAAAAACTGTCTCTCAGACCACAGTGCAATCAATTTAGAACTCAAGATTAAGAAACTCACTCAAAACTGCTCAACTGCATGGAAACTGAACAACTTGCTCCTGAATGACTACTGGGTAAATAACGAAATGAAGGCAGAAATAAAGATGTTCTTTGAAACCAATGAGAACAAAGACGCAATGTACCAGAATCTCTGGGACACATTTACAGCAGTGTGTATAGGGAAACTTATAGCACAAAATGTCCATGAGAGAAAGCAGGAAAGATCTAAAATTGACACCCTAAAATCACAATTAACAGAACTAGAGAAGCAAGAGCAAACACATTCAAAAGCTAGCAGAACGTAAGAAATAACTAAGATCAGAGCAGAACTGAAAGAGATAGAGACACAAAAAACCCTTCAAAAAATCAATGAATCCAGGAGCTGGTTTTTGGAAAAGATCAACAAAAATGATAGACTGCTAGCAAGACTAATAAAGAAGAAAAGAAAAAAGAATCAAATAGATGCAATAAAAAATGATAAAGGGGTTATCACCACTGATCCCACAGAAATACAAACTACCATCAGAGAATACTATAAACACCTCTACGCAAATAAACTAGAAAATCTAGAAGAAATGGATAAATTCCTGGACACATACACCCTCCCAAGACTAAGTCAGGAAGAAGTTGAATCTCTGAATAGACCAATAACAGGCTCTGAAATTGAGGCAATAATTAATAGCCTACTGACCAAAAAAAGTCCAGGACAAGACAGATTCACAGCTGAATTCTAACAAAAGTACAAAGAGGAGCTGATACCATTCCTTCTGAAACTATTCCAATCAATAGAAAAAGAGGGAGTCCTCCCTAACTCATTTTATGAGGCCAACATCATCCTGATACCAAAGCCTGGCAGAGACACAACAAAAAAGATAATTTTACACCAATATCCCTGATGACCATCGATGTGGAAATCCTCAATAAAATACTGGCAAACCGAATCCAGCAGCACATCGAAAAGCTTATCCACCATGATCAGGTCGGCTTCATCCCTGGGATGCAAGACTGGTTCAACATACACAAATCAATAAACATAATCCATCAAATAAACAGAACTAATGACAAAAACCATGTGATTATCTCAATAGATGCAGAAAAGGCCTTTGACAAAATTCAACAGCCCTTCATGCTAAAAACTCTCAATAAACTAGGTATTGATGGAACATATCTCAAAATAATAAGAGCTATTTATGCCAAACCCACAGCCAATATCATACTGAATGGGCAAAAACTGGAAGCATTCCCTTTGAAAACTGGCACAAGACAGGGATGCCCTCTCTCACCACTCCTACTCAACACAGTGTTGGAACTTCTGACCAGGGCAATCAGGCAAGAGAAAGAAGTAAAGGGTATTCAATTAGGAAATGAGGAAGTCAAATTGTCCCTGTTTGCAGATGACATGAGCGTATATTTAGAAAACCCCATTGTCTCAGCCCAAAATCTCCTTAAGCTGATAAGCAACTTCAGAAAAGTCTCAGGATACAAAATCAATGTGCAAAAATCACAAGCATTCCTATACACCAATAACAGGCAAACAGAGAGCCAAATCATCAGTGAACTCCCATTCACAACTGCTACAAAGAGAGTAAAATACCTAGGAATCCAACTTACAAGGGATGTGAAGGACCTCTCCAAGAAGAACTACAAATCACTGCTCAACAAAATAAAAGAGGACACAAACAAATGGAAGAACATTCCATGCTCATGCATAGGAAGAATCAATATTGTGAAAATGGCCATACTGCCAAAGGTAATGTATAGTTTCAATGCCATCCCCATCAAACTACCAATGATTTCTTTACAGAATTGGAAAAAAAACACTTTAAAGTTCATATGGAACCAAAAAAGAGCCCGCATTGCCAAGACAATTTGCTAAGCAAAAGGAACAAAGCTGGAGACATCATGCTACCTGACTTCAAACTATACTACAAGGCTACAGTAACCAAAACAGCATGGTACTGGTACCAAAACAGAGATATAGACCAATGGAACAGAACAGAGCCCTCAGACATAATACCACACATGTACAACCATCTGATCTTTGACAAACCTGACAAAAACAAGAAATGGGGAAAGGATTCCCTATTTAATAAATGGTGCTGGGAAAACTGGCTAACCATATGTAGAAAGCTGAAACTGGATCCCTTCCTTACACCTTATACAAAAACTAATTCAAGATGGATTAAAGACTTAAATGTTAGACCTAAAACCATAAAAACCCTAGAAGAAAACCTAGGCAATGCCATTCAGGACATAGGCATGGGCAAGAACTTCATGACCAAAACACCAAAAGCAATGGCAACAAAAGCCAAAACAGACAAGTGGGATCTAATTAAACTAAAGAGCTTCTGCACAGAAAAAGAAACTACCATCAGAGTGAACAGGCAACCTACAGAATGGGAGAACATTTTTGCCATCTACCCATCTGATAAAGGGCTAATATCCAGAATCTACAAAGAACTCAAACAAATTTACAAGAAAAAAACAAACAACCCCATCAAAAAGTGGGCAACAGATATGAACAGACACTTCTCATAAGAAGACATCTATGCAGCCAACAGACACATGAAAAAATGCTCATCATCACCCGTCATCAGAGAAATGCAAATCAAAACCACAATAAGACATCATCTCACGCCAGTTAGAATGGCAACCATTAAAAAGTCAGGAAACAACAGATGCTGGAGAGGATGTGGAGAAATAGGAACACTTTTACACTGTTGGTGGGAGTGTAAATTAGTTCAACCATTGTGGAAGACAGTGTGGCGGTCCCTTAAGGATCTAGAACTAGAAATACCATTTGACCCAGCCATCCCATTACTGGGTATATACCCAAAGGATTATAAATCATGCTACTATAAAGACACATGCACACATATGTTTATGGCAGCACTACTCACAATAGCAAAGACTTGGAACCAATGCAAATGTCCATCAATGATAGACTGGATTAAGAAAATGTCCACATATACACCATGGATTACTATGCAGCCATAAAAATTGATGAGTTCATGTCCTTTGCAGGGACATGGATGAAGCTGGAAACCATCATTCTCAGCAAACTATCACAAGGACAGAAAACCAAACACCGCATGTTCTCACTCATGGGTGGGAACTGAACAATGAGATCACTTGGACACAGGGCGGGGAACATCACACACCGGGGCCTGTTGGAGGGTAGGAGGCTGGGAGAGGGATAGCATTAGGAGAAACATCTAATGTAAATGATGAGTTGACAGGTGCAGCAAACCAACATGGCACATGTATACCTATGTATCAAACCTGCACGTTGTGCACATGTACCCTAGAACTTAAAGTATAATAAAAAAATTTTTTCTATGGAAAAGTATATTAATTGCTTTTCTCATCTTTCCTAGATTTTTCCTGCCCGCATATAAAAACTTAACCCTGATAACTGCTGCCACCTGGTGGCAATATTCCTAGCTTACAAAAACAGGGTTTTGAAAGGTTGAAAAGTGTGACTGGCGTTTCACAATCCAAGTCAGATGTGAAAACGGCTCCTAACATCTCCACAGCTCTTTCCTAGGTGAAGACAACAGGTAACTGTTCATTTGTCTTGTCTGAGACTGCCCCTTTTCCCCACTCACGTCAAAGCAGCCAAAACATCACCTTTCCAGCTATTCTAAAATTTCCCCCGTCTCACATCCATGCCTCTGACCTCTCAATCCTTTAACACGATAGTGTTCATCCCTTTAACACTCCAGAAAACTTTCTAAGTGTTCTCTTCCTATGTTTGCACAGTCTTCTTTGCAGCATGATATTAGTAGATAAGCTCTCTGAGTGTTTCCTCAGCCTAAGATGAAAGAATGTATGTAAAGTGCAGAGCAGCCTCTGAGTTCTCCAGGATACGTCATTCCCCTCATCATTTTTAAAGTCTTGTGGGAGCCTGGTTCATGAAATATCACACACTGTACTCAGCACAGTGGCTTCTATGTAGAGGCACCCAATAAATAAGTATGGAATGAGCCAACTGTATAGACGGGGACTTCAAACAGTCCTGTTAAAATACACATATTTTGCCAGTTCGAGTTTATTACAGAGCTCCTATTAGGTTGGTGCAAAAGTAATTGTGGTTTTTGCCAATACTTTTAATATTATCATGCCTGTAGTTTAGCTTTTCCTGTTAGCTGGGAATGGAATGATGAGACCAGACACATTTTAAATGAGAATGGAAAGAGGTAGGCACAACGTCCTAGGCAACTGATGATATTGGAAAGATCAACATGGAGCTTCACACTGGGTCCTGGGGAAAACAGGCACAGAATGTAGATGTTTTTCTCAAAATTAGTAGAAGTCTAGTGAAGCCCTTGCTATGTGTTCAATATTAAACTACTGATGTTGTAACCTAACAAAACCTTCTAAAATGCAGAGCGAATTCTCTTATAGTGAAATCTCTTACAGTGTTTTCTTGGTGCTTAGAAAACAAAGACTTATCACGGGAAAGTGTCCATCTCAAACATGTGTCTTCCCTTCAAGACATTTGCCAATTTGAAGCTGCATGGGGCAGGAGGCCATAGAGTTGAGCTGGGAACTTCTGATGACGAGAGATGAACCCCCTTAAGTCTTTCAAAACTTAAGAAGAGACAGATAACCACCAACTGTCAAACAAAATCCCAGAGAAGTCATTCCAGAGCAACAGGGACAAATCAGAGGCAGATGACTATTTCAAAAGCTGCAACTCAACCCTGACCCAGTTCAATCCCCAAATAGGTTGGAATTAGCTGGCTTTCACTCTGTCTGCATAACAGAAGAAAAAGACCCTTTTCAATGAAAGAAAAAATAAAAGGTAGATGATGATACTGGGAGGATCAACATGGAGCTTCACACGGGGTCCTAGGGAAAACAGGCACAGAATGTTGACGTTTTCTTTCTCAAAATGAGGAGAAGCCTAAGCCCTTGCTATGGGTTCAGTATTAGACTACATTAATTCCAGGGCATTCACAACTCAACTAACATATTCTCTTCACTTCTTTCCTGAATTATTTAGTTTCTGCTGCTCTGCCCTGCCCTTGGCTCTTCCACAGGACCTGACTGTAACCAGTGTTCCTGGAAGTCCGTGTTTGAACTGCAGAAACAAATTACACCAGAGTGTTCCCACTCCAGCTGCAGGGTTGTTGGGAAGCTGAGAAAACGTGAAATTCTACACCAAGGACTATGTTTCCATGGGCTCTGCCAGCCTCTCATCAAGCAATTTTTTTTTTTTTTTTGAGATGGAGTTTCGCTCTTGTTGCCCAGGCTGGAGTGCAATGGCACAATCTTGGCTCACTGCAACCTCCGCCTCCCAGGTTCAATGGATTCTCCTGCCTCAGCCTCCCGAGTAGCTGGGATTACAGGTGCGTGCCACCACACCCAGCTTTTATACTTTTAGTAGAGATGGAGTTTCGCCATGTTAGCCAGGCTGGTCTTGAACTCCTGACCTCAAGTGATCTGCCCTCCTTGGCCTCACAAAGTGCTGAGATTACAGGCGTGAGCCACCGCGCCCGGCCCAAACATTTTTACCAAAGAGGAAGCCCCACAGCCCTCTCATGATACTCATGAGCATCGAACTAAATAATAAACATTTTATTCCTGCACAGATTTAGCAGCGGCAAATGAGAGGTACCTATAAACCCATACTTTTGCACACTCTTAGAACCTAGACACTACCCTTCTTGCTCACCCTGTAACACATCCATAGCTGCATGTTTTCATCTTGGTTAATATGTGGGTGTCGACGGGGCAGTCCCAGCTTTCTACTGTCATTTCTCTGAGCTTGTCATTTTTGAGTGTACTGGAAATTGTGTATAAGTAAACTATAAGGACTCTGGGTGAGTTTTTGTTTCATTTAAAAATATCCTTCTTTTCTTTTGTTACGCAGACAGAGTGCAAAGCCAGCTAATTCCAATCTATTTAGGGATTAAGCTGGGTCAGGGTTGAGTTGCAGCTTTTGAAATAGTTATCTGCCTCTAATTTGTCCCTGTTGCTCTGGAATGACTTCTCTGGGATTTTGTTTGACAGTTGGTGGTTATCTATCTCTTCTTAAGTTTTGAAAGACTTAAGGGGGTTCATCTCTCGTCATCAGAAGTTCCCAGCTCAACTCTATGGCTTCCTGCTCCGTGCAGCTTCAAATCTGGCAAATGTCTTGAAGGGAAGACACACGTTTGAGGTGAACACTTTTCCGTGATAAGTCTTTGTTTTCTAAAAGTACCATGAGAACACTGTAAGAGAATTCACTCTGCCTTTTAGAAGCTTTTGGTATGGTTTAACAGCCTCCTGTATGATTCCGGAAACTAGCAAATGCCCTTTTGAAAACTGGTCACGTATTTGGGGTCCCGGAAGTTTTCCACATGTCATTCTAGTTCAATGTGACCTTTAAATATGTTGCTGATTTCACCCTTCCTTAGCAATTGGCTTTCTTCTTGGGCATATCTCAGCATGTGTACAAAATCGGCAAATGTCTGCAGAGAAAAAAGGTGGCTGGCTCTTTTCATCTCACCTCAGAAAGGTTCTCATCTCTCTGGATTTTATTAGTCCTGATTTATCTGATTTATCTGGATTTACCTTGTCCTGATTGCCTCCATAATGCTGTGATGCGTTTAACACCATAATTTTTGTAATTTAGTTGGCTTTTGCTAATTGTTGTAGCAGGAACAATGGTTCCTTCAGTGTAGTCGGAAGCAAGCATAAAATACCAGGTGCTTTATATGTCATATTTTAGCCTGTTTTCACCATAATACCACAGGTTATATTGGATTTTGTTGGTTCCAAAGTCCTTCCTTAGAAATTCACCTTTCCCCTATCCAGTGTACTTCTAACGAGGTGAACAGTGTTGGTGTTACCCTCTCCCAACTCTAACCTCAGCAATGGGTACTTTTTTTCAGTCCAGAAAAATTGTAGCACTTCATTCCCCTAGAAACAATGATGAAACCGGGAGTCATGCATGACTCCCATGAGGTCATTAGAGTCATTCTTTTTTTGTGTGTGTGTGACGAAGTTTTGCTCTTGTTGCTCAGGCTGGAGTGCAATGGTGTGATCTCAGCTCACTGCAACCTCTGCCTCCAGGTTCAAGCAATTCTCCTGCCTCAGCCTCTTGAGTAGCTGGGATTACAGGTGCCCGCCACCACACCTGGCTAATTTTTTGTATTTTTAGTATAGACAGGGTTTCGCCATGTTTGTCAGGCTGGTCCCGAACTCCTGACCTCAGGTGATCCAACTGCTTTGGCCTCCCAGAGTGTTGGGATTACAGGCGTGAGCCACTGCGTGTGGCCTAGAGTCATTCTTCAGATTGAAATATAATTGTTAGGTGAAACAAGTATTTCCACTGGAAAAATACAAGCTTGGGGACTTCAGTAGTGATTGTTTTGACCAGATGAAGATTATCTGCAGAATAAAATGAAATAAAAGCTAGCAGAGGTGTTTGTGTATGCATGTGTATGTTTGTGTATATGTGTGTTGCGGGGGTTGGCGTGGGGGAAGAGAGAAAGCGCATGAGCACAAGACAGTGATCTAGACCCACCTGCATAAAGAGAACTAATACATTCCCTTGTTGCTTAAGCTTCTTTGAGTTTTTGCCACTTGCAAATTTTTCTAAGTCCTGATGAATAGGCTAAAATCATCCCAACTTTTTCTATAAAAAGATTGATATTCAGAGAGATTAAATAATATAACTAATGTCACACAGCCAGCAATTGCTGAGCTAGGATTTGAATCCAAGTGGGCCTAACTCCAAAGTCCATGCTTTTCCTACAACATCATGCTTCTGCCACACTTAATGTTAAGGAAACTAAGCCGTAATATGAGGGACCCAACTTGTCCCAGGTTCTCCCAGCTCTTGGGTTAACTGGCATTTGTCAGGTCTTTAGAGAGTAGATATGGGGAAAGGGCATATGCCTCACCGAAGAAGGGAAATGTGCATGTTCAAGTTCTATTCCTTGGCCATGATGAACTTTGCTTGTGGGCATAATTATCAATCATCCAGCTCTACTGACCACCACAGAGTAGGTGCAGTGGGGCTAAATAATGGATAGACATCTGTTTATGCCCTCTGTGATCTTTCAGCCTAATAAATATTAGCATCTTACTTTACATTTGCATTCTGTTCATATAGTTCTATTCCACTTGTCTTTTATGAAATCTTCGTGATGTACCTTGGGCAGTGAGAGGAAGTATAGAAAAGTGGTTGAGAGCATGCACTCAGACACCAGACAGCTCTGATTTGCATCCTGGCTCTGCCGCTTACTTACGTGACCTCAGACAAGCCATGGTTGTGCATCCCTTAAATATGGAGATGTGCTCTGAGAAATGTGTTGTTAGGCAATTCTGTTATTGTGCAAACATCATAGAGTGTACATACACAAACCTAGATGGTATGGCCTGCTACACACCTAGGGTATACGGTATTGCTTCTGGACTGCAAACCTATACAACCTGTTACTTTACTGAACACTGTGGGCGTTTATAACACAATGGTAAGTATTTGTGTATCTAAACATAGAAAAGGTATGGTAAATGCACAATATTATAATCTTATGGGACCACCATCATATATGCAGTTCATTGTTGACCAAAATGTCTTACGCGGCATATGACTGAACTTAACAACTTCTGTGCTTGTTTCATCATTGGCAAAATGGGGATAACAAGTAGTGACTACATCGTAAGGTATTATATACATTAAATAAAGTACAATATGTAAATTGCCTAGTCTGATGTCTAGTGCCTGGTAAGTGTCATATTATTTCTGCTATTATTAGCTATGAGGGGTGGTGCCAGAGGCAGCTAGTTATCCACTGCCCTGGTTTGAGTTTGCCTGAAAACAGAGCCTGAATTGTGAGTAGGTAGTTTAATTGCAAGGTGATCCTAGGACGCAGGAGTAAAAGAGTGTGGAGAGTGAGATGGGAAGGAAATGAGAAATTCTAAGGCAGGGGAAGGTGTTCAGCTAGCCTGAGATGAAGATTAGGACAAACACTGGCAGACATTACACAGAGACAGCTTAGCTCATGTGTGCCTCAACTAAACCCTCAACATTTTCTGGAGAAACCATAAATAGTTCATATAATGTTAGGTTTTTTAAAAGTCCCCCATAAAGTATCTGAGACCCTTTTTGTAAAGTTAAAACAACTACAATAAAGATACATACTCTGGAAATTCACCTACCACAACTGAACTTATATCTCAAGAAATTAAGGTAATGATAAACTCAGGATGTAAGATGTGGTTACTTAGATGGGGTAGACATAGAAACTAAATGGTGAAGGATCTATTTGGTTAGATATAGTTACATGTGGGACAACTGAGACACAGACAACCAGAACAGAATAGAGAGTCCAGAAATAGATTCATTATGGATATTTTATCTATAACCAAGGTGGCACTGAAAAGCAGTGGAAAAAAAAAGGATAGTATTTTCAATGAATGGTACTGGGTAATTAAATAACCACATGGAAAATGACTACTTCACATCACATGCAAAAAAATCAATTCTAGTGAAAGATAAAACAGTAATGCTATTAGAAAATAACATTTAAAAATTGTCATAACCTTAGCTAGAAAGATTTCTTAAACAGGACACAAAAATAACTCATTAACCATAAAGGAAATAACTTATAACTTGGAACACATTAAAATTATGAATTTCTGTTTATCTAAAGGCATCACTGAAAGGGTTAAAGAGTTGGCGAAGATATTTATAATCTACTGAGCATTATCAGTATATTATCTCTCAGTTCCAGATTCATTCATTCTCTATTGCTTGCTCTGCAAATATGGTACTGGACCTTTTAAATAGCTTTCCTTTGCCAGCTGGCATGATTTTAGGCTTTGTCAGTACAGGATGCTAGAGAAACACTGTAGGAGAAAAGGGGTTTTCCCTTCCTCGTTCTGGCATGCTCTCTCAGCAGACTCTAGCAGCCTGCAGCTGCTGCAGCACCCAGCTCTGCACCTGAACAGGAAGAAGTGTGAAACAGGAGAAAACAATCACTCCCAGTCAATGTGATGGGTTAAGGCTGCAGAAACCTTGCCTGTGGCCAAAAGCAGAAACAAATGAGAGTCTGAGACTAGACGAGATCCACATCACACAGGGACCAGATACTGGTTCAAGTTGATCCACCTGCACAAAAGGAGGACACTGAACTGAGCAGGAAACACAGGACTTGCCCTGGGGTGATGTACACTGTAGGGCCACTGAGGAAGCATGGTCAGATGACGATGATCCTTTGAACAAGAATTAGAAAATGTCTTTCAGTCAGCAGATCCGACAAATGGGAAAACATGAATGGAAATACACATAAAAGGACAATGATTTGAAAAAATGATTTTGAAATAGCATATATTAACGTTCCAGTATATAAGGTAGAAATAGCACCCACAAAAAAGAAAAGGAGGTTATGAAACTAGTGAGGGCAATTATGAAGCAAGAACAGTCTATAAAATAAAACCATGGAAATTAAAATATAATAAACAAAAAAAGTAAACTCAAAAGAGGGTTAAATATGCCCAATAAGTGCAAGAAAAGATGCTCAACATCATTAATGATCAGGGAAATGCAAATTGAAACCACAAAATGGTACAATGTCACACCTACTAAGGTGACTATAATAAAAAATAGAAAATGAGCGTTGGCAAGGATGTAGAGAAATTGTAACTGTCATACATTGTGATGGGAATGTAAAATAGTACATCTGCTGTGGAAAACAGTGTGATGGTTCCCCAAAAAGCTAAGGTTTGCTGCTATGGAATGAAGAAAAAGTAAGTCGGGGTAAGGAACATCAAGAGTGTGGGGGCAGGGAGAGTGCAGTTTGCAGTATTCAACGGGGTGATCAGCTTAAGCCTTGTTGAAAAAGGAATTATTAAATAAAAGACAGAATGGAGGTAATGAGCTATGGAACGTCTGGGAAAAGAGTGTTCTGGGCCAGGAGAACAGTTCATGCAAAGGTCCTGAGGCAGAACCGTGTCTGGGTGTTCAAGAAAACAAGGAGATGGGCAGAACTGCAGCATGGTGTGAGGAGAGAGGCCTGATCCGGGAGAGTCTCCTAGGCCGTTTTTAACACTGTCTTTCACCCTGAGTGAAAGCAGGGGCCATTGCAAAGGAACATTATGAGACTAAAGTTTGGCTGCTGGGTTGGGAATAGAGCACAGGGGACAAGGTTTAAAGCAGAGAAGCCAAGAAGGCTATCTTAGTAACCCAGGTGAGAGGTGTCTCAGGCCAGTGTAGCAATGGACATGGTAAGATTTGTTCAATACTAACCCTATCTTGAAGGAAACATCTTCTTTGTTCCAGAATGCAATCCATGACCCTATATTGCATTTAGATGTTGTATCTCCTTAGTCTCCTCCAACTTGGAACAATTCCTGTCTTTAGTGGCCTGCACACATTTGAAGAGGACTGGCCAGTTATCTTTCTAGAATGTTTCTCAATTTAGGTATGTCTGATGTTTTTCTATGTTTGAATTCAAGTTACGTATTTTTGAAAAGAATATCACAGAACTGATATTGTGTCTTTCTCAGTACATTGGGTGTTACATAATGTTGACATGTCTCATTGTTGATGAGAAAGTAATGTCAACTTTGATCATTTGGTTTAAATTGTGTCTGCCTTGCTTCATTCATTATGAAGTTACTATTTTCCCTTTATAATTAATATCTTGTAGCAGAATATTTTCAGACTGTGCAAATATCCTGTTTCTTATCATATTTTTATACAATAATTTTAACATCCCATGATATTTCTTGTCTCTAACAATTATTACTATGTAGTGTTTGCCAAATCATGATTTTCTGTTTCTACCACTTTTACATTTATTAACTGGCATTCTATTGTAAGGAAGAACTGCCCTTTCTTCCCTAATTATATATTTATTCAATATTTATTGACAACAGTATAGACTCCTGATATTTACTTTATTCTGTGAACTATAATTCATTTTATTATTATATTTATCATTTATTTTGTTGCTCAAATTGTCCCAGATTTGATTGGCCATTGGGAACTCCTTCAAGGTGGATCTTGTATCCTTTTGACATGGCTCAATCATCTTTTTTAGCACTTCTTTACTACTCTCTGTAACCATAAGATGTTACAGTCTTTTCTTCTACTTTCCCTGCCTCAGCCCAAGAATCAGCCATTTCTTCAGGGACTCCTGGTTCCTTTTTATTGAAGAATGGAATTTAAAAACCGATATCTGGGCACTATATATACTTATTGCTACTGGAATATAATTGCTTCAAGGGCCTCTCAGCAGTTAAAGCTAGGAAATACATTTATGTTTACATATTTTATATCAATTTCTGTATGGATATGTAATCATGGTTTTAAATATATTTTTAAATACATATTTATAAATATATTATTATAATATTGTAATTGTTTCAAGGGCCTCTCAGCAGTTAAAGCTGGGAAATATATGTTATACATATTTTATATCAATTTCTGTATGGATATATAATCATGGTTTTAAATATATTTTAAAATATATTATTGTAATATATATTTTAAATATATATTTAAATAAAACCTTAATTAAATACTGAAATACCTTCAATTCCAATACCAAAGGGTTCATTCTAGCCTCTTCTCTTTCCCTATTTATAACTTATTTCTCTGACAGTGAGAAACACAGCTCTCATTATCTACAGGACATTTATTTACTTGCTTACTTTTGGAAGATACATGAGGTAGTTTAAGAATTGTTCCTAGCCAGAGTAATCAGGTAAGAGAAAGAAAAAAAATGACATGTAAATAGGAAGAGAGAAAGTCAAACTATCTCTGTTTGCAGACCACATGATACTATAGCTAAAAAAACCCATAGTCTCAGCCTAAAAGCTCCTTCAGCTGATAAACAACTTCAGCAAAATTTCAGAATACAAAATCAATGTACAAAAATAACTAGCATTCCTATACACCAACAGCCAAGCCAAGAGCCAAATTAGAAAGGCAATCCCTTTCTAATTTGGGAATTACAATTGCCACAAAAAGGTTAGAATACTTAGGGATACAGCTAACCAGGAAGGTGAAAGATCTCTACAATGAGAATTACAAAACACTGCTCAAAGATATCAGAGAAGACACAAACAAATGGAATAATATCCCATGCTCGTGGATAGGAAGAATCAATATCATTAAAATGGCCATACTGCCCAAAGCAATTTACAGATTCAATGCTATTCCTATCAAACTACGAACAACATTCTTCGTAGAACTAGAAAAAACTATTTTAAAATTCATATGGAACCAAAACAGAGCCCGAATAGCCAAGGCAAACCTCAGCAGAAAGAACAAAGCTAGAGACATCACCCAACTTTAAACTATACTACAGGACTACAGTAACCAAACAGCATTGTACTGGTACAGAAACAGGTACATAGACCAATGGAACAGAGTAGAGAGCCCAGAAATAAGAATGCACACCTATGACCAGTTGATCTTCAACAAAGCTGATAAAAACAAAGGAGAAATGACTCCCCTATTCAATAAAAGGTGCTGGGAGAACTGGCTAGCCATATGCAGAAGATTGAAACTGGACCCCTTCCTTACACCATATACAAAAATCAACTCAAAATGGATTAAAGACTTAAATGTAAAACCAAAAACTATAAAAACTCTGGAAGACACCTAGGCAATATCATCCTGGACATAGGAACGGGCAAAGATTTCATGACAAAGTTGCCAAAAACAATCACAACAAAAGGAAAAGTTGACAAGTGGGATCTAATTAAACTTAAGAGCTTCTGCACAGCAAAGGAAACTATCAACAGAGTAAACAGACAACTTACAGAATGGGAGAAAATATTTACAAACTATGCATCTGACAAAGATCTAAGAGCCAGCATCTATAAGGAACTTAAACAAATTTACAAGAGAAAAACGACCCCATCAAAAAGCGGGCAAAGGACATGAACAGACACTTTTCAAAAGAACACATACATGTGGCCGATAAGCATATGAAAAAAAAACTCAACATCACTGGTTATCAGAGAAATGCAAATCAAAACCAGAATGAGATACCATCTCACACCAGTCAGAATGGCTATTTGTTGACAGTCAGTATCTGTCAACAAATAACAGATGCTGGCGAGGTTGCAGAGAAAAGGGAACACACTTATACACTGTTGATGGGAGTGTAAATTAGTTCAACCAATGTGGAAAACAGTATGGCTATTCCTCAAAGAGCTAAAAGCAGAACTACCATTTAACCCAGCAATCCCATTACTGGGTATATACCCAGAGGAATAGAAATCACTCTGCCATAAAGACACATGTGGCCAGGTACAGCGGCTCTCAGCCATAATCCCAGCACTTTGAGATCAGCCTGGGCAACATGGCCAATCCCTGTCTCTACCAAAAATACAAAAATTAGTCAGGTGTGGTGGTGCATGCCTGTGGTCCCACCTACCAAGGAAGCTGAGATGGGACGATCACCTGAGCCTGGGGAGGTCAAGGCTGCAGTTAGCCATGATCGTGCCACTGCACTCCAGCCTGGGTGACAGAGTGACACCCTGCCTCAGACAAAAAAAAAAAAAGGATACAGCACACATGCAGGTGAATGTTCATTGCAACACTATTCACAATAGCAAAGACATGGAATCAACCTAAATGCGCATCAGTGACAAACTGGATAAAGAAAAGTGGTATATACACACCATGGAATATTATGCAGCCATAAAAAAAACAAGATCGGCTGGGCGGGGTGGCTCACACCAGTAATCCCAGCACTTTGGGAGGCCGAGGTGGGTGGATCAAGAGGTCAGGAGATCGAGACCGTCCTGGCTAACATGGTGAAACCCCGTCTCTACTAAAAAATACAAAAAATTAGCCGGGCTTGGTGGCACGTGCCTGTAGTCCCAGCTACTTGGGAGGCTGAGGCAGGAGAATGGCGTGAACCCGGGAGGCGGAGCTTGCAGTGAGCCGAGATCGCGCCACTGCACTCCAGCCTGGGCGACAGAGCTAGACTCTGTCTCAAAAAAAAAAAACAAAAAAAAAAAAAACAAAAAAAACCAAGATCATGTATTTTGTGGGAGCATGGATGGAGCTGGAGGCGATTATCCTTAGCTAACTAATGCAGGAACAGATAAAGAAATACCACATGTTCTCACTTATAAGTGGGAGCTAAATGATGAGCACTCATAAACACAAAGAAGGAAACAACAGAAACTGAGGTTTTCTTGAGGGTGGAGGGTGGGAGAAGTGGGAGGAGGGGAAAAAGGTAACTGTTAGGTACTGGGCTTAATACCTGGCTGATGAAATAATCTGTACAACAAACACTTGTGACACAAGTTTACCTTGTGTAACAAACCTTCATACCTGCCCATGAACCTAAAATAAAGGTTTTTTTTTTTTTTTAAAGAATTGCTAATGTGTACACCGGTAAGAAATAAATTTACTAACTAGAGTACAGTATTTGTGTATAGTTCTTTTTGTCTTTAGCCTTTCCATATAAATTCAAAATCCTATTTTCCAAAGTTAAAATTATCAAGGTTAGTACTTTTCTTTCCTAGCCTCTTCAGTGCAGTTACATTGTTGTTGTTAAGTAGAATTCATTTGTTACTGTTCGTATTCCATTTTTAGTTGCCCCCATCACTACCACATTTTCATTGAGAGGATGAATTTTTGCATTATATTAGGTAAGAGCGCTTTTTGCAATTGTTGTTAGGATACTCAAGTATGAGAAGAATAATTAATATGTATGTATGTATGTATGTTGCATACCCCCAGAGTGATCCTTACAGCTGTAACATTGCCTAACTCAGTACTCATTCTAACCCCCTCCAGTGTGCTTTCCTGTGATATAGGCTAGCAAGCTAAACCTAGAATTCCCAGATTCCCTGAAGTAAAGATTTCATTTGTGACTTAGGTTCTGCTAAGCAAATGTGCCTATAGGAAATTTAGGTGAATTACAGAATAAAGGTAATTAATGTATAGGGGAGACCAGCTCTTCTGGAAAAGCTGAGGTAGAGATTCTAGTATCTAGTCTCCAACATCACGGATGCTGAGCTGCAGGCAGTGACAGCAGTGGGATTACCGCTAGAATAGTCCCAAGGTATTCTCCATGGATCTGGCCTTTCTGCACATCTTGGACTATCTTTTCAAGGATATTCAAATAGGAAATAGCCTTGAAAACTGCAGATAAATCTCTATCTCTGGACGAAGAAGAAGAGGGGAAAAATGGGCTGGTCATCAGCAGCCTTATATATAACATCATAGTTTCCTAATTTTGGGTTTCTCTCTTGAAATGCACCCACTGAATGTGCAGGCACAGTTTGGTCCTCATTCCATCTCCCTTGTAGCTTGTGGAACTGGCAAAAGATTTTGATCTGGCTTTTGCTATTATTAATACATTCCCTTGTCTCTGACCCACAGGTCTTGTTTTTTTGTAGTGTGCATACACACACGGCAAAAGGCTAGGTTGTTAGGTTGCAAGTAGGGTAAAAGCTGAGACCTTTAACAGTATGTCTTAAAAAGTGAGTCATCCATATCTCCTGGACATGTTGTTTCCAGATGTGTAGTATCCCATCCTGGTTTCCTGACCCTCCCAGAAACTCTAATACCATCTAATGTCTTTTTTCTTAAATTAGCTTTAGTGGATTCCATTATCTGCAACTAACAGCTGTCATAAATAGAGGCAAGAATCTTGACAACCCATTGATCTATGCTTTGGATTCGATGATAAAGACAGAAGACCCAATCATTGTATACCTAAGAGATAAGTTCAAGGAAGCTTATAAATAAGAAAAAAAAATAGATAAATTAGAAACTGGAAGGCAAGTTGCCCTTGAATAAAGTGCATGCAGAAGATGGGACAGAAAAACAACTCAGATTCATCAAAAATATTTTTTTATTTATTTATTTTGAGACAGGGTCTTGCTTTGTCACCCAGGCTGGAGTGCAGTGGCACCATCGTGGCTCAATGCAGCCTCAATCTCCAGGGCTCAGGTGATCCTCCCACTTTAGCCTCCCAAGTAGCTGAGACTACAGGCGTGAGCCATCATGCCCAGCTAATTTTTTTGTCAAGGCAAAAGGGTTTCATATGTGACCTAGGTTCTGTTAAGCAAATGGCCATGTGCTTTCACGTGCTTCAATCTTTATGGCAGGTGCCTGGTCCTATGGACATTTTAATTTCAGACTCTGGCTTAAAGACTTGGAGGCTACACTTCCAAAAGAAAAAGTAACATAATAATAGGTATGGCACCCACTCTGTGTAGCACTAGCTCCTAGAATTGGAGGGCTAGAAATTGATCTGGTGTCTATAGCAACTTATGAGGGACAGTCATGCCTAGGAAAATGTTCCCTGAGTGGATTAAAGTTTTAATGTGTGAGAACTGGTGTTTCTAGAGGAGACCTAGCAGAAGTGTGAAGGTAATACTATAAGAAAATAATTTTTAAAGTACCTTTTTTATACCTTTTCCTCAAACACTTCTTGAGGAGAGAATAGATGGGGTTGTTTTTTCAGGGAAAACAAGGATTTTACCAAGGAGAGAATGTAATTGGAAGACTCAACTTCCCCCTCCCCATCTCAGCTCCCCTTGAGGATGGTGGAAACTGTTCTAGAAGAGATTCTGGCTCCAACCAACAGTGAAGTGAGCAGTTGCTCACAGCAAAGAAGGAAGCACATAATCCACACAGGATAGCATCATTGTAGACTAGACACAAACTCCCTCTTTCCAAAAATAGCAGTGGGGAAAATGACCTTGAAAGGAAGAAGCTGACAACTGAGTTGCAGAGTTCAATTCAAGAAAAGAATCTCAGAGAACTCGGTGGGTTCTTGTGTTTACAGTTTATTTAATGGAAAAGAGATTGGCCTATTCTGGTTTTGATGCCTGCTTTGCCCCGGGATGAGAAGGCTTCCAACATGTCACTTAGAAGAAAAGACAAGGGTTTTCCCTGGTTTCTGACACCAGAGGGGCTTAGGCTTCTTCATCCACAGCAGAGTTTTCTGGGATTTCTTTTTTTAGAGAAAGAGGACTTGTTTGAGGGGTTACTGAGTTGACAGAGGAATGGTTTCCATAGATGGGAACAAAGCGGTTGTCAAAAGCTAGAGGAGTTTGTTCCGGGAGCTGGATGACGGGGCTGGAGGACAGCATCATCCTGTTTTCAGCTTCCATCTGAAGACCCAAGTTACCCATCCTGGGGTGAGTGCCCACCTCAGAAGTCAAATTCTCCCCTCTTAAAGGCATAGTCTGCCCTTCAGGGGTGACTGATATGTTTCTGGAGGGGACAGTCACCTTTTCACGGGCCACAGCCTTCCTTCTAGGGGCCACTGTATTCTGTCTAAGGGTCTCAGTCTGAAAATGGACAGGGGTCATAGTCGTTCCTCCAGGGCTCACAGACTGATGACTCACAGGGGTCACAGACTGATGACCCACAGGGGTCAGGGTCTTTTCCCCAGGGGTCACAGACTGATAACCCACAGAGGTCAGGGTCTTCTGTCCAGTGGTCACAGATTGATGACCCACAGGGGTCAGGGCCTTCTCTCCAGGGGTCATGGACTGATGACCCACAGAAGTCATGGTCATTGCCCCAGTGATCTCAGTCTTCTCTCCTAGAGCTACAGTGTGCTTTCCAAGGGATACAGTTTCCTTTGTAGGGGTCACAGTTGTACCTCTAGGGGTTATAGTCATATTTTCACACTTTCCGTGGATCTCAGTGACCCCAGCCTCTCCTCCTGGGGGCAAAATCTTACTATCAGTGGTCCATGCCGTGGTCACAGCCAGCCTTTCAGGGTCAGTGCTTGAAGAATTCACAGCAGATGACAGCCAAAATTGTGGTAAAGAAGTTGAACTGAACTCTAGAGAAAATCAACAGAAAAGAATGAGATTCCTACCACTTCATTCTCATCCTATTAATTACTGGCAGAACTAGAACCAATCCAGGGCTGAAGTACCTGCTCCAAAAATTCAGAAGTGTAAGATTTCATACTATACCTACTTGAGGACATAGATGAAATCCCACCACATAGAAGCCTTGCTCCAGACCCCGCCATGTTCACAGGTCCCAGACACCCACAGGCACTCAGTGGATTTGCTACATTTTCCATGAATGACCTCAGAAAGGAGCCCACCCATTCCTTGTGCTTAAGCCCTCACTTTGACATCTCTGATTGCATCATCAGCAAAACCTTGCCTCGAGGCCTAATTCTAAATAATTACTTGATGAATGCTCAAGGAGAAGCTTCTTATGTCTCTATGTTGTAGGAGGCACCAGGAACAAAGCCAGAGGCAAGGAGGCTAGGGACAGCATGCTGTGAACAATGGGACTGGGGCCCACCTAAAGACTTGACCTGACTGAGCTCCAGTCGCATTACCCATAAAATGAAGATTATAAACCATCCGTAAGGATGCTTCACCTCTTGCATGCTAGCTTCCATTTCCTAATTGCCAGGGTAGCCTCTACTATCAAAAAGAGATATCAAAAGAAACCTAATTCCCTCAGCCCTTGCCCATGAGAGTAAGAGAAAGAGAGAAATAAATAACATATATTGAGTGCTAACTATGAGAATTTTCATTCCATAGCTCACTTAGTTCTTATAATAATGTCATGAGTATACAGATTATTCCCATTTTAAATAGAACAAAGGAAGCTCAAAGAGGTCAAATAAGGGCCAAGTATCCCAACAAAGACTGGAAAACATATTGGCCTGGCAAAGCTTTTTCTCTCCCCTCAATGTCATGTTGCCTCACCAAGGCATTTAGATCTAGCAGAAGGGCCTTACCCAGTGCTTGGTTATGCAACTTCCAACCCCAGCTTCTAGGTCACAGCTACTTACCAGCCCGCACCAGGATATCATTCAATACGTAGACAAGGGGGAAAGGGCCAGTGCCACAGAACGTGCCCCTGACGTCATCCATGTCCAATGTCCACACCATGGCCCCCCCAAAATGCTCTCGCCTTATAAACCATGCCTGTAAAAGTAACAGTCAGTCAACCTGCTGTACTTGTCAGTCTCTAGACTGGGTACAATGGCAAAAAACTGAAGATAGTCCCTCAGGAAGCAATGTAGCTGGGTGGTTAGGAGTGTAGCCAGCATTTGAATCTAGCTTTTACTGTTTATTAGCTATGGGATCCTGAAGAAGTTATGTAACCCTTATGTGTCTTAACTGCCTCATTTGTGAAAAAAAAAAAAGAGGATAATAACATGTCCAACATGTTTAGACCCAAAAGATTCTTACATGCACATATTACATACGATATGGATGAAGCGTGAAGACACTATGCTAAGTGAAATAAGCCAGGCACAAAATAAGAAACACTGTATGACTCCATTTATGTGTGGTACCTAGAGTAGTCAAATTCACAGAAACAGAAAATAGAATGGTGGTTGCCAGGGGACGTGGGAAGGAGGAAGGGGAAGTTACTGTTTAATGGGCACAGGGTTTCCATTCGAGAAGATGAAAAAGTTCTGGAGATGGATGGTGGTGATAATTGCACAACAACATGAATGTATTTAATGCAACTGAATTTCAGACTTTAAAATGGTTAAAATGGTAAATCTTATGTTTTATGTTACATAGGAATGCTACATAAGTTTTCCTAAAGAGTTCCCATGCATAAGATATTTGGATCAATACCTGGCACATAGTGAATCTTCAATAAAAGTTAGCTACTAACCCTCTGGGTTCCCCACCTCATTAATCACCATTATTATCCTATTAAACTGTAGATATTGCTCTACTGTTTAAAATTCATTTCCTTATCTCACCGTGATGCTATAAAATACAGTAGAGCACAAAATATTATATGCTTCTCACAGATGAGAAAATAAAGGCTTTCATCCACACTTTTTAAAACCTCCACTACAACTAAATGGCAGAGCTTAGATTCAAGTCCAGGTTTTATTATTACCTTGCCAGTGCTCTCTGTCAAGTCTGATGGAAAAGACAGAATCTATCAGGTCCAAATAGCTGTGTGCCTTAGCCAAGTCAATTGGCTCCTTTCAGGAGTTGACTTTCCCCAAATGTAAAATAAGAGGAAGGAGGAATCCAATCATTAAGTCTGAAACTGTGAAGTTTCTGAGACTTTTATGCTACTTACAAGCTAAGAAATTAGTCTGCCAGTTTTGTGTGTATACACACACACACACACATGCACACACACACACATACTCACATACCCCAACACCCCAGACCTCTGGATCAGAGGACAGAATATTTATTACTCACAGAAAAAAAACAAAACAAAATAGCCAGAATAGCACCTTGAGTCAGTTTCCATGTCCCAAGGACAATGTGATGAAGGTCAGATGTTCAATTCACCTGCATATGCAGTGGGGTCTGCGCTACAGAGAAGAACTCTGAAATTATGAGACTCAGAGCTTATATAGAATGGTTGACATATGTGGCCCTCCTCCCTTCCAGAGAGAGGAGAGAACCTGGAATGTAAACAAGTCCTCCCTGGGAAGGGGACTTTCACAATCATTGAAGGTAAACAAATGGCTCTGGGGGAAAGAGGAAAGCAGCTCTCTATTTTTAGTAAAGCTTGTCTGCTTCCTTTGCCCAGAATCCTCAAACTGTGCAGGAACTCTGAGAAATCCAGGGTATAATTATCTCCCAACAATAATCCCCAAGGTCTCTTTTAGCTCTGATATTCTATGTCAAAATCCCTTAACCATCCCCAACCTGGCTTCATGTCTCCTCACCTAGTTCTGCAAGTTACAGTAACTGCACCTCAAAGCAAGACCACCCTCTGCTGCTCATCCCAGGGCCTCACCCAACACAAGGGATCAATCCCCTCTCTGATGTCCTATGGGTCATAGACTTAACTCCATCCAATTGGGTAAATCCATTGAGTCATTAATCTTTCCTGTTTGTGTCTTCCCATTCCCAAACCACAGAGCAAGATCCCAGAGGGGAGAAGCCATGCTTTTTTATCTCTCTCCGCCCCAGCAGGCCTCACCCAGTGTTAATGCACAGAGGAGCTACGCAGTGAATCTTCATGAGTGCCTTCCTCTCTGGTGCTTCCCACACAAACTTCCCCCAAAAAACAGCCGACACCTGCCATTTCTGCATCACCGTTAACAGGAGAACTGTGAATTCTCTCTATTTAAGTCTCAATATCCAAGCAGTTGCCACATTCCGACAATTTCTCACCTTTAAACTGCTGCTCCTTCCAACTACCCTAGTCCAGACCCTCATTATCTCATGCTTGGACACCTCTGTGTCCACGCCCAGAGCTCCCAAAATGCCAACTTAGCATTTGGAAGGATCATATATGGAGGCATTCTAAAATAGTTTCCAAAGTTTTTCTAAGACCTACTGAATATTGAGGAGTGGAACCATGATTTCTACATGTATCCAGTCTCTCAGGTGATTCCAAAACAGAGGCAGGTTTAGGAACTACTGGAGCATGTCAGTTCTCTTTTAGTTCACTATAAAAACCTGCCAGATTCAACTTCATAAAATACCACTTACATGAAGGGAGGGTGGTGGTCATAGTTTGGCTCTAAAAGTTTGAAAATTAAAGGTCATCCACCTGTAGAAACCTGTTTTTGCCTTAAAATGCCCACAGGATGAAGACTGAACACCTTTACCAGCATTCAAGTCCCTTTATAAAAAGCCTCTGCTTCACCCAAATTCTTCTTTGAACCTGCTATAAGCTTTCTACACCACTGAGCCTTTCCCCAATGTCATAATCTTCTCCTACTCCTGCTCACCTCCCTCAGGAAGCCCTCCCAGACTTCCTCATTTCTGCTACATGTCAGTAATATTTACAGAGCACTTACCATGATCTACTTTGTGTTGGTATTTATCTGTTATGAAATTAGCTGGTCCAAATGGAAAGGAAGAGACCAAAAAGATCATCGAAAAGCTGTAAGAACTGAGGGAACTATTTATTCCCTCAGAACCTAGATTCTTTCTCTTCAGAATAGAGACTTGGAACAGATGGGATTATAAAGCCCCAGTTAGAACTAAAATGTAGGCATGCCTGAAACCCCTGGTCTAATCATCCTCACCTTTCACTCTCCACCCAATACACATACATGCATTGTACAAATAAGGACCCCATAGAAACCGGTAGGAAACCATGTGCTGGAGCATGAAAGAGCCAGGGTCTCACCTTGTAACTGAAGCTGATGGCATTGTCATAGCCAACCCACTCTTTCCCCTTGTTGGCATACGGGACATACTGGTAATCAATCCAGTGCTTCTTCGCTCCCCAGACAAAGGAACAAATCTGCCAAGAGGACCACCAGGTTAGTTCTGGGAAGTGCCATGGAGATAAGCACCAAGAGACAGTTGTTCCTTGCCCAAGGATAAAGAATCCAAGAATCCCTAACCAGCGAATGAGAAGAAGGTAAACCAAAGAGAGAATGGAGAGGCCACTCACAAATGAGTTCCTCTCTATTTTGAATAAATTCCTACTGTTACCCTTTCCTCTCTCTACTGTCCATGATGGAAAAAAGGGAACCAAAGAGTGGATGACATCCTTAAGAAACCAAGCCAGGGGTATAATGCCAGTACCAAAATAGTAAGAGTAACATACATGATCCTTGACCAAATCTGTATCTCATTCAAAGTGTTTTCATAAACAAGTCTCTCCTGTTCATTAGATCCCAGCACAGACTGCCCCATATAGGTGGTTCTCAAACTAGCACCTGAACTTCTAGTAGATTTAAAGTTCTTGAAGGCAGGGAGAACTAGGTTGCTATAAATAATTAAGCATTTGAGTGTCCACTGAGTGCCCAGCATTGTGCTAAAAACTATATGCTGCAAAAAAGTAGAGGTACGCAAGCTGTGCTGCAGAAGTTAATGTCTAAGCCATTCCTTTTCTCCTTTGGTGCTTCAAAGGGTCTGTCTATCAAAGCTTCTTTGCCCTTCAAGAACATTGTTTCAACTATGCCAGCACTCATAAAAATGCTTCATTGGGTTAGAAAAACACCCTCATCCATCCAGCGCAGAGCAGAGATTGGAGAGACTTGCAGCACCTCCACTACTGCCTAAAGTACTCACCCTGTCCCTCTGTACCTGCTGTCCTCTACCTGGGAAGTCCTTCCCGTCTAGTCATTCCTGTCCATCAGGATTTTCCTGTGCTTCAAACTCTGCTCAAACTCTACCTGCTCCATAAGACCTTTCCAGGTCACTACAGCCACACAGTTATGTGGCTCGTATTGCCACCTCTGGTGGTTACATTCCCTTGGAAACATGTCTCTTTCCGCCACCCAATAGCAAGCTTGGTTGAGACGAAGATGAAGAGGGTAGAGCTGGAGTGGAGAGAAAGAACCTGTAGTAGATAATGTCTTGGAATTGCTTCAAAATCATCTAGTAGTAGGGAGGGAGGGAGCCAGCAGAGATGAGACAAAATTGGCCATGAATTATTAATGATTGAAGCTGAGTGAGTAGTATGTGGGGGAGGTACAGAGGCTATACTATTCTTTTAATTTTGCATATGTTTGAAATTATATATATTGCAAATATTAATGATTTTTATTTAGGCCATACAGAAAGTCAGGGTTTACCTGTATAGCATATAAGATCATTTTTGGGGTGCAATGAAACCCTTCCATCCAGATTCCACCAAGTCCTTCGTCCCTTACAAAGGACTCAAATAACTTACCTCAAAGAAAAAGAAAATATCCCAGAGAGTGGGTTTCTCTTGTACTAATAGACCACCTCTTTGCCCTGTCTACAGCTCTCACCCTTGCCATTGCCCCTTGTCCTGGCCTTTGCTCCAGCTGGGGGTGGGAGAGTCCTAACTGCTAGACAGAGACTGATATTCCCATCACCTCAAAATAAGCCAAGAAGCCTTCTTGCTTGGTGTACTTCCCTGGAGATGCTGGTCCGATCGCTCTGGCCTGCAACCCATTCTTAGAGGCTTTGAGGAGGCGAAAGGTACGTCCATAGGTGGGGATCCCCATGATGAGCTTCTCTGAGGGTGCCCCAAGCTTTCTCCAATAATTCATAGCATATGCCTGCAGGTAAGAAGAATCCAGACTCCTCCTTGTTACTAAGAGCCAATGGCCTGAGCTCAGGGGGGCAGATGTCTGGACCACCTGAGATCTTTCCTTTCCTTACCGAAGATTTGGGGTCTTCAGGCAGAGAGAAGAGGGGGCTATTATGTCCTGTGAACCTTTCCCAACTTCCATGTAAGTCATAAGACAAGACATTGATGAAATCCAGGAGTCTGTAAGGGGCAGGAGGAAGAGATATAAAGACTGGGCTAGCCAGATTTTCAAGTCAGAGCATCACAGCACTGTCTAGCTAACTAGCTAGACATTGGTCACCAGAGCTTCCCTGCTCCTTCTGCCTGTGGGGCCTGCCCAGGCTGTGCTATCCACCTGCCACTGGAACAAACAGCTGGTTAGGAACAGCTGTATATGAGGAGCTATGCATCCTGAGAGTACCTGTGGAGGTAGGCAGGAGTTAGATGAGAGAAAATACACTCAGGCCTGATATAAATGCTAACAGGCATCTGCACAAATGGTCATGAGTAAAAGCAGTCTGTTCCATAGCTTGTCTTTCTACAATTCCAGGAGCCATTGAAACCCACCTCCTCTAGAAAGCGTTCATCATTACCAGGTCACAGGGATAAGGGTTTACACTGATTATCTAATTTAATTTTAATCTGGCTAATTCCCTAAGTAGTGTAACTATCTCCATTTTAAAGTTGAAGAAATTGAAACTCAGATAGGTTAACTAATTTGCCTAATGTTGCCCAGTTGGGTGAAGGCAGGACTCTCTCAATCCTGTCTGGCTAAAAGATCAACACTAACACACTCCATGTCCCCTGTGTCTCTCACCCTCCTCCCACATTGAAACAATTCTCTAGCACACTCATACACAGGAACATCCCATTTCTGTTTTGGTCTGCATCTGCCTCAGTTTCCTCTTCTGTAAATACTTGATTCTCAAAATTCTAGAAAATATACCTAGAGATGACATGTCCAAAAAGATTTATGTGCTGCTCTTTGTCTAGCTTTTTAACTTTTGCATGAAGAACTGCTCTGAATACTGGATGTGACTGGGCATTCCTGTTTTTGTTTTTGTGACAGTGATTATTAATTCATCTGTCTCTGATGCCAGCATCCGCTGCATAGTGTATGTCTACAGATATACTCTGGGTAGAAAGAGGACAGGCCCCTGGGAATCTCTCCTCGTGAGACCCAGCAATAGGCTGTGCAGAAGACTCTACCCGTGCTAACATTGTTGTGGGCAGATATTACATCACCTCCCTCTGAGGTCTAAAGAAACCCTCAGGGTATAATGGAACTAGCCCTTCTCCCCACCCATGCTCCTCAGTCCAGCCCCAAACTTGCACTGACGTCAGGGCAGGCACACGGTGAGCTCAAAAACAGTGCTTGGGAAGCTCTGGGGTTCTGAGCTCAAGACACCTGCTTCCCACCAATGTCCTGCCCCACCAAAGCAATATCCACTCACCTTCCTAGAAAGCGCACATCATAGGATGTTTGGACGATGTGTGGGACCCCAGAAACAGCAGCAGACAGCAGCAGCCTCGGGCGCATGGTGAGCAGTGCCTCCTTCCGGAAGGCAAACAGGAGCTCCTAAGAGGAAAGACAGAAAGACACAGAGAACTGGACAAACAGAGAGGCGGGGCCTGGGGGGAGTGTCATCTAGGAAGCATTTACTGAGCTCCTGAGCCAGGCTCTGGGACACGAAGGTGAGTTGGACATGGGCCATGCCACAGGCTCATGAGACAGGCAGATGAGGGCTGATGTGGTTAATGATTTAATCAATTGAGGGGTGGCAAGCAGGCTCAGAAGCACAGAATTCAGACAGACACTGCCTAAGGGAGTGCAGGGAGCTGCAGAGAGAAGGCATCCCTTAGGCTGGAGGACTGGAGCAAGCCCCAGGTGCAGCGAAAAGAGCAACCTCAGGGAGTTACAGGTATTACCCTCCAGGGGTTCACAGTAAAAGAACATTCTGTCACCCTCTTCTGCCCCTGGCCCTGGACTTATGCTCTTCTCCTGCCATAAGCCTAGATATATAAAAGTAGAATCATTTCTGGATTCTGGCGCTTCTAGACCAGACTTACTTCAATTAAGAAGAGAAAAGTCCACCGGTCATGCATGGGGCTGCCTCTTAGTCCAGGATATAAGAAGAAAAGGTCAAGACCATCAAAGTCATGTGTCCTCAGAAGGGATATAACTGAAGCAATAAACTTTTCACGGTTGGCAAATGTGGACAACATAGTGGTGAATCTGTAGGGAGACCAGGGGTAAGGCAAAGAACTCTATCCACAGAATCACAACCTCCTACAAGGCCCCTTGCAAGCTTGGTTCCCTGTGGTGGGCCTGGCAGATGTGGCTGGAGGAAAGGAAGGCAGATTTCCAAAACTCTCCCACCTTCTTATATGCCTCTCCCAGCACCAGGAGCTCAATACCCAGGAGTAGGGAATTCAGGCAGCTAAAAGAAGTTGAAAACCATGTACTGCCCCAAGGCCAGACGGCACAGGGAACAGCAGGCACAGAACCAAGCATGCAGCCTGGGGTGTGGAGAAATGGCTCAGTCCAGCTCTGCCCCCAAAACATGGTATGCCCACTGGCAAGGCACTGCCCCTCTCTGTGCTGTCTCCTCATAGGTAACTACTCAATTCCCACAACCTGTCCTAGCACTGACATTTTCTACCTGACTGGATTAGGGGAGAGAACATGAGTCAAGGGCCAGCATGTCCAGAAACATCTATGAGTTAATCTGGGCCTGGGCTGTATAACTTGGCACAAGAGGCCTGTGTTCTGATAACGGGATCCTGATCCTGTGTTCTTTTGTTCGTTTTTTGTTTGATATTTTTCTATTTTACTTGTTTTCTCTTCCGTAGTGATGACACTTTGGAAAAATTCTAACTTATTGGACCTGAACTTTAAGCAACTCTGGGGTAATCCTGAGATGAGCCATGATTAAAAAATTAACCAGACTCATAAATAGATCTGGGTTCCATGGTCAGTTTCCCACCTCCTTGCTGGGCAATCTCTGAGGAATACCTGTGACAAATCTGGCAAGTTCCTTAATAACTGTGACTTGTGCTTTCTGCTCTACCAATTTTGAATACAACCACTTTGTAAAGCTTCCTGCAAGTGTTCACGGGATAATGCGTGTACAGCCCTAGCCCAGCATCTGGAGCACAGGGAGTGTTCAGAGATGGGAAGAGGTGAATCCTGGGCTGGGCAGAGCTAGTTCTCACCCCCCTGCCCTGAATCTTTCCTCCATCTTGTAAAGTGCATCCTCACACACTCCCAGCCCACCAGGCCTCCCTCTCGTGTATCTCATGCCTTTAAGGCAACAAGGCAAGTACGGCCTCTAACCCAGGCCTCAGCCATGAAATAGGGGAAATGTTTCTTCAGAAAATATGAAGGCAGTTTGTAATCTCCACGTTGTCTCATGGAGATTGAAGTGCTAACAAGAGCAGCTGCTACATACTGAACATGTACTATGTCCCAGCACTAAGCTTAGCATTTTGTTATTTCCTTTCCTCTGTTCCAACCCTTTGAGGTTGATATCCCTGGATCCACTAATAAAGTGAAGAAACCTGTGAGGTTTGGGAGTTATTCTCATCCTGCACCTGATTCCTCCCCTTGGAGACAAAACCCTTGCCTCTTATGAAAGGTTGAGGAAACAATTATGAGTGCCTCATTTTGTCCCTAATTTTCCCCCAGCCTCTTTCTCACCACCTGCTAGAACTTCCTTGTCTCCCCTGACCCACCATGGAGAAGAGGCCAGGATATCCCTTGAGTGCAGGGGTCTAAGATTCATGAGTTGGGGAAGTATTTGCGCTAGCTTTGCTGTCCGCATGGCCAAGCTGCCTTCCCCCTCTGTCTTCACGTCTAACCAGCCTGCTCCACCCTCCCAGGGAGAAGAGAATAACAGCAAAGTCTCACCTTGAGGTGCCAAAGTTCCACCCGCCGATGGACAGTAGTGTTTTCAGCTCTCTGTTCCTATGATGTGAGAGAGAGGGTTGATGAGCTGGGTTCTTCACTCCGGTGGGCAGCTGCTGCCACATTCTTTTATTTTGCTCATTGGAAGAAAACAGGAAACAGGAGAGATGGGAGGTAAGGAAAGGAAAAGGGGGAAGGTGATAGAAGGAGAGAGATGATGAGCACAGGAGAGAGGAGGAAAGACAGAGAGAACAATCAACCCAAGGGCCATCACAGCCCAACAACTCCAAGGCTGCACAAAGTCTGCCAAACTCGCGCATGTCCCTATGATGCTTCCAAAAAAAGAGCAGTCTAAAATGTTTCTCTTTTTCCTATTCAACAAATATTTATTGAGCAATGTCTATGTGCCATTTACTGCTTTAGGCACTTTAGAACAAAGAACAACACAGATAAGCTCCCCACTTTCAGGGAGTTTATAATCTAGTGGCATAGAACTTTTACTCTGCCCATCTATAACCATTAATGCAGTAACAAGCCTTCCTTTGGGCACAGAGAGATCCCAGGAGTTCCGGAGAGAGGAAAATGTAAGCAAACACTTACTGAGCACCAACCCTGTGTGAGACACTGACCTAGCCACTGGGGATACAACAACACAGCAGACACTGCCCCTTCCCTGGAGTAGCTCACCGGTAACAAACGGTAATAAAAACATGAGCATTTGTTGAGCATTTGGGATGTGTAAGCCCACTTTAACAGCATTAATAACTAAAATCCTCACAACTAGGTTCAAAGGCTGAGTTGGGTTTTGCCAGGCAGAGAAGAGAGAGAAGCACATTCCAGGCAGAGACAACAGCAACTACAAAAGTAAGGAGGCAGGAAAGAGCTCAAGGTGTCTGTGACAAGGAGTTCTCAAGTTGGGGGTGCTCTGGACCCCTATTTGAGAGGAAGGTAGGACTGGAAGAAATAGAAGAAAGTTGAAGAGTAACAGGAGAAATAGACTGTTATCTTATACCTGTGAAATCTGAAAATACAACCCCCACATCCAATATGAACACACCTCTCCTTTAGTTTGTTGAACTCTGGGTAGAGAATTTTCTCATCCTGGAGATCCTTAGCAACAATCTGATTGTTGTTCATTGAGGCAAAGGCAAATATCAGGTGGGTGCAGAGAAAGGGGTCCAGGTCATGGGGCAAGATCGAGGCAGGGCCTGGCCGACTGTGTGCCCAGTTGGTGAAATAACACACGAGTTTATGGGCAGCACCTGGTAAGGGAGAGCACACATTAGTTGGCAAAAACCAAGGGAGGGGATGGAGCTCAGCTTCCAGAAAGCAATGTGAACGCAGCCCAAGAGACCAGGCCACATTTTCACATCCTCTCTCCCTGGCCCTGAAGTACACCTCAGAACTACACTGAGGTTCTATTCCTCCCCCACTGCTGAGGTCTCAGGAAGAAAACAATGCCTTGTGAAATCCTGGTCAGAACAGATTCTCAAGTCTGGACCAAGGCACACAGTCAGCGACACAAACAGCAGGTGACCAAAAATCCTCTGAGAAACTGTGTTGGATCAATAATCCCTGTCAGAGAAGCCAGGGCAAGGTGGGCTGCAGGGGACACTCAATGTGGAGGACTTCTCAGCCAGAGACTCTCCCTGGCTCTGGAAGGGAAAACACAGTTTCCTTACCATCGTGGTGTTTCAGCACAAGAACCAGCCCTGTGAGAAACAAAGGAAGGAGTCACACAGAGATTCATACCCTCACCAGAGTGGTATGGCACAGCACACCCTCTGATTAGCAAGGGTGCCCACCAACACACCACCTTATGCAGATGCAGACACACAAATGGGGACACACACACCATTTACTCGTTTCCTAGTTTCTAAAGTTGGACCAGTGGAGCTAGATATAAGTTCCTTTTCTTTTTGATAAACATGTGTATATGCTCATGCTTTGCCCAGGGACAATGACAAGTGTTAGAAGTCCCAGAAAAAGCTCGAGGCCAGTGGTTCTGAACCCTGGCTGCAAATTAAGAAGTACTGATATCCTGGCTGGTCATGCAGAGATTCTAACAGAACTGGTCCAAGGTGGAACTCAGGCATTTAAAATTTCTAATGGGCCACCAGGTTTGAGAACCACTGCTCTGACCACTTCTCCCTGGGTCCCTCTGACCTCTGACCATTAACTATGGCCCATCCCATCTCTACCTAATCTAGGCTTCCCTGAGTCTCAGGCTGCTCTCTCAGGCACCAGAGAGATGACGAACTCATAAAGCCTGGCACTTCCTGGACTGAGTGACACTGCTGGGACCTGCCACACTCACCAACCCACAGCAACAGCTTCCACATCTCAATGGTCTGATAGCTGTGAGTCCAGAGATGCAGCCCTTTATAGGAGCTTCCCTGTGGATAGCGCTGGGACAGCCCAGCTACACATACACACACACACACACACACACACACACACACACACACACACACACACACACCCCAGTGCCAGGATCAGTAATTTATGAGAGTCACAGTGACCCCAGAACGACCTGGCCTCCCTCTCCAACAAAGCAACAGCACCAGGTTGGCACTGAATACCAGGAAGAGGGTCTTCCTGGTATTCAGTACCACAGGGACTGAATATGGGGGAGAAACCCCATATGGTAGCAGCAATTCTATTATTAAAAGATTATTGGCTGGGAAGCAGCGTAATTTTTAAAAAAAGTTTAAACCATAGCTTTGGATTTAGGCTTTGAATCCAAGGTTTGAATTCAAAGTTTGAATCTCAGTGTCACCACTTAGAAGTTTTGTAATCTTGCACAAATTACCTGCCTCTGTGAGGTCAGTTTCCATGCTTGTAAAATGGAGATGACAGCTCAGACTTACCTCATAGAGCTTTATAGAGATCAAAGAGATAATGGGTCAAAAATTGTTAGTTTCGTGCTCGCATATAATAAGGGCTCAGTGAATGGTAGCTATTATTAGGGATGTCAAAAGGGTTGCCCAGCAGAGCAGAGTTCTCAAACTCAGATGACGCTTGCCAGGCAGGTAATGTAAATGGATGGTGTAGATGCAATAAAACAGCTATCTCTATTTTATTAGAAAAGTAACAGTTCATGCCCAATGATGTACATCAACTGACATGAAGCCTCTTGGTCAGGAGACAACAGAGATCAGTATAAAGAGGGACAGCACTCTGAGCAGCTGCTAATGGTTTCCCTGCAGGGAAACAGACCCAGTGTTGCTGGATCCTTCAGTTTCTCAGGAGAAGGCAAAACCTGAATTTTTATGAGTCAACAATATTTGAGTCAGTATATGAGCCAATTGTGAGGATGTGTCATGAACCTCAAGAATATGATGGATACAATTCTGGACATCTAAGAGCCAGTTTTTTAAAAATGCAACAACAGGAGTATGAAAGATAAAATATATATATATATATATATATATATATATATATATATATATATACCGTTTTTATTACCAGACTGCAAGCCAGATGCTTTTATGATTCATCAGTTTTCTTTCTCTGCTACAGAGGGTCTTGGACCTTATGCCCACCTTCACAGAGACTGATGCTGCTCATCTAATCCACATGAACTACTCACGAGGTATTAACCAGATGTCAATATAATCCACGACACAGGGAAATAATGACTAGTGGTCAAATTCATATAACATCTATCCTTCATTTCCAGTATGAAGAAACCAGGAGTCATTGTTTTAAATCAGCAGTTTGCTTGGATATGATGGAATAAAAGCAACAAATTGTATAGAATGTTTGGAGTATTTCACTGAAACTCTGGGAAAGCCTGATGGAATACCCCACCCAACCCAGACTATGTCTCCTTTTCTTCATCCATCTTTGCCTTTCTTTATGTATTCAACAAATTATCACTGAGCATGTGCCATGCCCTGCTCGGCACTTGAAACATTTTCTGCTTTCAAGGAGCTTATGATTTAGTGAACAGATTGATCGTATCCCTAGAGCTAGGGTATGTGTCTCTTTCTTGGAGAAGTAGCATGATGAGTGCAGTGAGGAAAACATGAGTTTTGTTGCCAAAATGATTTCAGATTCAATTCCCACTCTGTACCATCACTGAGGCAACTTGGGTCCCACTTGCATGCTCAATGCCACCATCCATTCCTTGGACTAATATTAACCTGAATTAGGAGATAATTAGGCCTCCTGAGACCAACACTGGATCATGCTTGGCAACAACTTGTACCATTGGTTAGACTACCCCTGGTACGTTTTCTGGCTACAACAACCATGCTCTTGTTCCCCCATTCCTAGCCCTTGTGCCCTCATTCTTGTAACTGGGTCTGGTCCCTGCTTTGACTTCTCTTCCTGTTCTACAAACTGCTGGCACCACAGTTGGGTCCTAGGGCCTGGGTCTTCTGACTCTGTCTTGCTAGGTTCCTCATATCCTACAGCCTAAAGGCCTCCTGTCTTTTAAGACCTCTTTGATGTGGAATGCCTACTTTCCTCCACTTCTGAGCCTCCTCCCACAGTATCCCCTGCCCCTCAAGATTTCACATCACTGAGATTGCCCACTAGGCTGTGACCTTCCACCGAAACTCCTAATAGGGGCACTAGCTGCTAATGCTGTACCTAACACAGAAGCCAAATTGGCCTGCCAATTTGAACTTAATTCATCTGCACTTGAGTCATCCTCTGGATTCCTATTCTGCTGCATTGAGCATGGCTAGATCTCAGACCTGACCCCTCTGTTCCTTGCAAAAATGACTGATGATGCTCAGAATGCCAAGATATAACAATGGATGCCCAGGAATGACCTCTGCATAATGCAGGGATGACCGTGCCAAAGAGCTGGCAACTATGCCCCTATATGTTCAGAGATGATGAATAGTAAAATGCTGAATGGGGATTATGTTGAAAATCAGTGTGTCGTGTCGCTCTGTGTGTTCTCAATCCTTTTCCTTCAGTTCTTGCTGTCAAAAAAAAATTACAACCATTGCTTTTTATTTTTACCCAACCACCCAGATACTTACACAATATCCCTCCCTAGTGCTTAGCCTGTTCTCATGGAGTTAGAAATGACCATTTGCAAATGTCCTTTACTGAGTAACTGAAGAAATCCCTGCAGCAGTGTGACACCTCTCACATTTTACAACAATTATCAAGATGAAGGCAAGATCAAAGACGTGAAGTGCTTTCGTTTTAACAGAGCATTTGGCGAAATATTTCATGATACCCATGTGAATGAATTAGAGAAGTATGACTTAAACAAAATCAGTTGGTTGAATAATTAAAAAAAAATCCAAAGAATATTGACTACAGATCACTGTAAACTTGAAGGGAAGACTCTTTTCTAGTCAGTTACCACATCTTTAAAGTGAAGGGAGTGTTCCAATATTTGGTGTAAAAGATGATTTTTGGTTGTGCATGAGGGATTTTTAAAAATATTTAATGTGTTTATTTTAATGTATAGTAGGAAAATGAATATTATCATATAATCCCATACTTTCATGGATCTTATTTAAGTTTAAAAATTGAGGAAATTCAAAAAAGAATATTTGTAATAAAATAGTAAAGGTAGTGCTATTTGTTTAATGTCTTTACAGGTCATATAGCCAATATCGCAATCCTAAATATAAAATCTTGTAACCTAGCAATTTCACTTTTAGAAATGTATCATGCCCAAGTACGCAAAGAAACAATGTTCATTGCAGCTTTATTTGTAACAGCAAAATACTAAAAACAAAACAAAAATCCTAACTGATTAAATGACATCATTAGGAAATGGCTAAAGGTGTTATTGCACATCCATGCAATGGCCTTTTTCCTTTTAAGCCAGTGATTCTCAACTGGGCACAATTTTGCCCGATCTAGCAATGTCTGGAGACACTTTGGTTGTCACAACAGTGGAAGAAGGTATGCCACAGCACCTAATGGGTAGAAGCCAGGGATGCTGCTAACCCTCCTTTGATGCACAAGACAGCCCTCCACAATGAAGTATATTCAGTGCAGAGGGTCCTTGACTTATGATGGGATTACATCTCGATAAACCCATTGTAAGTTGAAAATATTAATGTTTATGAGAACCCATGGACACAGGGAGGGGAACATCACAAACTGGGGCCTGTCGGCGGGTTGGGGGCAAGGGGAGGGAGAGCATTAGGACAAATACCTAATGCATGTGGGGCTTAAAACCTAGATGACAGGTTGACAGGTGCAGCAAACCACCATGGCACATGTATATCTATGCATCATACCTGCATGTTCTGTACATATATCCCAGAACTTAAAGTAAAATAAAAAATATTAATGTTTTCAACTAACCACTATTTTATCAGGATGTAACTCCATCATAAGTCGATGAACAAACTGACAACACTTTTTTTGTTGTTGTTGTTTTGTTTTTTGTTTTTGTTTTTGCACTGTTGTAGAGTTGAAAAATCGTAGGTTGAACCATCAGAAGTCACGGACCGCCTGTACTGATAATTTAATAGTGCCAAGGGTGAGAGACACTGGTTTAAGCAGAATTGCTTTTTTGTGGTCGTCAGTTCTTATTCTTTTCATTCCAACAGAAGTTTGACAGTGTGCTACTACTTAAACCCTTATAACACTAGATTTAAAAATTAAACTGTTTCATCTATTACAAAGCAAGCTTTTTAGTGAAGGATTCACGATTGATCCACCTTTGTTGCCCCAGATCCAGTGGTTAAATGGTCTGTCTTTGGAATGACCTGAGAAAAAGCATAGCCAAAAAGGTGGGCACACCCCGGCTTAGAAACAGGCAGATTTGGGTTACTAATTGAGAAACTTTGGACAACATATTTGAAAAGTAGCAATAATGACACTTTTCTTGAAAGGTTTAAAAAAATAGAGATTATAAATGTAAACTGTCTGATTCATGGTAGGCACTCATAGCAGTGACTGTTGTTATTGCTGCTAATGGTTATTATCTTTGGAGTGAGATCAATACCTAACAACATTGAACTAATTGCTCAACAGGTTTAACTAATAGATCCTTAAGGTCCTTTCCTACTCTAACATTCTGTGGCATAGTCCTGAAAGCAATTCATTCATTCATTCATTTTTCTAACTTATTCAACAAATACTTATTTTCTACTCTAATGGAGCAAGCAAAAACTAAAATCACAAAAATTTAAAATATAAGTATGTAACTTAGATGTTAGAGACTCTCTGCCCCTCAGTGGTCTGATTACACTCTGCCTATAATCCCAGCCCCACTCCCTGTGTCAGCCCGAAGTGTCCCCGATAATCCAGCAAATTCTCAAGAATTCCTCCTTATGTTCTCTACTTCTGTGCTCCTGCATCCTTGGGTATAGACTGTTTTTCTGCAAAGCTTCCTGTTGCATGACTTAACCTTTTTACTGGCCTCTATAAGAAATCCTTACACATCAAGTTCTTGGTAGTTTTTAGTAAAAACATAGGGGAGAGGGGTGCCTGTGAAGTGTCACATCCCCTAATGCAAAGACTTCACCAACTCCTGGCTCCTCTCAGTTATCCCAGTGTTCTCTCCCATTCCAGAGTCCCTGAAAAACTCCTCCCTTGTTTGCTACAGTTTAGTTCTAACCAGACCCAAAATGCTTGGGCTTTCACTATCTATACCCAAGGCAGATATTAGGGTACTTTCTCTAATAAATCCAAAGAGGAATTCCAATAGCAACTGTTACTATAGTTACTTTTTCCTATTTACTTATATTTTGTATAAGTATGATTAAGAAAACATGCAGGATGTACTGTTTGGGAAGAACATGGTTTAGAAACTTCTTTACCATGGAAGGTATCTGGGCAGGAAAGGGAAACAATCAAAAGGATATTCTAGGAAGATGCTTATAGACAAGTAAAAGAAGGAATGGAGCAGAGACCCACTGGATGGCAGGAAGGGGGCAGGGTGCCAAACCATCTTGAGTTTATCTTTTCCCACCTTCCCAGTGCTGTGCCTTTGCTCATGATGACTGATTCCCAATTCAAAAAGGTGCAGCTCTATGGTGGCTGTCCTCTGTATGCTGGAGATAATGGTAGGAATAGATGCAAGGGAATCAGTTCCCTGATCAATCAGATACAAGCTAGGCAGTGACCACAATAAACCCCATAAGAAAGAAATGATAGTCATGGGCCAGACGCAGGGCTCACACCTGTAATCCCAGCACTTTGGGAGGACGAGGTGGAAGGACCACTTGAGCCCAGGAGTTCAAGATCAGCCTGAACAACATAGAGAGACCTTCGTCTCTACAAAGAGTTTTTTAAAAAATTAGCTGGGTATGTTGGCATGTCTGTGGTCCCAACTATTTGGGAGGCTGAGGTGGGAGAATCACTTGAGCCCAGCAGTTCAAGGCTGCAGTGAGCTGTGATTGTGCCACTGCATTCCAGCCTGGGTGACGGCAAGATTCTGTCTCAAATAAATAAGTTAATTAAACTAAATATAAAGAAATGATAATCATGGTGTTTTGACCTATAAGAATTTGTAGTGATGACTAATTGATGGTAAGGTTCCAAGAAATGAAATAAATGAGCAGCCTACTAAGGTGCAGCTAGACATACATAGGTGGAAAATTTCTAGGTCTACAAGACAGAAACCGAACCCAGATTACTATAGAAGGGATTCATATTCATAGCTTTTTACCCAGTTCCCAGATCTAAACTAGTTCACAATCCTGGAGCCACTTAACTATGAGGAAGCTGGGTCCTTCTGAGAAGGGATCCTGCAATGTAGCTATAGGTATGCATTCTGAATTTTCACCCAAGCTTTCCCCAGAGATAGTGTGGGCTGCATGACTTCACACTGGGAAAAAGAAATGCCTAGACTATGCAGGGGCATTAGATACTGTCTCTAAATTTACACTGATTCTCAGAGACTGGAAACACCAATGTGCCTAACATGTCACTGGGGGCTTATAAATTTCAAGGGGTAAATGAAGTCTTGGCCTGAGTCCATCTAAGCAGCATAACCACGGACTTATTATGTGATTCTTCCCAAGTCCCAGAATGTATACTGGGAATAGATATCACTAACAAGCAGAGTCCTTACGTTATTTCCTTGGCCTCTGGTAGGAGGACTGTTATGGTAGGAAGGGTCAGGCAGAAACCTCTGGAGTTGCATATATGTATGCGTGTGTGTGTTGTGTGTGTGTGTTTTAAACTTTATAGTTTAAAAAAATAGTAAAAAACAAAACAAAACAAAACAAAACAACACTACTACGTCCCTAGAGGAATTGCAGAAATAATGCTACCATCAAAAACTTGAGAAATGCAGAGTGATGATTCTTACCACATCATCCCTTAATTCACCTAATTGGCTGGTGCGAAAACCAGACAAATTCTGAAGAATTACAGTTGATAATCAGGTTGTGCTGCCAATCACAACTACAATTCCAGATGTGCTGTTCTTTAATGGAGCAAAATGACATAGCCCCTTGCACTTGACATACAGCTACTGACCTGCTTTATCTTCCATTCCAATCATTAAGAAATTTGGGGAAACTGCACTTGTATGGTAGGGACAAGAGTATACTTTTATTAATACCATCTTGCCCCAGGACTGTGTCAACTCTTCCACTTTTTGTTATAATATAGTCCAAAGGGAACTTAAATTTCTTAGTAGCCCACAAAACATTATATTGGTCCACTGTATTAATGCCACTATGCCTTAAATCAGGGAGAATATATGGTGTCATCTCTCCCAAGGCCAAAATGCATAGCTGCAATTAAGAACCAAGGGGTAGGAACAGAAGTTGCCTGTTTTACTATTATATCTAATAATTCACTTGAAGAGTTTTTGCTGCTTATTCAGTAGTCCTGGCTAAGTAGGCTTGAAGATTCTAGCATTAAATGAGGAATGTTTCACCCAGTACAGTTATGGTCTCAATGAATTAGAAGCTAAGGCTACCTCTTGGCCATCTGGGGCTCCTTAGGCCACTGGAAAAAAAAATGTAAAGAAAGAAGCCATTGCACCAGTTGGGGTGATTGATCCCAATTACCAGGGGGGAATTGAGTTGCTGCTACACAACCAGAGAAAGGAGGACTGTGTTTGCGACTCTGGGGACTCACTGGGACATCTTCACTACTCCCTTGCCCAGTAATTCCCATGACGGAAAGCTGCAGAAACCCAATAAAGAGCAAATCACTAAGAACTCAGACCCCGCACTCAGGTTTGGTCATCTCACCAATGTTCTCAGAGGGCGAGGGGAACCTGGACGAGGGGTTCTCAGAGGGTGAGGGGAACCCAACGTCGAATGGATGGTGGGAAAAGATGGCCATGATACTTAGGCTGTATGACCATTTACGAGTAGGAACTCTAACAGCTATATTTCATTCCTTGTTTTTCTCTTCTCACTTTTCTACTGCTGCTTTATATGAGGACACTAATGATACCTAATCCTTTAGGTTTAAGATGGAAGCACGAACAAATGGTTATCACCCCATAATGATAAAATAGTTGATGGGACTCTAGGCATCTCTTGTGTTAAGGACATGAAATTTCACCTATATTAAGGACAAGAGAGGATGATAAGGGGCAAAAAGGCAGACTAAACATATTTTCCAACTGCCCTTCTATTAGTATTTCCCATCTTTCTCCACCTCACTTGCTGCCCCTGAAAGTCTGTCTGTTTGGACTACATCAAATGGGCTCTGTTGGGTACAGCCTGATGGAAGAGTAGAGGAAGGGAGGACAGAAATCGGCGTATTCATTCTCCTGGATCACCCCGTGATGTGGCATCAAGGTAACTCTATCTCTTGATAAAAGTCACTGCTGCTCTCAAAGCAGATGCTCTACAAAACTATCTTTTCTTCCAGTTTCAGGTAACCACTCCCTTCCCTTGCCCTTGGGCACTAGCCCTTTGGTTCTCCTACACCATTTCCAAACCTTTCTAATTAGTCCCCTTATACATAAACCCTCCGAAACTATATTGTGTACCATTTGCTTGTTGTGATAACTCATTACACGTCTATCAAATAATCACGTTGTATACCTTGAATATACACAATGTTTGTCAATTAATTTTTTCTTTTGAGACTGTTTCACTCCTGTCGCCCAGGCTAGAGTACAAAGACCCAATCTTGGCTCACTGCAACCTCTGCCTCCCAGGCTCAAGTGATTCTCCTGCCTCTGCCTCCCGTGTAGCTGGAACTACAGGCACACACAACCAACCGTGCCCGACTTTGGTATTTTTTGTAGAGATGGGGTTTCACCATGTTGCCCAGGCTGGTCTCGAATTCCTGAGCTCAAGTGATCTGTCCACCTCAGCCTCCAAAAGTGCTGGGATTACAGGTGTGAGCCACCACACCTGGCCTAATTATTACTTTTTAATCTAAATGTTAAGCAGGGAAAATTTATCACTTTGATGACTGGGATATGAACCCTTGTTTTCTACGAATCTTTACTTTTGGCTAGCACCTAAACACTTAATTCCATCCTGTCTCTCTCTAGACTAAGTCGCTGAATACAGGAAAACTATCTGTCTTGCTCACTACCAAACCATGAAATGCCTAACAGCTTCTGATACACCATAGCTTCTCACTACTGAGTATTTCTGTCTGGTTTCTGACCCATCTGGAATTCTCAAAAGGTAATCTAAGTCAGTGCTTCCCAAACTTTAATATGCATGAGTCACGTAGGAAGCTTTTGAAAATGTAAATTCTGACTCAGTAGATCTGGACATTCTGTATTTCAAGCAAGTTCCAAGATATGCAAATGCTGCCAGTTTATAGAACACATTTTGAGGAACAAGTTAACACCTTATAAAATTAAGCCAGAACCCCCCTCTAAAAAAACCAAATATTGTATGCTCCCACTTACACGTATGTCTAGAATAGTCAAATTTATAGAAATGAAGATGAATGGTGATTGCCAGGGTCTTGAGGAAGGGGAGTTACTGTTTAATAAGTACAGTTTCAGTTTGGGATGATGAAAAAGTTTTGGAGATGGAAGTGGTGAAAGCTGCACAAAAATGCAAATAAACTTAATGCCACTGAACTGTATACTTAAAAAGTTAAAATGACAAATTTTACATTAAAAAAAAAAGACTTTAAAAACTCAAACAAAGCCCAAGTTGATCTTGCTTCAAGGAGTCCGCCACAACAGGTCCAGGGACGGTGGTGCACGCAGAGCCTGTCTTACCTGCCTCCAGGTGCCTAGATCAAAGGGTGCATTAATGCTAACTCTGCCAAGCAAACTGCAGTTGGATAATGGTCTTAAAGGGTCTCATACATCAGTTCTACTCAGAGGATTTCTGAGACAAGCTGCAGAAACTACAGAACATGAAGCTAATTTAGGCTATATATAAAAAGTGCATTTTCTAATCTAAACAATTTTCATGACTTAGCTGACACTCCAGGTAAGAGTTACTACCAGAATGGAAAATTAGTTTGCACCTGAAATTCCTAATGTTTACAACATGGTGCCTCCCAAAGTGAAATGCTTGACCGGAATCTGGTACCTCATGATCACAGGGACAGGTGAAATATAGCTATATCCACTGAAGGCACTTTCAACCAGTGACACTGGCTGGGCTTTCACCAGAATGTTAAAGGATGTTGTTTGGGAATTAAATTCCTTATTATATTTTGAACTTTGATGGTCCATCCATTACATATTGAAGCTGCAGAACATCATTTGTGAAACAAGGAGTTTCCACAGTAAGTAGAATGCTACTATATTAAATGTTGTACCAGATGATAAAAGATTATGGGATCACTAATTGTGTCACAACTTGTTTTAAGTTGTCTCTACAACTTAAAACAAGAGCTAACCTTTCTTCTCAGATGCTCACAGCTCCCTCAGTTCCCTGGATTGCAGCAGTCCTGTGATCACTCAGTGAGACCAAAACTCCAGAAATGCCTATTTTTGATGGAGAACTAAAAAAGAAAATGTGTTTGGGGTCCCAGGGTTGTCTGCTTACCTTGTTTACTCTTCCAAAACTGTATCATGTGAGCTGCTGATGAAGTTCTTGAGAAATTTCAATTAACTCAAAATTGAGACTACAGCTTGCTTATCCTTTTTTGAAACAAAATCAATTTCACAACTGATTCTAATGTGTTCAGTGTGACCATTACTCACGCTGTCCAAATGCAACGAGAATCTGCCTCTTAATAATCAGAGCTCTTTACTTTCAGGTCTAGATGTGGCAAGAAAATTTGGAGCCCTCTGAAGTCCAATCTGATTTTTAAAATCTCCTGTCCTTTCTAACATGCTATCTGGAGGAAACATGGCTGGAGGCCCAGAGCAGTTAGAGCTTGGGTGTTTTTGCTGCTGTAATATGATTGTGAACCAGTAAGTAAGATCCATATAGCTATTTATTAAAGAACCAGACTCCGACTGTCCTGTTGGGAAGGAGAGACACCTTGAAAATTAGCCCAATGTCTGATGCCACCTGAAATCATAGGCAAGGCTTCTTCAGTATTCCTTGTGGTTCTGAGCACCATCCAAGGGGTGAGCCTCATAGCCCTTGGTGGACCAGAGAACAGCTGTGGAAGAGTAGGTTTGATTAGTGGACTTCAGAGTAAGGATGTAGATAGGGAAATGGGTTTACTCTAATGTTTAGACATTTTAACCGATGAAATTAAATGCAAAATATTTGTATATTTTTAAACAAATAGATTGATCTCATTTCAACTTGTCATCAGCTCTGCACTCACTCTACTAGAACTATCCTCAAGTGAAGGACGTAGCAAATCACTCCATATGTGACAGTACCATTTCTAATTATTCTGTGGTCATCTTTTATTTTAAACTATCTTCTTTGTTCACTGCAACATATACATTTATCCAAAATTGTGCTGGTTGCTCTTCCTACTGTATTTGATAAGGTTTATAAATATCTTGGTGGTGGTCACTGATAGATGTGAATTACTCCCATCAGCACACATCTATCTGAACCAAAACATTTTTTTACAATAAAATATGGTCCTTCAAAAACCATGCTTTCTGGTCGGGCACGGTGGCTCATGCCTGTAATCTCAGCACTCTGGGAGGCCAAGGCGGGCAGATCACCTGAGGTCAGGAGTTCGAGACCAGCCTGGCTAACAGGGTGAAACCCTGTCTCTACTAAACACACAAAAATTAGCCTGTAATCCCAGCTACTCAAGAGGCTGAGACAGGAGAATTGCTTGAACCCAGGAGGCGAAGGTTGCAGTGAGCCAAGATCATGCCACTGCACACTAGCCTGGGCAGCAAGAGTGAAACTCCATCTCAACAAAAGAAAAAAAAAACCTATGCTTCCCTTCCATATTGTAACCACCTTGACACATTTCCTTCCTTATCACACATTTCCACACATTTGCTTCCTTATCTCTTTCACTGAGTTTTTTCTCCATCATTCTTAAGTCCAGGAAGAAAAGGGCTATGCAAATTCCTACTCACCTCAAGCTCCCCCACCCCTTACTTTCTCTAAGTGTCCACAAAATTAAAGTTTTATCTTCGAGAGGCAGAACTTAAGTGATTGTACCTACCCATTCTATTTCCTCCCACATTATAAAAATGATGCAAGACTTTATTCCTACTCCACATCAACGCCAGAGGATCACACAACTACAAATTCCCATGTTTTACTCAAGGGTAATCATGTCAAGGGTGAAGCATGGAAGCTTTACTGAGAAATATTTTGCCCATATTCCTTCAGACTTTCCCAGTTTCATAATGTGATTTTTACCTAAATTGAACCTGCAAAGCTCAAAAGTACATAATTGATTATATTTACTTTCAATATAATCAGTAATTGATCCATGACTCCTAACTGGCAATATCCACTCCACCAACCCAAGAATAAATATTTACCTTAAGTTCTAACTAGCTACTTTGGGAAGCTGGGGAAGCACAGGAAAAATAATGGGCTACAAGACCAACACCATGATGACTCACATAAGTGAAATATATCTAACTACACATAACACACATGCTTCAAAAAAGACAGGCCAACAATGCCTAAACTCTTTATTTCACCAACCAGTATTTCTGATTTTCTTCTTGATACTGGATTTTAAAACCTTAGAAGTCTATAAATACTGCATTCAGACTTTCCACATCAAGAGAAAGGGGACCAGGGCAGAAGATGTCAGGCCCCATGCTGTTTTGGGGTGGGAAAAGTGGCAAAGAATTCTCAACAGCCTGTGTCAGTTTTCTAACTTAATTGAAACACCTTTAAGCTCTCCTTCATCCCCAAACTTTCCCCTATGGTGTCTATGATAGAAAAACACTTCTCTCTCATATATGTCCCATCACTAGGGAGCCAGGGGGAAGGGAGTGGGCATTACACAGGCAAGCCAAACTTTTTATTCAGCCAGAAAATGGATTTCTGATTCAGTTTAATGGTAAGGAGTTGTGTAAAACCGTACCAAGTCCTGCTTCTTCCTCAGAGTGAGCTGGGCTGCATTTTTGTGACTGGAAGCATTTCTCATAATGGTGAATTAAGCACTATAAAAAAATAAAGTCAATCCCATCTCTATGAGTAGCATAAGAGCTGCTTCCAAGAACCCAGGGATGCCCACATCCCATAACCCACCCAGACACGGCCAATTCCTCATAGACAGCTACATAAAACCCTTTCGTCAACTTGTTTTGGGGGGTGAGAGAGAGGCAGTGCTTAGGGAAGATGTAGGATGGATTTTTTTTATTCCTGCCACTACCAAAAACTATAAATCTACACACACACTCACACGCACATACATGTCCATTTTTAAGAAAGCTTTTCCTCCCTGTGACTACAGGAACCCAGAATCCAGCCTCCCTCAGGCTGAGAGACGATGCCTATTAACGGCACAGATCTAGCATATCAACATACTATAGAAGGCTCCTGTGTTGTCTCACAAGCTGAGAGGGCAGGGCAAAGAAGTGGACACTCATGGGGGACTTGCTTTTTGTCTTAAATCCAATCTACTCAGTAACACTTGCAGGTCCAGGGGCTGGGAGAGGTTCTGTGGGCACAACGTGGTGGACGACCTGATGGTCCCAGCCCACTGTGGTAAGCAGGGAGTGATTGAGCGGGGACCAAGTCGCATCTCTCACAAAGTCTCTGTGGGCTTGGCTTCTAAACCTAGAAGAAAGAAAAAAAGTCGGGGCAGAGTAGAGACAAGAAAAGCAGACCTGGAGAAAAAAAGAGAACCCAACACATCTGGGGCACATTTTTTGGGTGTGTTACACACATTTCACCAACTGTATGGCCTCATCGCCAGGATAGCAGTGTAGCTATCCACAGTGGATGTCATCAGTCATCCAATCCAGTCTTCTATTTTCATAGATGAAGAAATGCTGGATAGAACAAGACAGTGATGAGGGGCAGTAACAGGCAGCAAATCACGGCAAGGAGGGAAGTACAATTCAGGTCTTCCAGGTGCTGCCTTTTACCCTGTAGCAGGCTGCATTTCATACGCAGTTCTTTATGTGAGAGGGTAGACTGCCGCCCCCTTGTGGGAGAGCGCTGGAGGGCTAGACTTAAAAATTTCACCTACCACCCCCCTCTACCAAGGACACGGCTTGTCCTTGGGGTTGTGAATGTGCCCCAGGAATGGACAGGGTCAACAGCCAGCCTGCTTCCATTACCAAGTCCCTTCGGATACAGATGGAGAATCTGTTCTCCAAAAGCACAACACAGTTTTCTGAAGAGGAAAATGACTCGCCCACCCACTGCTCCCCTTCCCTGATTCCCAAAGGATTCCACTTCACACTTACAACTCAGAAAGGCTTGAGTCCAGCACAGCAAGTGAGCAGTCTTCACTGAGAGAGGCCAGGAAGGGAACACTATCAGATGGAGGAGAGGGTTGTGAAAGGTCCAGCCTGGATCCCAAGACAAAACCTTAACTGGGCCGGCCCTGCCGCCACTGTAAAGTGACCCAGGAGAGGCAGCCTGATTCCCACTTTTGGCTAATCTGGCTACTACAAGTCCACACTAAAAGTTTCAAGTAAAGATGAGGGAAATGAAGCAAAGTTAGGGTTGACAACCATCCTGGCAACTAACCACCCCATCTGGTCCCTCTCTATAGCTTCAGCAATAACCCAGAAACACAGGCTTTTCCAATCTCACAGTCCTAGAAGCCCACAACATTAACCATTTTGGGTGTTGGGCAGGAATGAAATCACATTTTAGCCATTTCAGACAGAAACCATCTAATCTGAAAAATCCTTTGACTCCCAAAGGATTCTACTTCACACTTAAGAGATCTTCGATGTTCCGAAACCTCAGCTAGAACACTGTCTGCTTTAAGGAACTACTTCATCAGCTAATGCTTTGAAAACATACACACACACCCTCACGGTTCCCATTTATACCCATCAGGCCCCTGATGACAAAGAACAGTACCTGTGTGGGGAGAACACCAGCCCAGTGACACACTGGGAGTGTACAGCTGAGCTCAGGACACAGCTTGTACTCTTGGTGTCCACAAGGGAGACTGTCCCATTCTCATCACCTGTAGAAGAGAAGGAACATGTCATAGTGATTAAGAGCATGGACTTTTGTGCCAAAGACTTGAATCCTAGTTCCTCGAGCTTGTAAAAGTTAACCATTCTGAGCATCAGTTTTCTCTTTTGCAAAGTAGGAATAATAAGTCACTGGATCATTGTGAAAATTAAGTTAATGAACGAAGCAGTTATTATTTTAACCACAAACTATGTCACCATATACACAGCCTCATGACCACGATAGCGCTACACCTACCCACAGTAGGACAGAATTCGCTATATAGCAATCCACTTGCTTTGTGGATCACTGACTTATAGCCATGCCCAGAATACAGAAGCTGGATCAATCAATCAAAAATCAAATCCACTGGGAAAATAATCATGTTCTCCAAAACTACACTAAAACTACGTTGGCATCACCCCACCTCCCCACCCTCAATTCATAATTCATCTAGTGTCCATGAGGGCTAAGACTGAGCAACAAGGGCCTTGTGTGTTGTGGAGTCAGCTCTTTCTTTTTCCTCCTCCCCTTTCCCAGAGTCAATATGAAGTCTGACACGCTGCCTTACCAAAGACAAAGACTTCACTTTGCTGAGGATGCCAAGCCAGCGAGGTAGGAAGGTAGCCAGGCGCACTGCAGCCTGCAAAGGAGAGACGAGGGTCTGGACCAAAACTCAGAGTACAGAAGAAGCAGTTTCTCAAATGATATCACTCTAAATCCTGGGAGCACCTTTATTTGATTTCCCAAACCCTGCTAAGGCAGCAGTGTCCTCATCCTTGAGCCTCATAACCATTTATCCCAGCAGCCTCCTGCCCTTTCTGGACACGAGTCACAGGCAAGTTTCAGGCACGAATCATGACGATAACAATTCTGGCCCCTTTGTCCTACCATCTAATAAAGTAAATCACCCACCCAGGAACTGGCCCTTCCTCTTGGTATTCATTGCACAGAATGGGGTTAGCAGAGCCTCACTGGAAAAGAAGGAGATTATGTCACTCATGTCACAGTAACTACACTGGGCATCTAGCAACTATGCTTTGACACTGGCCAAAGACAGTCTCTTCTATCAGGGTTCCAAGTACTATTCTCCCACCAATGAATCTCAGACTCACCAATCTGTGATGCTGGCTTGGGACAGCGGGTATCCCAGAGTAAAATTCTATTGTCCTAGAGGAAGGTGGAACAGAAAAAGGATTTCATAATCCAAAGGAGCAGTTGCAGGCCAGAAAGTCTCCCCACTAGAGACTTTGGCCTATGGATGGCTGGAGTGTGTTTAGGGAAGAAGGAGCTATCTCTTACCTCGCTGCATGAAAGAAACACAGAGTCCTTGTGAGGAGAGGCAGCAACACAAGTGACCTGAGCAGCATGAGCTATAAAGGAGAGAGAAAGAGAAATATGATAGAAAACAAGCTGAAGCATTACTAGAGGGCCAGCCCAGGAATAATCAAGGGGCAGGAGGGAGGGAGGGCTGGTCTCATGATGCAATTTAACAAATTTTGTGGGAGATTATGGATTAGACAAAAGCTAAGAGGAGAAGTTTATAGACTTATAAAACCTAAAAAGCCTTGTAAAAAAAAAACGTATTAGTGAAGATAATGAATGAGAAATTAGGGGCTTAGTAAGAATAACAAAGGAATTTCCAGTTTAGGCATCCTAGACGTGAGGGCTAAATAATTCTAGAATAGCAGTCTTCATACTGGAGTACACACACCTCCAAGTAGTATACAAAAACTTTTGAGGGAGTTCTGGGCGCTAATAGTATTAAGAGAGCCAATTTCTCTAATGTTCTCTTTCTTAAAATTGAACTGCCTCTGTTTTCAATCACTCTTCTCCCACTTCATAGAAAGAACACATACCTGTCATTCATCCCAGATCTTTCCACGCTACAATGCTCAGGGGTATAAAAATATAAGGGTTCTAAACTAAGGGACAAAAGGGGCTTTTCCATAAGAACCAAAGAGCAAAAAGAAAGAGCATCTAGGTAAAATTCAATGAAGGGGGCTGATCTTGTTTCAGTCACACCACAAACACAAGTATGGCTCTGTGACTTAACTCTGTTTCTGTCTAATAATGAGAACTAAAAAATATGATAGATCATTGTGATAAGGACATATTCAACAACTTTATCTGAATTTAAAAACAAAGTCAGACTTTTTCTGACAGAAAATTTAGTCTATCTTGGTCCACTGGCTTTACAATGCAGACTGGCTTTTGCCAGTTAGGCTGTTTGGTAGACATTCATGCAAACTAAGTAGCGTTAACCTGCGAATCTAAAATTTTGACAAATATATGCTTGAAATAAGCACACAATAAATTATATGCCAGAAATTACCTTCTCTGCAACTACTTAAATAAGCATTTTTAGGTATCAGTTTAAAAATGTATGAGGGGGCACAGATTTTCAAAACTGTTTTAGGAGGTCTACATGTAAAAAACTTTAAAGTCACTGCTACATGTTAATTAGAAGCTGTGGAAACCTTTTCTACAGTCATTTTACCAGACTTTCCCAGGTAGTCTGAATGTGGCCCTTCCCTGAGGCAGAAGGATGGAATTAAACCAGTTTCCATAGTTCTTTCCTAGCCCTAGAATTCATAGAAAGCCAACAGGATAAGAAGTAAGAAAAGGAATTTATTGCTCACTTGAAAAAAGCAAAGCTCTGGGACAAGCACCATGGTGGTGTACAAAAGATGAATACATGGTTCCTCTACCCTCAAAGGTTTTGGGGCAGGGTGCAGTGGCTCATGCCTGTATCTCTCAGCACTTTGGGAGGCCAAGGCAGGAGACCACTTGAGCCCAGGAATTTGAGACCAGCCTGGGCAACATAGCAAGACTCTGTCTCTACAAAAAATAGAAAAATAATAAAGGATTTGGAATTCAGCAGGGGGAATAAGACACAAACACAAAGAACTAACAAAAAGGCTGCATGGCAGAAATGCTGAAAAAGAGTTAGCATTAACCAGGAAAGCACATCATATGTCTAAGAAATAAAAAGCAAATATAATAGACATAGAACATTGACTTTTTTTTTTTCCCTGAGACAGTTTCACTCTGTTGCCCAGGCTGGAGTGCAGTGGCGTGATCTCGACTCACTGCAACCTCCGCCTCCAGGGTTCAAGCACTTCTCGGGCCTCAGCCTCCCAAGTAGCTGGGATTACAGATGTGCACCACTACGCCTGGCTAATTTTTGTACTTTTTGGTAGAGTCAAGGTTTCGGCATGTTGGCCAGACTAGTCTCTGACTCCTAGACTTCATATGATCCACCCGCCTCAGCCTCCCAAAGTGCTGGGATTACAGGCGTTAAGCCACTGCGCACAGCTGGGCATTCAACATTATTGTAAAACTATTTCCAAGTGACCCTGAGGGTCCAGGATACTGGACCTTGGATATGAGTCAGTGATTTCTCTGGCCTATAACTTAGTCATGTACTTTGAAGTTAGAAATGGCAGGGAAAGGCACTTAGCCATTGAGAGAACCACAGTGATCCCCCAGCATCTAAACCTTGGAACCATGTACACATTAAGGCTCTAGACATTATCTTCACAAAGAATGGCTCCCAAGATAAAGTTAACTACTAGTGCTGTTAATGAAAGTGAGCAGAAAGAGGGGCATTAAAAAAGTAATGGTTCTCACCAGAAAACAGACATTTTATGAAGGTAAATACTCAAAAGTTCAAGATTTAAAAGTCTCAAGATTTATCCCTCAAGAATGTCAAGGATCTAGTAAGCTTGAAGAGAGGAAATGGAGTAAAAGGGCTTCAATGCCATGACAAGAAAATGGGATTTTAATCCACAGGCCACAAGAAACTAATAAAAGACCAAAAGAGCTAGATTGCTAGTGGAGAGATGAGTGCCACTGCCTGTGTAAGGTAAAGCCTGAAAGTGAATACGGGCATAGAAATGGACAGGAAGGTGACTGACCAGTGGAAAAGACTAAAAAGAACTTAGTGGCCAACCGATGGTGGGAAAACAGAAGAGGTGGAAAAGGACCGAGTTTGAGCCCTGTGTTGCCAAGGTGGTGAGGCCATCAATAGAAACAGGGAAACTGGCTGGTCTGAAGGTAGTGAGTTATCTCAGTTGATTGTTCAGTCAGTTACAGATTAAACTCCTTGTTCTATTCTTTCCTCCCTTTTCACTACTGCACTTGACTAGTCGAATTAAAAAAAAAGAAAGAAAGAAACAAGGAAATTGAGAAAAGGACAAGGAGTAGATACCGGAGCCTGACTATTGTTTTACAAGAAAACTATCAGAACATGGAATTGCTGCTCCTAACATCAAAGCAAAGTTCAAAAAGTCCAAAAACACAACAGCTAACACCAGGGCTAAAAATGAAAGAATACTCACCTCGGTATGAACTCAGTACCACCTGCTGAGCAAGGTCCCAAACCTTGATGCTAAGAAGCAAAAGCAAACAGACATTTAATCTTGACCTACACTATCAACATAAAAACGTGTTCAAACAAGAACTTCCTGTAATCAACATTCCCCAAGTCTTTGCCTCTTGGACTGCTGCTATGGTCTACTTACGATGGACTGCAAAATCCCTAAGGAAACCTTATAGACATGCTAAAATAAGTCACTGGATTCTTAGAATAAGCCCAAAATGTTACCTAATGAGGTTAACAGGATAGGAAAGGCACCCACAGGAGGCTTAGAGACAGGAGCAATGAGAACAGGGACCCACCAGATGTCTTTGCTACCACTGACAGCTTGTGTGCCAGAGCTCAAGACACTGACTGTAGACACAATGTCATCATGCTCATACTTGCAGAACTTGCTGACAATAAGTGTCTCATTCTCATCTAGTTCCCACAATTCAACAGCACCTGTTGGGGGTAGGGTAAGGAAAACATGAGCTTGGATTATACCAAGGCAGTAATTCACTTCTAGGATTCAAAGAGCCATTGTCACTAAATTAACAAAGTAAGTTAGTTATTCCTGTAAAAGCAAAGTCCACATCATTGGAGAGTTCAGCTAATTTCTGAGTCTTTGACTTTATTCTGCGTTACTGTTTTCCTAATGACAGCCCAGACAAGTAGGTGCAGAAAGCTTCCAGAAAAAGACAAAGATGGAACAGTCTGTAAAATTCATTATCTGCTTTTAGTGAGAGAATATGGAAAATGAGCTGCAAGGGGACAAGGATGAAGTTTCCACAACTGTTTAAGCAGCACACTATCCAGTGATGTTAACACTTCCCCAATATTTGGACACTAGTAAGTATTTGCTGAACTAGTTGAATAAATGTCTTGCAGAGTCTTTAAAAATATGTTGAATAATTGAACGTCTTGCACAGTGACTGGTTAAGTATAGAGAATCCGCCAAAAGTTGTCTTGATTATGTAGTGTTCAAGCTCAACTGTCAGAGAGGTTAAATCTATCAAAAACTGGGACTTTAAACTTCCATGCAATGCCGGCCAACTTCCAAATTCTGATTTTAAAAAAAAAAAAAGCCAAAGCCTGCATCGCTAAGCCTAACAGTCAACAAAAAGAAAGCAGAATGAAGACAAGAAAGCGGTAAGAAATGGGAAGAGACATGTAGCACAGATTGGCTTCAATGTCATCTTAAAATCAAGATTATGCTTGGTCTGGGCTGTGGGGGTTAAGGGGCAGGTTACACAGAAGAAAAATGGTTCCAATCCGTTGCTTAATTTTGTTACGGATTTTTCTAGGAAATCTCACCAGACAATTTAGAATTTTAGAAAAGGTATTTCCCACCTACACAAGAGTTTGCATTCGGGGCCAACACTCTCAGGCTCCTCCAAGCACTGAGTATAGGACGTTAGATATTGAGCTCAACCCTACGGTACCCCAAGTCTCCATTCTACCGTTCCACCCGGGGGTGGGGGTGGATAATGGGATAGTGACTCACCTGAATCGGAGGCCACTAGAATACCTCTCTCCCCAACCCAAGTGAGGTCAGCCACTCCAGCCTCCGTTTGGACTCCGGCGGAGCAGAAGCCTTCGTTGGGGGCGGCACAGGGGTCCTTAAAAAGCCAGAGGGAGCCGGCCCAGCAGCGCCCACTCAGGCTGGAGGCCCCGAGGAGAAGCGCCCCATCTACGGGGGGTACAAGCTGTCAGCGCGTGAAGGGTAGAAGGGTTCGCCTCCATGGAGACCGCACAGAACAGCGTTCCGGCCGGGTCTGGATCTGAGCTCAGGAACGCGGGGCAGGGCTGGGGACAGCTCGGTGACGCGACCCAGGGTCAGGATAACATGCAGGGCGGGGATGGGCTGGGAGGGTCAGTCTCCGGGGAGGGGCGCCCTGGGCCGGGGTAAGGGAGCTCCCAGGCCCGGGATCTCGGCTCACCGGACCGGTACCGCGCAGCCTCCAACTGCCGTTCCATGCAGGCGGGCGCATTTGGGGGAAGATTCCACTCCCGGGCCGCCGGGGGCACTAGGGGGGGTGGGGTTTCCTTCCGCATCTCCACGGTTCCAACTCCAACCTAGACTCAAACTGGACGCCGGCCGGAGACTCCGCTCCGGCAGCAAACCCCACGTGGTGCACCTCTGAGCCTCCGCCCCTCTCCCGAGGGAACCGCAACTCTACTTCTCGCGAGAATTGCTTCTATGGCTCCATCCTGCTTTCCGGCTGTCGCCCTCATGCGATAGGCTCTCAGCGTTACTTGACTCTTCTCGCGATAATTTTTTTTAAAAATCTCCCAAGGAAAGTTGAAGGAAGAGTACAAAATTTTCATCTCGCGAGACTTGTGAGCGGCCATCTTGGTCCTGCCCTGACAGATTCTCCTATCGGGGTCACAGGGACGCTAAGATTGCTACCTGGACTTTCGTTGACCATGCTGTCCCGGGTGGTACTTTCCGCCGCCGCCACAGCGGGTAAGGGGTATAGACCCTGCTCTGGACTATCAGAGTGATTGGAAAGAAGCGAATCTAGGGGTGACAGGGAGGGGAGAAGGGCGCAGCGACACGGGCCTGAGAGGCGAGTGGTCAGTGCAGTTCGGAAGGGAGCGTGGGGTCTTGAGGGACGGGAAAGAGGGGTACATAGGCTTAGTGATAGAGCCTGGCGGGGGTAAGGAAAGGGCAAACCAGATTTCATTTGACTTTGCTGACCTTCGCCTTGTCTATCTGCAGCCCCCTCTCTGAAGAATGCAGCCTTCCTAGGTCCAGGGTAAGTGTGAGGATAATGCTCCCTTTCGTCTTTGTTTTCACTACCTTTTATTTCCCGATTCCTGCCCCCACCCCCTTAGCTTTAGGTCAGAAATTTCTTTCCGATAATTTTGGGACACTTAAACCCTCTTTCAGACAAGACACTTGTTCCTGTAACTGCCAGGAACGCTCTCATGTCACCTAATGACCAAGATTTTAGCAGGATAAGTAACGTATTCTAACTAAACTAGAAATTGGTTTTGCTGTCTTCTATACCCGCCCTACTCCTTTGTGACCTTCCCTTGGGACCTTATGACATGTAGCTTCCACAGCCTGAATCCGAGTAGATGACATACCCAAGAATAAATTTTGTTCAATAAAACAGTAAAGCATGTTGTTTACAGTCGGTTTCCCAGATACCTAGTTTTTGCTGCCATATGATAACAATCAGAGAAATCATTCATTGATTCAGTAAATATTTATGTTGCCTAAAAACATAACCAAGGATACAAGAATGAGTATGGCTAATTACCTGCCCTCATGGAGCTCACAGTCTAGGAATGGGAGGCACCTTAAGAGTATTGGTTTAGAGTGAGGGCTCCACAGCCAGTACAGGGTCCCTGGCCCCTCCACTTACTGGCTGTGTGACCTCAATTTCCTCATCTATAAAATGGCGATAATAGTGCATTGTGGCTTTTGAGAATTAAGAGACAATTGCTGTGAAACTCAAAAACAGTTCTTGGTACATAGCGTGTGCTTAGTAAATTTAGCAGCTGTTACCGTTAAAATTGTTCCATAAGACATGTCCATTTTCCTAGAGATTTCTCTTTTTACTTCCAAACTTAGTTCTAAAGCTTGCAAAATACGGTAACTCAAATTGAAAAAAAATGGACTTGAAAAAGTGGTCTTATCTATAATTAAGTCTCATGTATGCAAAAAGTAAGGCTATAATTGACTGCTTCCAACTTAGAAGAAAAAGGACCCCATACAGACTGGTAAACAAATAATTGTAATACCAGGTAGTAAATAACTTATACTTACAAGATACAAGGAATATCCTTGGTTTTCTTTCACACTCCATGTCCAGTACCTCAGCAAGGCTCTTCCTCTAGAAATTTGGACTCTGACTGCTGCTTCCACTACCGCTAAAGTAGGAACCACTATAAACTTTCACCTAGGTATTTTAGTAGTCTCTTAATTAGTCTTGCATCTCTATTCTTGTCCCATTACAGCCCATTCTCATAATAGCCAGGAGGATTATGTCAATCCCCCACCAAGGCCTTCCAGAGCTCCCCATCCCACTTGAATAAAATCCAAACTTAGCATAACCCAGAAGGTCCAACATGAATTGATTCCATCCTATCTCTTGACACCATCTCCTTGTGGTCTCTTTTTAGCTCATTCTCCAACCTTGGTGTTCCTCTGAAAACTACCAAGCGCATTCTTGCCTCAATATCTTTCTACTTGCTCTTCTCTCTTTTCCCCAGATGATTGGGTCAAATGTCATCTGACTCCCTACCAAAAAACTCTTCCCCATTTTGTTGCTCCCTATCCGCTTACCTTGCTCAGTTTTTCTCCATAGCACTTAGAGCTGCCTGAAATTTTGTATGGAGATACACACTCACCCTTCCCATACCCCCACTAGAATGTTGAAGGCTGGAGCTTTGTTCATTGCCATGTTACCGGTGCCTAGCATTAGTAGAAAGTCAGTAAATGTTTTTTTTAATTGATTAAAAGAATGAATGTTAGCCCAAAATGGGGGGAGGGCTTTACAAATCTGGAGGCTAATTGGTCTTGGTAGTCATTGCTCCTGATTGGTCTTGATAGTCATTGCTATAAAGTCATGGTATGAAGGGCATACAAGGCAGAAGGAGCAGCATAAGGCAATTTTTTTGTGGTGTTTCTTTGTTTGTTTTTGAGAGCTGTTAAGTAATTCCAGGAGAGTAAGAGAATGAAGGAAGATAAGGTTATAAAATTTGGCAGGACCAGGCACAGTGGTGGTTCATGCCTATAATCCCGAGGCCAAGGCAGGAGGATCACTGGAGCCCAGGAGTTCAAGACTAGCCTGGGCAACATAGACAAAAACAAAACAACAAAAATTTTTAAAAATTTTTTAAATTAGCTGGGCATTGTGGTGTACACCTGTACTCCCAGCTATTGGGAAGGCTGAGGTGGGAGGATGGCTTGAGCCCAGGAGGTGGAGGCTGCGAGTGAGCAGTGATGGCACCACTGCACTCCAGCCTGGGTGACACAGTGAGACTTTGTCTCAAAAAAAAAAAAAAATGACAGGTACTAGATTATGTATGTTATATTAAGTAGTTTTCTGTAGGCAGGAGAGAGCCTGTTGAGTTTTCAAGTCAGATTTTCATTTTAGAAACATTGGCAGTAATGTGAGTGGGCTAGGTTTAAGTTGGGGTATTTAATAAGAAGCAGAGGCCAGGTATAGTGTCTCACGCCTGTAATTTCAGCACTTTGGGAGGCCGAGACGGCAGATCACAGTAGTTTGAGACCAGCCTGGCCAACATGGCAAAACCCCGTCTCTCCTAAAAATAAAAAAAAAAAATAGCTGGGTGTGGTGGCACACGCCTGTAATCCCAGCTACTCAGCTACTCGGGAGACTGAGGCACAAGAATCACTTGAGCCTGGGAGGTGGAGGTTGCAGTGAGCTGAGATCATGCCACTGTGCTCCCGCCTGGGTGATAGGGCAAGATTCTGTCTCAAAAAAATAAATAAAATAAGCAGAGAGACCAGGTTTTGTATTGTTAAACTAAGCAAGAGGTGATAAGGACTTGAACTAAGGTAGCTAGTTAGGGAGACTTGTCAGCCTAAGCATACCATTTAGTGCTATGATTTAAATCAGTGCTTCTTAGCCTGGGGTGGTTTGCCTGCAGGTGACATTTAGCAATGTCTGGAGATATTTTTCAGTGTTACCATAGGATGGGTCGGGGAGGGAGGGGCTACTGGTACCTATTGTATAAAGGCCACAAAGATACTGCCAGACATTCTACAATGCACAGAACAACCTCTTACAACAAAGAAATATCCAGTTCAAACGTCGGTAGTGCTGAATTGAGAAACCTTGATGTAAATGAAGGAATCTCAAGCATGATTCTCAGATTTCAAAACCTGGTGGGGTAGCTAATATATTTGGAGGCAGAAATAATATTCAAAAGATAAGCATTGTACCAAAATAAATGAAATAATGTAAATTCTTATATTACAAGGAGATAGAAGTTGAGAGATTGGAGGAATGGAGGGTAGGAAGTGGGACAGAAATACACTGAAAACTTGAAGGAGACTAAATGACAGCAGATATAAAGGGACTAGATTTTATTTCATCAGAAGCTTAAGGAGACATCAGTATGCTGTAACTGTTAAAAGTGTAGTCTTAAGCTGCTTTAATACAAGAATAGTTTCCAAATCCACTGTTGATAATAGTTCAATTGTTCAAGCTCAGTACTGGCAATAGTAAGTTCTCAATAAGTATTTGTAGGATGAATAAATTGGCCAGACTATACTTAAAGTATTATATTCAGTTCTGTATACCTCATTAAAAAAAAAAAAAAAAGATAAAACCAGAGAAGTCCTTACGGGCAATCAGGATTGTGAGGGAACAGATGTTTGACCCAGGTACATGTGTGTTATCTTACATAGAAAAGCAAAATTAGAACTAAGAATGGATTGAGGTTCCAAGAATGTATGTATCATCTCAATTCAAAGATGAACATAATTAGAGCTACCCAGTACTGAAAAAGTCTGTTACATATAGTGTTTAGCACTCTCATCAAAGAGAGTATTCAAAAAGGTCCAGGAGCTTACAACATATCAGGCATATAATAGCTAACCACTTACGTAGAACTTTTCCATGTGCCAGGCATCATTCTAAGCACGTCACATATATTAACTCAATTAATCCTCTCAACAACCATATAAGGTATTATCTTCTATTTCCATTTTACTGAGAGAAATCTGAGATTACAAAAGCTTAAGTTCTTTACTCAAAGTCAAGGAGCAGGTCTAGGATTTGAACTCAAGATGCCTATCTGACCGCCACGTCCACATTCTTACATATTTCAGTGCTAATGATAGACATACAAAGTGCTAGACAGATGATCTGCAAGGCTGATAGAAGGGATTCCAGTATTGGGTAGAAGGTTAAATGTCTGTGATTAATTCTTTGCTGTTGTCACAGCTGATTACTGGACCCTAACCTTCCCATTCCCAGTCCATTCTCTTTCCATTATGAGAGTTAGAAAACTGCCTCAATTATCAACCCTATTTATTGTTTCTGCTCATTATTCATACACTGTATTCTCCTTAAAGAAACAGGCTTTACATTTGTACAATTACTACCTGTAGGGTATTGCAGGCAACAAGGACCTTTCATACAGGGCAGCCACACCTTGTCCCTGTACCACCTCTTCCTGAATACGGAGGAAAAGTTCGTTATGGACTGATCCCTGAGGAATTCTTCCAGTTTCTTTATCCTAAAACTGGTGTAACAGGTGAGCATTTTTGCCTAGTCTCTGGTAATATGTTTTGATGGCACCACTAAAATCAAGTTAGGTGGGTTTTCTTCTTTGGTTTTTGTTGTTGTTGTTGTTGTTGTTGTTGTTGTTTTTTGAGACAGGGTATTACTCTATCACCCAGGATGGAGTGATAGATCACAGCTCACTGCAGCCTCCACCTCCCCAGGCTCAGGTCATCCTCCCACCTCAGCCTCCCGAGTAGCTGGGACTTGGCGTGCACCCGGCTCATTTTTCTATTTTTTTGTAGAGACGGGCTTTCACCATGTAGCCCAGGCTGGTCTCCAACTCCTGGGCTTGTGGGATCCACCCATCTTGGCCTCCCAAAGTGCTGGGATTACAGGCTTGAGCCACCCGCCTGCAGCCGCAAGTCAGCTATTTTTAAAAGGAAATTGTAACAATTGATTTGATTGCTCCAACTTGTCTTTGGTATAAATTTATTTGGGATTTTAACTTAATTTTACAGCATTATCTCTGTTTGTTAGTAGATCAAATTTTTTGATGCCTGCTTTATGCCAGGCACTGTTGCAGTCATACAGTGTTGAACAGTGTTAAGTGCCTGCTGTCCTGGAACATACATTCTGTTGTAGGATGACAATAAAGAAATGAGTAACTGTATAATATACTGTTAGGTAATGAAAAGGGTACGAATAAAAATGAAGCCATGTAAGGCAAGAGTCCCCTGATTAAGTTTATGATTCTCTCTACTACATGTACTGCCTTTCTTGGCCCATACCCAAGTATTGCTATGACTGGAACATTGGAAACCGAAGATTGTTTTTTTTTTAGCCCTGGAGTCACCTAAAGTAGCATTTTCCTAACTGAAATTGCTAGAAACATTAGTCTCCTCAGACGTCCATAGGTGATAACAATGTTACATATGATAGATGTTTCTTGCAAATTCATATTTAAAATTTGTATATTAAAGGCAGTTAAAAAAAACTGTTGGAACTTTGTATGGGAAACCAGGTAAAATGTATTTGAGTTTGTAACCCTGTTGTTCTTATGATACATCCTGCCATCCTATGATTCTCAGAAATACTGTAAAATGCTTTCCTAAAAGCCTGCTCTGGGCCTCCCTTACATCCTGTGAGGCGCGGAGGAAAGACTAAATAAATGTAAATCATGGTTTGCATCCTTTCAGAACACATGGCCTGGTTAAAGAAAAAGCCATATTTGAAGCATTGTAATTAGGTGCTACAGGAATTGAGAATCCTAATATTTATTCATCCTTTTATATACATATCACTTTGTAGTTGTTTTTTGCTTGTTTCTTGTGTAAATTTTATCCGGTCTAGTGTCCCATTCGATAAATAGTATATTTTGCTGGACAAATTACTTCAGAAAGTTATCTGACATCTTTGTAGAATAGTTTAATTTACTGTGCGGGGTATTGTGCTTAACATTATTTCTCAAATTTATCAGACTGAAGAAGGTACTGTCCCCATTTTACAAATAAGGAACTAAATTCAGAGATTATTTAGATTGCTCAGTTTCTTTAAAATTGTAGAGTCAGTATACAGATTTCCCTGAGTCCATATCTTTGTTCTTTCAACTCTACCATACTGCTTCCCAATCCAGTGTTTTGTCTTTGAATCTAATTAAGTCATTACTTTGCCTTCAGCTAATCAAATATAGAAGTACCTTTCTATCTTCCCTCTTTTAGGCATAGCATATCCCTTCATAAAATAACTCTTTCTTCTTTTAGGACCCTATGTACTCGGAACTGGGCTTATCTTGTACGCTTTATCCAAAGAAATATATGTGATTAGCGCAGAGACCTTCACTGCCCTATCAGTACTAGGTGTAATGGTCTATGGAATTAAAAAATATGGTCCCTTTGTTGCAGACTTTGCTGATAAACTCAATGAGGTAAGAACCATAAACTTTATTTCCTATTTTAGACTAGCAGAAACATGAAGGTCATCTAGTGATATTTTTGATATGAGTGTTAGGGGAGCAACATATAGAAATGAATCTAATGCTTCAAATAAGTGTTAACGTTAGTTACTAATTTGAGATAATTTTTTTATATCTACTAAACACTTTAGCTTTTCTATAGTTTAATCATTCAAAAGATATTCTATAGTTATTATGGGCAATTCTTTTTAAGGATTTGTGCGTTTCTTTCTATGTTTCTTTGTGGGTGTTTTTACAAATGAGATATACAACTTTGAAGAAGCATGAAATGAATCTCCTTTTTTTACCCTTTGTGCTTTCACTGATCTTTGTTGTTGCTATCACAATTGTAGCAAAAACTTGCCCAACTAGAAGAGGCGAAGCAGGCTTCCATCCAACACATCCAGAATGCAATTGATACGGAGAAGTCACAACAGGCACTGGTTCAGAAGCGCCATTACCTTTTTGATGTGCAAAGGGTAGGTTTCAGAAGTTTCTAGGAAGAATGAAGTTACTTGTTGTGTGCATTTTTTTAATTCAGAATTTTTTATGAAGAATGGTTAAATAGATTGAACGTATTTTATTTAGAAAAGAGAAGATTTGTGTAGGAGTTGGCATTCACGGCTATTCAAACATTTAAGAACTGTCAAGTGGAAAAATAGTTCAAATTATTATAAAATTAGAATCTATAGAAGCTATTAAAAAAAATTTTGGATCCACACAAAATGAAATAGTCATTAAGTTAAAGCTGATTTAAAAATGGCATGCACTGTGTAAGGAAGACTAGGTAAAATACATCCTGTGTATTTCATACACACTTGCTGCAAGAACATCTTAACATCTTTGCTGTAAGGAAATCTGATACTGTACATTCTAAATCCACAAAGCAGGCAGGGCACAGTGGCTCACACCTGTAATCCTAGGACTTGAGGAGGGTGAGGCAGCAGGACTGCTTGCACCCAGGAGGTCAAGGCTGGAGTTAGCTGTGATCCCACCACTGCACTTCAGCCTAGGCAACAGAGCAAGACTCTCTCAAACACACACACACACACACACACACACACAAACAACAAATTCAGATAGCAGTAGAGCTTTTTATCATGGTCAGAACATGATTAGATTCTAAAATATGCAGCTTCCAAAACAATCTTTAGGAATATGTTCAAGTATTTTGTTATTACTGTTTTTATTTTGAGCCTTGTACTTTATGGCTAATATTTAAAAGTGAGGTGCTGTTATGTTGAAGTTTTATATTAAAATGAAATGAAAAATGAGATGCTAAGGTAGAGTAAGCATCTGAAATAGTTAGGATCTTGGCCAATATTTCTCAATATTGGCCAAGATACTAAGCATCTGAAATGTTTAGGATCTTGGCCAATGTGGTCTTGGTACCACATGGATTAGAGTTATCTTTGGTGTTAATTTTTTTGTCCCTTTCCAAGACTTATGGAATCAGAACCTTTCTTAGGGGCTATCCAGAATCTGTATTATTTTAAACAAGATCCCTAAAGACTCTTAAGCACATGGATATTTGAAAATCTCAGAAAATGTTAATTCCATGTATATTTAGGTTACAAAGGGAGAATGCTTCCTGCTTCTTGCATAGTATATACACACACGTGAATGCATGCATACATATATTTTGGCTTTTTTAAAAAACCATATTGGAAAATGTAGCTTTTTCCTAAGAGTCAAATGATAGTAATTTAGGTTTTTATTTATTTACATTTACTTGATAGATATTTATTGAGTTCTTCCTGTGTAGATATTCTGATCAAGGCAGAGTGCTGAAAATATAGTGGAGAACAAAAAGCTTCTGCCTTCATGGAGTCTTATTTTCTAGCCAGCCTTTGGGAGAAGCACAGAAAATAAATAATTGAACAGATGCAAATGTCAACAGGTAATAAATGCCAGATAGAAAAATAAACTAGTATTAAAAAGATTGCAGGCCAGGCGCATTGGCTCATGCCTATAATCTCAGCACTTTGGGAGGCCAAGGCGGGAGGATCACTTGAGCCCAGGAATTTGAGACCAGCCTGGGCAACATAGACCCCCTTTCTACAAAATTGCAGGAGGAGGGAGTCACTGTTTTTATAGGGCATTCAAGAAATGTCTCTAATATGATATTTGAGCAGACACCTGAAAGAACTAATAGTGCAAAGTATGTGGATTTTTGGGGAAATAAGTTCCAGGCTGAGGGAAGAACAGTTGCAAATGCCCTAAACCTGGAAGTTTGCTTGATACAGTCAAGGAAAAGTAAGAAGGCCCATACAGCTGAAGTAGAATTGGTCGGGGGAGAATAAAAGGAGATAGAGGGAGGCCTGGGACTGTGATATATAAAGACCTTAGGCTCCTATAAGAACTTTGACTTGGACTCTGAATGAGAGAAAGTCATTGAAGGATCATTCTGATTGCCTTGTTGCCAATAGCCTTCAGTTTGGTATGCATTGGTTTGTGATGCCTATGGGTTAGCCAAGTAGAGATATGTAAGAGCTTGGCCTTATGTAGCCTTACTGCCTGTATGCTGATCTTGGCTTCACAGTTTATTAGCTCTGTAACCTTGGGCAAGTTTCCTAATTTCTGCCTCAGTTTCCTCACTGCAAAATGGATACAATTATAATAACTATGCCATGGTTTGGTTACAAGGTTTAATTGAATCTAAACACAAGAGTGTTTAGAGTGTAGTCAGTACTCTACAAATGTTAACTATTATTTGATCCAGCAAGTATTATGACATAAACACAAAGACAAATCTACAATGTATGCACCATTATTTGTAGTACCAAAAAATGAATTATAGAATACCAGTATAGTGGAATCCAGTGTAACTTAAAATTGAGGTAGGTTTGTGTGTCATAATTAATAAAAGTGATGTGTATATGCCTATATTTTGATGGGTATACCTATATTTTTATTAAATATTTCTGGGAGGGAATACAAGAAATACAGGAAGTTAATGGCCTATGGGGGAGGCTGAAGGAGACTTATTTCATACAGCATCACTTTTAAATATGTTTTTGCCATATGCTGTTATAATTTCTAGGTACATATTACCTATTAAATAAAAGAATTTCACGTAAAATACAAAAGAAGTGGGCATTCTCACTGGCAGAATCTTCAGAGTAGAAGTATTCCTTCAAGTATACAAACAATATTTATCATTTCTTAATTTTGCCCCAGAATAACATTGCTATGGCTTTGGAAGTTACTTACCGGGAACGACTGTATAGAGTATATAAGGAAGTAAAGAATCGCCTGGACTATCATATATCTGTGCAGAACATGATGCGTCGAAAGGAACAAGAACACATGATAAATTGGGTGGAGAAGCACGTGGTGCAAAGCATCTCCACACAGCAGGTACACAACATTTTTGTAGGTTCTGATGTTGTACTGGTATCTCTTAACAAGTATCTGCTGATGTTTTGTTAAGGTAGGAATAGCTGGCAAGGAGTCTTTAGCCTAGAAGTAGCAGTGTAACCCCGGTTTGTTTTTCTGGATAGTGATAAGCAGGAAGATGCTGCATACCTGTCAGGATGGCTTTTCTCTTTCCTTAAATTTGGGTAACATTAACTGATATATTTAATTTCTCTATAAAATAGACTGGGCTGGGCACGGTGGCTCACACCTGTAATCCCAACACTTTGGAAGGGCGAGGCAGGAGGATCACTTGAGGCCAGGAGTTCAAGACCAACCTGGGCAACATAGCGAGATCCTGTCTCTACAAAAAATTTAAAAAGTAGCTGGGTGCGGTGACAAACGCCTGTAGTTCAGCTACTCAGGAGGCTGAGGTGACAGGATCTCTTGAGCCCAGGAAGCATAGGCTGTAGTGAGCTGTGATTGCAGTATTGCACTCCAGCCTGGGTGAGAGAGCGAGACCCTGCCTCAAAAAATAAATAAAAGACTGAACAAGGCTATTTCTAAGCCCCTTCCATTTTCTAATTCCATGACATTCCATTTCTTCTTTTCACCTGCATAACTTGTCTGTTTTGAACGGAAATGTTTTCTATTTGCTTAAACTGAATTAATTTTTTTTCATTTATATTTTTGCTTTAATATGACTTGATTTTTTTTTTCTTTCTCGAGTTTATAACATTTAAGTATTTCTGGTTGTTTTCAGCATAACCTATACAGGATTAGAAAAACAGTGTCTATCAAAGTTTTTTTTTTTTTTTTGATAAACTTTTACATAAAAGTAATATATATGCTTACTTAAGAAACTTAGAAAATACAAAAGAAGTCTAGAAAAGAGATTAAAAATTATTTTCATTCTTAACATTTATATATTACTAATATTTGTTGAATTGGTCTTTTTCAAGCAACTGTTGGTTGTACAAGCCAACATCAGTGGCAGATGGTTACAGGAATATCTGGCCTCAAATTCTATACAGGTTTCACCCATAAAGGCTGTGAGCCAGGGAATTTTAACTAACCCCCTGGATTTGCTTAAAATAAATTATATCTCCTCTGTGTTAATTAATTTTACTTCTAAACCTGTCTAGTAGCTGTATAGTGTTAAGCCAGTAATCATCTTGAGGTTCTGGTCTGGTAGGAGGTGTCTTTTAGAATAATGGTGTTTATACTCTATACTTTTCTATGTTTTGGAAAGGTCTAACCAGATTTCTCTTTCCTTATCACAGGAAAAGGAGACAATTGCCAAGTGCATTGCGGACCTAAAGCTGCTGGCAAAGAAGGCTCAAGCACAGCCAGTTATGTAAATGTATCTATCCCAATTGAGACAGCTAGAAACAGTTGACTGACTAAATGGAAACTAGTCTATTTGACAAAGTCTTTCTGTGTTGGTGTCTACTGAAGTTATAGTTTACCCTTCCTAAAAATGAAAAGTTTGTTTCATATAGTGAGAGAACGAAATCTCTATCGGCCAGTCAGATGTTTCTCATCCTTCTTGCTCTGCCTTTGAGTTGTTCCGTGATCACTTCTGAATAAGCAGTTTGCCTTTATAAAAACTTGCTGCCTGACTAAAGATTAACAGGTTATAGTTTAAATTTGTAATTAATTCTACCATCTTGCAATAAAGTGACAATTGAATGAAACAGGGTTTTTCAAGTTGTATAATTCTCTGAAATACTCAGCTTTTGTCATATGGGTAAAAATTAAAGATGTCATTGAACTACTGTCTTGTTTATGAGACCATTCAGTGGTGAACTGTTTCTGGCTGATAGGTTATGAGATATGTAAAGCTTTCTAGTACTCTTAAAATAACTAAATGGAGTATTATATATCAATTCATATCATTGACTTTATTATTTTAGTAGTATGCCTATAGAAAATATTATGGACTCAGAGTGTCATAAAATCACTCTTAAGAATCCATGCAGCAGGCCAGGCACAGTGGCTCACACCTGTAATGCCTGCACTTTGGAAGGCCGAGACAGGCGGATCACTTGAGGTCAGGAGTTTGAAACCAGCCAGGCCAACACAGTGAAACCCTGTCTCTACTAAAAATACAAAAGGTTAGCCGGGCATGGTGGCAGGCGCCTGTAATCCCAGCTACTCAGGAGGCTGAGGCAGGAGAATTGCTTGAACGCAGGAGGCAAAGGTTGCAGTGAGCTGAGATCACGCCACTGCACTCCAGCCTGGGCAACAGACCTCGACTCCATCTAGAAAAAAAAAAAAAAAAATCCAGCAGACACCTATCAGGAACATAGAAAATAACAAGTGTTGGCAAGGAAGTGGAGAAGTTGGAACACTTGTGCACTGTTCGTAGAAATATGAAATGGTACAGCCATTATGGAAAAGTGTGGTGATTCCTCATAAAATTAAAATGGAAATACCATGATCCAGCAATCCCAGTCGACATATATACTCAAAAAAATTAAAAGCAGGGTCTTGAAGAGATACTTGTGTTCCATGGTGATAGCAGCCATTGTTCACAATAGCTAAAACATAGAAGCAGCCCAATCGGCCATCAGTAGATGAATGGATAAGCAAAATGTAGTATATCCATGCAATGGAATATTATTCCACTTCAAGGAAGAAAATTCTGACACTGGCTACAGCATGAATGAACCTTGAGGACGTTATGCAGTTTTACAGGATGAGTTATGGAGCTGGATAGTGGTGATGGTGGCACATTAAGGATGTATTTAATACTGTTCTTAAATGGTACACTTAAAAATGGTAAATTTTATGTGTATTTTACAATCTTTTTTTAAATTGAAGAAAAATCCTGTAGATAAATTAGAAAATTCTTCCCTTCATAGGTTTATCTGCATTTGATTCTCCCATACTTGTACAAGGATTTATTTGTATTCAAATGGACAAATTACGCAATAGGAAATATTTGAAAATATTTATCATGGGTAATTGCTATTTTCATTGACTTCCTAAGATTTTATGTAATAATCATTTGAGTCAATATTGGTAGCTAATGTACTAATCTAATATTGAAATCAGATTGATATCTTTGTTACTTAAAGATAATTTGATTGGATCAGCAGTTATTTCAAATTGATTAAACAAAAAATTATAAAACACCTAGTTTGTGCTAAGCAACGTAATGCAGTGATCATACAGAGATAAAAGTCCTTACCTCGGAGTTAAATATCTACTAGGAAGACAGCAAGAATATGTGATAATACAAACTTGAGCACAGGGTGCTCTGAGAGTGTGGCAAGCACCATTTTAGGTAGTCTCACCAGCCTCTTGTTTCCCTCATATACATCATCCAGGTCAAGGTTCAGTCAGAGAAGCAGAATATATGTTTATATATAAGGAATTTGACTACGCTGTTGTGGGAGCTAAACAATCTGTAAAGCTGTTAGTGTTCTTTCTGATGCTGGAGCTTAGAGTCCACACGGCAGTCAGTTAAGGGAAGACGGGTGTAAAATGGGAGGCAGTTAAGAACAAGTGGAAGTAACAAGCACAGACAAACCCATGTCCGTTTTTATCATCTCTGGCCTTGATAGTGGTTGTCCTGTGTAACCCCATATCCAACACAAACATGTGGTTTAGAGAAACCTGGTTAGAGAAATGAGTGATCCAGGGAAGGGATGGGAAGTTGTCCAGCTGCAGCTTGTGAGCTAACACATGTATGAGCTATAAAACAGCTGCTGCTTCACATTTATCCTCCAAATTTTGCTCAAGACTTGTGGCTTACCCTAACCAGAACATTGAGGGAAGATAATTCTGGAAAATGTAGTTCTGCCTAACCAAGCTGACATTACAAACCACCACAATAACTATCCTATCAATAATTGTTAACCTGAATGAATAATGCTTAAAAATTTCAGCCCCAGGAGATCAAGTAAAACAGAGAGAGAGAGGGAAAGTGACAGGTTCGAAAACAAATGGTGTCTGAGCTGGCATTTGGAAGTTAGCCAAGAGGGTGTCTCAGGGATTAGATAGAGTCCAGGAAGATGGAACAGCATAGATGTAGGAGAGTGTGACATTTTAAAAACTCTTAAGTTTGAGTGAAATATAAATATTTAATAAATTATATTAATGGGTTTTTTTGGTTTGTTTTTTTTTTCTTTGAGATGGAGTCTCGCTCTGTTGCCCAGGCTGGAGTGCAGTGGTGCCATCTCTGCTCACTGCAAGCTCCTCCTCCCGGGTTCACGCCATTCTCCTGCCTCAGCCTCCCAAGTAGCTGGGACTACAGGTGCCTGCCACCATGCCTGGCTAATTTTTTGTGTTTTTAGTAGAGATGGGGTTTCATCATGTTTGCCAGGATGGTCTCAATCACCTGACCTCGTGATCCGCCCACCTCAGCTTCCCAAAGGGTTTTTTGGGTTTTTTTGTTTTTGTTTGGTTGAATGGTAGGGACAGAAGAAGATTACATGGGGTTAAAAGGATTGAACAGCAATGAAGAAATTGACTTAAATATAGAATAATTTCCAGAACATTTCTCACCCCAGTAACTAGAGGGAACCAAAGGTTGGCTCAGGGGAATGTTGTTTTAAGATAAGAGGCTTGAATGAAGAAAAAGTCAATGGAAGAAGAGGATGAAAAGAAAACAGTGAAGGAGGATACACATAGTAAAATCCCTAAGTGAGAGAATAATATTCAGATGACAGGAATTAACAGAAGGTAAACATCTTCCATTGAAACTAGAAAGATAAAGATGGACCTTGAAAGAATGAAGTTTTTCAGTGGTGGAACAGGAAGCTCATTCAACAATCGTTTATATAAAAAAAAGATACCATGTGTCATGCTTACTGCTAGAAATTAAGATAAGACAATATGTCATCTCATCTCCACAGACTTTACAGTCTAGCAATCTAGACATAGAGTAGTATAAGGGTTGCCATTGTTAAAACTGTAGGGTGATAGGGGCATATATAAGTAAACTTAATCTAGTGTAGGAGATTATGAAAGCCCTTCTGGAGCAAGTAATATTTAAATTGGTATCTGTAGAAAAGAGAGATCATCAAACAGAGGAAATATTAATACCTTGTGCAAAGCGCCTGAGATAGGAAAGAACATGGCACCTTGAAAACCCTAGAAATGAATGACTGGAGCACAGGGGAAGGGAGGGTGTGGGAGATAATGCTGGAGAAGTGGATCATCCAGATTATGCATGTTTATGGCCTTTTTGACCATATTAAAGAATTCTATGTTGTTTTTTTTTTAAATAATGGAAAGCCAGTTTTTTTTTTAAGAGACTTTATGCAAGGTAAGTATGGATAATGTATTAAAAGAGTTGCCAGCAAACTTTTCCTCTTTAGGGCCAGATTGTAATGGTTCAGACTCTGAGGGCCACATACAGTCTGTGCTACATAATTGTCTTTATGTTTTGTTGTGTTTTCTTTTTACAACTGTTTGACCCCTGTAAAACTGTAGAAAATAGTAAGAGTAGATGGCGGGAGCATCTAGGAAGCTATCAGAGTAGTCTAAGGAGGACCTGATATGGCTTGGGAGAGAATGGCCATAATGAGAAAGAAGAGACTTGCCATAAGATTTTAGAGTTGAATTGACAAAGCTTGCTTCTAGATAGGAGGAGAGGAGGATGTGAGATTGAGGAAAGCATGTAAATTGCCTCGTAGGATTCTGGCTGTGTGGTACTGTTAATTAAGATACAAAACAGAGGAGAAGAAGCAGGTTTTAAGGGGGAAGCTACTGCATTCAGTTTTATTGTTGAATATAAGTTGACAATTAGATGGTTCTTTGGCAACATGAGGAAATGAGCTTCAGATCTGGTAAAAGTAATGGCCAAAAAAATAAAGTAGGGCATCGTTAGCATATAGATAGTAAGTCCAGGGAATGGCTGAGGTAACATAGGAAAATTGTATGGAGTAAGAAGAGAGGGCTGTCTCAGCCAGATTGGATGGAGGAAATCAAGCAGGCAAAGGAGACTGGTGAGAAAGGGCCAATTTCAATTATCATTTTTTTGACCTATGATTTACTTAAAAGTATGTTTTTGAAATTTCTAAACATATTTGCTCTTTTAGTTCTTTTTATTGTTGATTTCTAACTTAATTACAGGCTGGTCAGAGAATGTGGTCCGTATGATATCAACTTGAAATGATTGAGAGTCACTTTCAGCCTGAAACAGGTGTCAGCAAACTATAACCTGTGAGCTAAATCTGGCCTGCCACCTAGTTTTGTACAGCCTGGAAGCTAAGCATGATTTTTACATTTTAAATATTATACATAAAAATTATACAAAATTCAAATTTCAGTGTTCATAAATAAAGTTTTATTAGAACATAGCTACCTACACTCATTCATTTACATATTGTCTGCGGCTTCTTTGTTACCATGTTGGCAGAGCTGAGTACTAGCAACAGAGACCATATGCTCCACAAAGCCCAAAATATTTACTATCTGCCCTTCACAGAAAAAGTTTACCTGCCCCTGGCTTCCAACGTGTTCAATTTTTAATGTTTTAGGTGTTCTTGAAAAAAATCTGTACTCTCCAGATAACATATGCAGGGTTTTATATATGTTTATTAGATTAATCTTACTGACTGTATTACACAAATTTATATACTTATAACATTTTGTCTGCTTAATCTACCAAATACTGAGAAATGTAAACTAAATTTCCTACTTTGGCAGTGGATCTGTTAAGTTTGTATTTTTTGTTTGTTTGTTTTGGGGCTTTTTTTATAGTTCTGTCAATTTTACTTTATAAATTCATAGTTTAGGTAACTAGAAGCAAATAAGTTTAGAATTGTTATCTCTTCTCACTGAGTTAAGCTTTTATCAGCATGTAATGATGATCTCTTTTTTTAACGAATAGTGTCTACGTTAAGGTATATTTTGCCTGATATGAATATACCAGCTATCTTGTTAACATTTTCCTGGTGTAACTTTTCATCCTTCTTTCAACCTTTATGGCTGTTTAAGTTCTAGATACATATTTTCAAACAGTATATAGCAGATTTTTTATTCAATCTGGCAATCTTTGACTTTTAACTAAAGAGTATAGTCCATTTTCATTTATTGTAATTAGCAATTGCTGTTCTATTCTGATTCATTCCCACTAATATATTTTATATTTTCTGTTTTGTGGCCTATTCTGGTTTTTGCTATTCATTGTTTTGGATTGACTAATTTAATTCCAATTGTTTTTTTCTCTAATAGTTTGAGTTACTCTATTTCTGTTATAATGATCACTCTAGAAATTTTAATATTTTAATCTCTCTTCTATGTTTTATATTGTTGTCTGTGTTATATTTCTTGTCCACTATTTTTCTCTTCAAATGTTTTAAACTTGTTATTTATCCCCACTATTGAATTTCTATCTTAGTCCATTTATGCTTCTATGACAGAGTACCTGAGACTGGATAATTTATAAAGAAAATACAATTAATTTTTCACAATTCTGGGAGCTGGAAAGTCCAAGATCAAGGTGGCAGCCAGATTGGTATCTGGCGAGGACTGCTCTCTGCTTCTGAGATGGCACCTTGCTTCTATACCTTCTGCTGGGAAGGCATACTGTGTCCTCACGTGGCAGAAGGGACAGAAGGGCAAGAGAGGACTCTTTTCAACCTTGAGCCATTTTGTAAGGATGCTAAATCCATTCAGGGGGCAAGGTCCTCATGACTTAATCATCTACCAAAAGGCTTTCCCTCTCAAAACCATCATAGTGCGATTAAGTTTCAACATGAATTTTGAAGGGGACACATCCAAACACAGCAATTTCTAATTTCAATGATAGGTTTAATATCTTTACATTCTACTTATTTCTTTTCAAATTTGCCTGATTATTTTAGTACTTTTTTATTCCTTCATTACACTTTCAATATCCACTTTATTTACTTAAAAATATTAAGCATACTTTTATTTTGGATCTGATCATTCTTATACCTACAGCCTTTGCAGGTCTCTGTCTCTAACATTTGTGGTTTGTTATTTCTGCTGTCTCTTTCATGATGGCTTGATTACTTTTTGTGTTTTTGTGATTTGTCTTGTTGTTAGCTCATATTTATTGGAAATGTGTCTGTGGAAGTCTTTGACACCTGGTCGAAGAGGCATTCTTCTACAGATAACTTGCATTTTCTTCTCCCAGCGTCCAACTTAAACAACCAATTTAAACTTGGAATTTTGAGGTCCACAGACAGTACAAAGTCTGGCCTAAAACCTCCTAAAGTTAGGTTTGTGGTTAGGAATGTCCAAGGGAAGCGTATTTTGTTTTGTTTTTCTTTTTGTCCCCTTCTATCCAGAGCCAAGCTTGAGATAAGCAAGTATGACAGGCAGAATTCTACAATGCCCCATGATCTCTGCTCCCTTGTGTTACTGCAAGTATAATCCTCCCTCCCCTGAATGTGGGTGGAATCTATGACTTGCATCTAATCAACAGAATATGGCAAAGGTGACAGGCTGTCACTTCCATCATGACATTATGTTATATACAACTTTGTCTTAACAGGCTGGAGAGACTCTTCTGTGGCATTCAAACTGCCATGTTGTGAACTGCCTGTGGAGAGAACCACAAAGCAGGGAACTGTAGACAGCCTCTAGGACCTGCAAACAGGCTCCAGCTGACAACCAGTAAGAAGCCAGGGCCCTCAGTCATGTAAGTCACAAGGAAATGAGTTCATCCAACAACCAGAGGGAATTTGGAAGTATATCTTCTCCTAGTCAAGCCTCTGATAAGAACACAACCCCAGCCAATACCTGGATTACAGCCTGGTGAGACCTTGAAGCAGAGAACCTTGATAAAACATGTCCAAGCTTTTAACCCATAGAAACTATAAGATAAATGTGTATTGTTTTAAGCCTCTAAATGTGTGATATGTTAGGCAGCAATAGAAAACTAATACAGCAAAGGTCTCCACCATCTCTATCTGTGGCATGGATTTTTTTTCCTCATTCACCCACCAGGGGTCCCTTTTCAGAGGGTACAATCCAAATCGCCACCTTTGTGCAGGCTCTAGACTTGGTTTCCTAACCTTGCACACATGGCCTTTAAACCCAACCTTCAGGTCACCAAAAATTGGTAGCTATATCCAGAGCAAACACCCATTTCAGGTCTCAATCAACTTTCTTATTTCCCACATCTACTTTAGCCATGTGCTTCTAAATTATGGTGTTTAAAATATTTTATCCAACAAGTGTTATGTTTTTTAACAAGAGGATTTCCTTACATACCTAATCTGCTATACACCTGGGAATTTCCATTACTCATCAGCCCATTGAAGGTAAATTTCCTACTACTACCAAACCCCAGGCTACTTAAGCAAAAGAGATTATGATCTCTTAATTGCCAAATCCAGTCAACTCTTTCCAGTCCTCATGTTAATTGGCCTCTCTCTTTCAGCAGCATTTGGCACAGGTGGCCACAGCTTTTCCTTCCTTTCTTTCCTCCTCTGGCTCCTAATCACATATGTTTATGCTATTTCTGCTGTCACCATTTCTTCTCAATTTCCTTAGCTGACTCTACTTTTTCTGCCTCCCTCTTAAATCTTGGTGCTCCTCAGAGTTCTATCCTAGGAATTTTATTCTCATTCTGTAATACATACTGTACGTGGATTACCTTATCCATTCCCATGGCTTCTACTATCATGAGTATACTGGTGACTTCCTAATCTATACCTCAAATTGTATTTGGAAAGATAGATTAGGTTCAGTGAGATGAGACAATAGCTGGGATCATAGGTGTGTGACATTGCACGTGTCAGGTGCAATGATCCCAGCTATTAGGGAGGCTGAAGTGAGAGGACAGCTTGAGTTCAGGAGTTCAAGACCAGCTTGGGCAACATAGTAAGACCTGTCTTAAAAAAAAAAAAAAAAGAAAAGAAAAGATCTACCCAAAATCTCAGTAGCTCAATACAGAAAAGTTTACTTTTTGCTCATATAGAGTCTACTGGGGGTCCAAGTGACTCCCCAGAGAAACTGTCCTCCATATGTTGACTCAGTGATCCAGGGTTAGAACTCTTACCTTCACCTTCCCATCATAAAATCTCCATTGTTGTGGGAGGGGGTCAGAGCAGGTTTTGCATTAGCAATTAAATGCTTTGGCTAAATGAGACATGCATCACTTCATTCACTACCCATTGGCCAGAACTTGTCACATGACATTACCCAACCACAAGGGAGGCTCCACACAAGAAGGAGAGGAGAACTGGTTATTGGTGAGAACTAGTACTGTCTACCACACAAATCTAGATCTCTTTTGTGAGCCCCAGATCTGTGCATCCAACTGCTCTCTCAACATCTTTACCTAAATGTTCCACAGGCACCCCAAACCCAATGTGTCCAAAATTAAACTCATTATTTTTTCCCAATCCTATAACCCCTTATTTTATATTATCAACATTAGTTGATGGATACAACGCAGGAAACCTAGTTATTGCCACATCCCCTCTCTCTCTTACTTTCCTCTCACACCTAATAAATGACTAGACTCATCACCTATCTGCTCTACCTCTTCCCCATGGCCATTGCCGCTATTCAGATCATCCTAGTTTCTCACTTGGAACTCTGCAACACCAAAGGATTCTTCACCCACTGTCTGGCACCTCACCAGTCCCCCCTACACTCTGTTGCCTAAACCCAAATGTGCTTGTGTTAGTCCTCTTCAGCAGTCTTTCCATTGCCTATACGGGTAAAATATGTTTAGGGCCCGCCATTACCTGGTTTTATCTATCCTCTCCAGCCTTTCCTCTTCCATCACCCACCCTTATCCTATCCTCATTCCCCATAGCACCACCTATGGTGAAATACTTGCATTTCCCTAAACTCAACCATCGTGCCAAAGCATGCCCTTGTTTACCCTGTCCCTCTACCTGGAATACACTTCCTCCCTCGCTCTGCCTAGAAAATTATTCATCTTTCAAGGTGCAACTCAAACATTGTCTCCTCTATGAGGCTTTTCTTGACACCTATCCTCCCTCCTTATTGTGTAGCCTGACCTCTTTGTTCATTGCATCTCACTCTATCCTGTACGGATGTCTCACATCTACAATATTTCATTATGCTTATTTATGTGACTGGCCAGTCTGGAACATGCTTTTGTAGATGAATGAAGATATCTGTCTCTCTGCAACGGACAGATCCCGCAAGTCAAGAACTGTTGTCTTACTCATTATTGAACCTCCAGAGCTTGACAGGGTGTTTTCGTAGGTGCTAACTAAATGTCTGATTAATTAGTTAATCCTCCCTCTAAGTCTTGAAATACCGCTGTTTCCTTCTGTGGCTCCTCTTCCTCCTTCTTGCCCTTTGGTTGTATCTTTGATCATTGTCTAATCTTTTATCCCCCCTTGTTTTTGCTGCCACCTTCCTAAATATCTCCCAAATCCATATATATCTCTTCATCTCTAGTGCTACCATCCTAGTCCACATTACTATTACCCTCCTCAACTGTATCACTGCAGTAATCTCTCAGCCGGTCTATTCATATCTATTCTGGCTAACTTCCAATCTGTTTGCTCCAGTTTTAGTGATTGTTCCGTAATGCAAACCTGATCATGTCACCCTTGCTTAAATATCTTTAGTACAGATAAACCCACTTCTCTTAAAGACAAAAGTTGTGACGGACTGGCCCCTTCCTGCCTATTCAACCTCATCCTCATCATGCTCCACCCTCTGCCCACAACCCAGTGCCACCTCACATACTTCCTCTTTCAGCTTTTGTCAAACTAGTCTTTTTTTTTTTTGCCCTTCAACTTCCTACCTTCCTTCTGGCACAGGATTTTTAAATGTTCTGTTCCCTCTGAACTTTCCCTTCCTCTTGTTCTAGTGGAACTGCAACTCACATTTCAGATTTCAGCTTAAGTGTTGGGTCATTTTGTTATGTTTTTTGGCTCTAGGAAGGCTTCCCTGGTCCTCTTCCCCTCTGTTGTAGGCATCCATGGCACAGGGTCCTGATCCTTCACAGCACACTTAACAATCACAATTTACCATTTCTTTGTGTGGTAAGGGCCTCCTTTACTAGTCTGAAAGTTCCATGAAGGCAGCCCCTCACGCTCGTCATAATATCCTTAAAGCTTAGAATGGTACACAGCACATAGTAAATGTTCAATAAATGTTTTGGAGTAAGTGAATGAAGAAATGAATTATCTCAGCAACTGAGGTTCAAAAACTTGAAGTAATCATTGACTCATCCTACTGTTTTATTCCCAATATCCAGGTCCCAAGTTATATGTCCTCCAATTTTATGATCCCTGTGGTTTCAGCCTATACCCTTACTACACAATACCCAGAATATCACCGTACCATCTAGCTTCTTTGTCTCTACCCACAATTTATCTTATATGATATGGTACAATCTGTCATAAAGGCTATGTTTATCATGTTATATCTCAATCAAAAATATTTAGTGTTTATTTTTTAAATATTTCAAATATGTCTTGCTTGGACTTAAAGCTCCCCACCATCTGGCTGCAATCCATCTAAGTCAACTATTTTTCATCTCCCACCCTCTCCAAATGCCCCTCCCTATTTATTTATTTATTTATTTAAGCACTCTGTCACTCAGGCTAAAGTGCAATGGCATGATCGTGACTCACTGTAGCCTCAAACTCCTGGGCGCAAAGGATCCTCCTGCCTCAGCCCCCCAAAGTGCTGGATTACAGGCGTCAACCACCACACCCAGCCAAAATGTTCCACTCTTGAACTGTGCTAATATCCCAGAAATACATCACTTGAATTTCAGCAACCAACCCTGGGCCTAGGGCACCCCTCCCACAGCCCTTTCTCCCTCCATCCATCCAAAGCCTATCCACGCTCAAGGTTTACCTGAATACTTCCTTGCCTGATTTCTCCAGCTCTGCCAGCTGTGAGTTACTCTTCTCCACGTGGAAACCTCTTCCCCAGACTCTGTGCCTGGCTAGCTCCTTCTCATCTTCGAGTTCTCTAAGTGGAAATGTGCACTCCTTAGAGAAGCCTTCCCCAGTCCTCCATCTTCTCTGAAGACATTCTCCCAGTGTATTCTGTCTAGCTAGCACTCTTTTTTTTCCCTCAAGGCCCTTAATACAATGTGTCATTGACTTATCATTTACTTGTTTTTCATTTCTCTTCTCAATTATGTGGTAGAGTCTGTGAGGCAAGGAACTTTTCTGCCTTGCTCTCCGAAAAACCTGTAATAATCTGGTCAGTTATTAAACCTATATAACCTGGTCAGGCACAGTGGCTCACGTCTGTAATTCCAGCACTTTGCGAGGCCAAGGCAGGCGGATCACCTGAGGTCGGGAGTTCAAGACCATCCTGACCAATATGGTGAAACCCGTCTCTACTAAAAATACAAAATTAGCCGGGCATGGTGGCGCATGCCTGTAATCCCAGCTACTTGGGAGGCTGAGGCAGGAGAATTGCTTGAGACCAGGAGGTGGAGGTTGCAGTGAGCCAAGGTTGCAACATTGCACTCTAGCCTGGGCAACAAGCATGAAATTCTGCCTCAAAAAAAAAAAAAGAAAGAAAAAAAAAGAAAAAAAAAACCCTATAATACTAGCTCACTGTATGGCCTATAGCATTTACTTAATGAGTATATTTATTAATATTATTTTACAAATAAATATTTATAAAGAAATGATTCGCCTTCCCTTTGAAGGGATCTTAACACTCTTAACACATTTGAAGTCTGCACAGCTAGTACTTAACTCTTAGCACTGTTTGCTCTTCATTTTTCATTATCAGCCTCATCTCCCTGGTTAGAATAGATGAGATTATAAGGTTTTTGATGACAATGTCATACTGATGCGACCTCCACAGTAAATCTGGCACAGTGGTTAAAGTAAACACTTAATAAATATTTAATTAGCAAGAAACCTGTCTTGCCTCCTTATGTTCTGTCATTCATGTGTCAGACACAAAGAAAAGGTACAAAAGAAAGATTAAAAAATCATAATGTTGGGCTGGGCACGGTGACTCAGGCCTGTAATCCCAGCACTTTGGGAGGCCGAGGCGGGTGGATCACGAGGTCAGGAGATCAAGACCATCCTGGCTAACACGGTGAAACCCCGTCTCTATTAACAAAATACAAAAAATTAGCCGGGCGTGGTGGCGGGCGCCTGTATTCCCAGCTACTCGGGAAACTGAGGCAGGAGAATGGCGTGAACCCGGGAGGCAGAGCTTGCAGTGAGCCGAGATAGCGCCACTGCACTCCAGCCTGGGCCACAGAGCGAGACTCCGTCTCAAAAAATAAAATAAATCATAATGTTGACCTCAAAGAGGAAGCCTACCGTTGAGTTTAGTAAGATCTTTGCTACACACAATGTGATGCTGGCAGTGGCAGGGGCAGTAATCTTTATTTCGTCATTTTTGAAACATAGAAGCCGTAACGGAAGCAAGTGAAATGCTCAGTCTTAGACGACTGCGTCGTGCTATGACCGGACTTTTTCTTGAAAGGTAAATGCATTTACCACATGCTTTTAATCTAGATTAAATAATCACTCACCAAAAGAAAGTGTCGTCTAATTGTTAGTGGTTTCTATCACTTGTTTTCTTTGATGCAGGAAGGGTTGTATTTGAATGGTTCTATTAAGTTGATGGATTTTACGCTATCAGTAAGATTCTCCAGTGCTGGATGAAACGTGAAAAAGTATATATAGCACCGCTTCTATTTTAATTTATGCTTCTGCCAACTGTTTGGGTTGTGCTGAAAGGGAAATATATTTCCTGCTTTTCTTGGCCTGGATTTGTGAGTAGCTATTTCCCTGTGGTATTGTACGATGATTTTGTCCATTTATGTGAAAGTTAGGGTGGGGTGGCCTAATGTTTTCACAGCGGCTATGGTAACATTTTTGTAAATTCAGAACTGCTACTGTGAATTTCAGGATTTTACAGAAACCTATGATCCTATCTTCTTCCACCTCTCCAGTGGCAAAGCCTAGTGTAAGCTCATACTCTGTTTAGCACCAGCATATATTTCAATATTTTAAAAATATTATGTCAATATTTTATGATGGTCTGCAAAGAGCACCACTGACTTACAAGTTAGAAAAGGAGCAAAAAGTGTGAGAAAAATTACCACTGCCGATTCTGCTGCGGACTGTGGGCCTCCTATTCTCATGGCTCAGATTCCTCAACACATTTTCCCGTTGGCCCTTTTCTTATCTGACATTGCATGATCTAAAAATGTTTGGTGAATTGTAAGGTACTTGGTAATGTTGTTGTTGCTGCTATTGTAACAGGTACAGGGCGATGAGGTGTCCTTCTCCCAACCCTCCCACAGGTCCAAGGACTTGGAAGTTAACTTTTGAGAGCTGAACAATAAAACAATAAATAATTGATGACATTTGTTTAAAGAAATGACCTTAAAATATAGAAGAAATAACAAAGCCAAAACATTTTCCCATGAGTTTGCCTAAATACAAAGTAAAATTTTGGCCTCCTAAAAAAAAAAATCAGGGATGCATACAATGTTTTATGCACAAAAATATCTCTTTCATTGTTATTGATTTAAATAAAAATGGAAACAATTCTATCAGTAAGTGGGGAATTTGTTAAGCAAGTTATAGTACATAGCTATAATGGAAAGACCTATCACCACTAAAAAATGTTATAAAAAGTTTTTAGTGACATAGAAGAATGTGTATGGCAAAATGCTGAGTGTAAAAGGAAGATATAACCTCTTATAAAAAGAAATATCTCAAGTAGCTTTTTAAAAAATGCATGGAAGTCTGACTAAAAGGAAAGACACTAAAAACATTAATGAGTAGTAGGAGTTTGGGTGATTTCACTTTCCTGCCTTTAGATATTTTATACATTTTGATATAAAGCCTAAACAAGAATATTGGCAAACTTGAGAAGATAATACGTGAACAGATTAGAAGTGTCTAATGAGGTCTAGAGTAAGGGTCTCCAAGAGCAAGTTTGTCAAAGTTTATGTAGCAATGCCAGGGAAGAGTAAGATTGATACATCAGACCCAGTTGGCAGTCAATATAAAAATCATCCATTCATCTTCTCTCATACTTACTTCAGTTCAGTGCTTACCAAGCAAATTTATGATTTTCATTGGCATTCTTATATGTTCCCCTGATAGGCAAAATTCACTGATTGCACCAACATGTACCTAATGTTATTTCGGCTTATACATCAGTCTCCTGTGAGTTGGTTGGTGGGAATCAGTTCTGGAGAAATCAGTCATTTCTTGGTGCCCTGATAAGATCAAATTTCTGGACCTGCAAACCTGAAGGCTGGCTGCTGAGCTGCAGAAACAACACCAGAATTGTTAACCACTGATGAGTGATCTGTGACCACTGATGGCACTAGAACACCCACAAATTGCCTCTCATTGTTACTACTCTTATATGACAATCACAGTCTCAGAGCTGGCCCTTAAGCCGGCTCTCCCTTCCAAGCTTTCTAAGAGATACCTTGTTTTATTCTCAGGGGATGACAGCATGGGAGGCAATGGCTCCACATGTAAACCCGACACTGGTGAGTTTACGACAGGAATAATTACCTGCCTCACGTCTGAGTTAAAATAACTAGAAATTGTGCTGAAGGGCTGTAATGGAAAGGCACTAGCTAGTGCATTTCTGAAACTGGAAGAATCCAATTTTACCAGGACACAGAATTTAATGCCAGGAGGGGTGAAAGGGGGAACCACAGAGACCTGCCTGGCCCTCCAAATCTGAGTAAAGGGTGTCTCTGCTCAATATCAAACTAGGTGGGTCCTGCTCCCCTATTTGTGGTGTAGGCATTGGGAAAACCACTGTGGCTGTTTTTGGCTAGGCACTGCTAATAGCTGCTCTGCAAAAAGGGCAAACATAAAAGGGCAGCAGTTTCAAGGTCAAATTCCCCAAGGACTTTGGGAAGCATTTGTTGTTTCTCCCTAGCTGGGAGATGCTTTCCTTAGGCCAGAGGGAGCATATCTCTTCAGGAGTTCCTATTAAAATCTTTGAGGAGAGCAACATATGAGATTTTTTTTTTTAATCAAAGGAACACTAGGCTTGTATTTCATGTATGTAGTTGATTTTTAAGTTCTATTTTTCATTTAAAAGTACTTGGAATCTAAAAAACAATGTTCTCTCATTTTTGTAAGAGTTGCAGCCCCATCCTTAATTTCCACTGGTTGCTTGGGTAGAATGGGGCACCTGGGGAAACTTAAGCTGGAAGGGTATCATGAAAAGTGACAGATACACTAATTCCTTTTGTGTTTTCTTGTAGAAAGACAAGGCACTCTCTCCACAGCAGCCCCAACAACTAGCCCTGCACCCTGTCTCTCTAACCACCACAAGTAAATGAGCATTCTCCTATCTGTTTCATCTTGTACCACGTGGGATTTGATGTTGTGCTGACAGCCTCGGCTTGGGGATTTGGGCAGGGAGACTGGGGAGAAAGGACTAGAAACAGTAAAAGAACAAAGTCAGTTTGTGATCTCAGGAGTATGGCTCTTAATTTGGCATCCCCTAAGCTTCAAGAGATCCATGGATCCCCTAAGCTTATAGGTAAAATTTGCTGGGTGGGGAATTATGAACATTGTGTGGGTTGAGGGAGGGGGAGAGGAAGAGGCCACAGCTTCCTCTGAGGCCTCAAATGGATGTGAAACTCAAAAGCAAAAGCTGAAAACCACTGGGTGAAAGTTCATTAATCAGTGTGAAAACCATTTCAGGAGTCCATCCATAGGCAGGAAAGGTTTCACTCTTTAGGAAAGGCCTTCAAAAGCCCAACAGTTCATCCCCTGCCTTTCTTTGCCAAAACAGCAAAAAACATTTAATCCTTGCCTTTTGTGCTGGGGTTCTACTGACACTGCTGCTGATAGCCTTTATCTTCCTCATCATAAAGAGCTACAGAAAATGTAAGTGGTCTCCAAGGGATAGGACAGCCCTTCTCTCTCTGCCATTGATACTAGAATTAGCTATGAGTGAGTAATGGGAGGAGGTAGGGGAGGGTGCAGTGTGATAAAACCTGCTTAGCCCACCCTGTCTGCAGACTGAAGATTCAAATCCCTTCATTTTTCTTCCGCCCTGCCCCCCACCCACCTGCCAACACCTCCTCCCCACCCCACCCTTCACCCAAGATCGAAGGGAGAGGCTTCCCATTTCCCCAGGCCCATTGCTGAGATGGGTCCCTCTTCTTTCTGGCACCATGGCAGATCACTCCAAGCCCCAGGCCCCAGATCCTCACTCAGATCCTCCAGCCAAGGTAAGATGACCACACTGTTTTGGGGACACTGAAGGGCTACCGTCATTGGAATTCCCCTCCATACTCTTCATTATCTGCTAGAATGGTGGTATTGATTTCCAGACACTGGGCAAGTGATTCTTTGACCAAAGTGCTCAGGTTGCTTCTAAAGAGCAACCTTTTGCTCCAGACTGGACTCACTCATTCCTCCTTTTTCTCCCTCTGCAGCTTTCATCCATCCCAGGGGAATCACTTACCTATGCCAGCACAACTTTCAAACTCTCAGAAGAAAAGAGCAATCACTTGGCTGAGAACCATTCTGCAGACTTTGACCCCATTGTCTATGCTCAAATTAAAGTAACAAACTAACTCAGCTTTTCCAATGAGGCTTGAATCCATTTCCTCTCATCTCAGCCCTATCTTCACACATCACTTTCACTTTTTTACAAATTTTGGACCACCACCTGTGTGAAACTGCAGTCGGAGTTGTTTAGATGTGATCTGGCAATGCTATCCAGCATCTTTGGAGACCAATGGTCAGTCTTTTCCTGGCCAGAGGAAAGATTGATGGCCCTCCCACTTGAACTGACAGCCTGTGAGCCCCTTGGGGGCATAGACTGCCTTCCTTGGACCCTTCCAAAGTGTGTGGTACAGAGCTCAGTGCACAGAGTATTCACCCAGCATCATGAATCAACTTGGGAGGAGTCAACCAAATGAACAATCTACCAAAAATTTCAAATAAAGTCAAACCCCCCACAGTGCTGCCTCCATCTTTATTATTTGTTTGTCTGTTCCTGCCACCTTCTCCAGAGGTCAAGATTAAAAGTCCAGAGCTCATTCACAGCCAAAAACACCACCAAAGGTGATGGCACTTGGAAACAAGCTCAGATTTGATTGGGGTGCAGGTACCAAACTCTGCCACTAACTAGCAGCATTCATTTAGGCAAACTTGTTAAACTTTTCAAGCCTGAAGTCTTTCATCTTGAAAACAGAGATAACACTTACCACTAATATTTAGTGTGAAGATTAAATGAAATATCTTATACATAAACATTCTATACATCCAAGAGCTCTACACAAACACAAGGTCCCTACTGTATAAAGCACTATGCAAATGGAGATTTCTACCTCCATCCTATAGCATAAGAGGTATGCATAACAACATTATATGAGAACCAAAGATAAAGATTAAACATTAATTCCCCCAAAATCCCAATGAATAATCACATATAAAAATCCCATTAAAAATATCATCAGATGAGTTCCCAAAGGTGAACAACAACAAAATATCAATAAGATTATTTTTCACCGGGCAGGCTTACTCTAAATTTCCTATGTAAACCATAAACAAGACAGCAAATCCAGAAAAATGTATAAAAATAAATAATTAAAGTTATATGGGAAGGCTAGCCCTAGTAGCTAACTAAAAGTACTTGTTTTATTAAGCATCACTAATTAAAGCAATATGTTAATGGTACCTGAATAAATAAATCAATTGAATAGAATTTAAAGACCAGAAATACATCAAAATATATAAGGAAATTTAGAGTATGATGAAGATGGCATATGAAATCATTTGGGAGAAATTGGTTTATTCAATAAGTGGTAGCAAGATAACTAGATAACCATGTAAATGAAAATAAAGTAGGATCCATATTTCACTTCTTATATGAAAATAAATCCCAGATGTGAAAAATTTAACAGTAAAAAAAATCATAAAAGCACTAGAAGAAAATATGGGAGAATTTTTAAAAATATTTTTGTAGAGCATGCCTTTGAATGTATGTCACAAATCCCAGAAACCAGAAAAGATTAACTTGACTTCTAAAGTACAATTAAAAGTCCAAAGTACCATTAAAAAGTCAAAAGGCAAATGACAAGCTTAGAAAACACTTGCAAAGCATCTTATAGATATATAAAGATCATTTGTAAATCAACAGGGGAAAAAATGAACAACTCAATAGAAAGGACAAGGGATAGGGGTGGGCAATTTGTAGGAAAGAATATATAAATGGCTCAAATATATGAAAAGATACTCGACTTCACTCATAATAAGGGAAATAATGATTACAACTAAAATTACATAATTTTTTCTATCAGTAAGACTGGCAAAATTCAAAAAGTTTGCTACCTGTGTGGGCAAGACTTGGGGGGAACCAAGACACACATACACTACTGGTGGGAGAGCACGTTGGTACAGCTACCACAGAAGACCATTTGGCAATAGCCAACAACATTCTAAATTCTTTTCTAAGAATTTATAAATAATCCTATTTCTAAGGATTTATCCTACTCAAATACATGGAAAATTGCCTACGTAACTTGAACTGCAGCAGTAATCAAATTGGCTAGAACTTACTGAGGCTTATTACACTTTTAGTACGATTCTAAGTGCGTGGCATGTATTCGTGGAATCCTCACAGAACACTGTGAGGTACAATTATTACTCATTTTAGATACAGAAATGGAGGCACAGAGAGGTTAAGTAACTTGCCCAAGTTCACATTGCTAGTAGTAGTGGCACCGGAACTCAACCCTGGGTAGGCTGGCTCCAGAGTTTGCATGTTTATACATTATGCTCAATTCTCTGAAACAGCAAAAGATCGAGAAAATCTTCATTGTACATGGAGAGGAGACTGGTTCATTGAGTGCAATGTAGCCATTAAAAAGAATGAGGCAGCTCTATATGTTCTAATAAAAACAGATATCTATGATATATTGCAAGCTGTTGAACAGAATTATGAATATGCTCTACTCACATGTAGTAGAGTATATGTGTATCTATATATTTAGTATACCTCTGGAAGAAAACACAATGAATGGTCTTGGTGATGGCCTCTGGGGAGGGGAAATTGCTACCTGTGGGACTGAGGATCCCTAAACATATAGATATAAATAAGAGGACTGAGCAGACAGAAACCAAAATATCATCTTTATTATGAACATGGTCAACATTGGAGAATAGAGCTTATACTACAGCTGCAAAGAAGTTCAGAATACTGAACTCCACTACTGAGTTATAAGCTGCACCAGAGCAAGCCCACCCGTCCCAACAAGCAATGCAGTTGTTCAACCTTCCCCTAAGGAGTTGCAGAAGAGCTCATGTGCTCTTTCAAATCTGCACCCAAAAGAGTAAAAGAGGAAGAGGAAGAAAGAAAGTATGTATGCCCAGTTCCTATTCCCAGTCTGCCATGTCAGATAGCCCCCTCTACCTCCCATGGTGGGGGGTCACTGAGGAGTGTTGCCTTAATGGAGCTCAGTCTACACCAAAGGAAGCAGGAGTGGGAGAGAAGCATCCACCACAGATCTTTCAAAAATACATTAAATAATATTTTGGGGTCTGGGTGTAGTGTCTCTTGCCTGTAATTCCAGTCCTTTGGGAGGCCAAGGCAGAAAGATTGCTTGAGCCCCAAAATTTGAGACCAGTCTGGGCAACATAGGGAGATCCCACCTTTACAAAAAATAAAATAACTAGCCAGGCATGGTGGTGCATGCCTGTGGTCCCAGCTACTTGGGAGGGTGAGGTGGGAGGATTACTTGAGCCCAGGAGGTTGAGCCTGCAGTGAGCCAAGATTACACCACTGTACTCCAGCCTGGGTGGCAGAATGAGACTCTGTCTTAATAATAATAATTCTTATTATTATTTGCAAAATCAAGTTAAGAAAATTGAAGTCCAAGGAGATGAAATAATTTACTCAATGACATCTGGCTAAAAATAAATGGCAGAACAAAAATTTAAATCAAGTCCTCTGACTTCAAATTCCTTGCATCTGGCCTCCACATCAAGCCGCCCCACAGCACTTATGGTGTCAAGGAGACGAGAAAGGCAAAGAGTCAGGTGACGTGATCCAGACAGCATGTTCTTTCTGAGAGAGAGCAACTGCTCCTGGAAGTTGGATTTTGAGGGAGAAGCCAGTGGAAGACAGTTTGAGTAAAAAAAAAAAAAAAAAAAAAAAAAAAAAATTAGTCTCTCTGTGGGAGTGAACAGGTCTAGAAGAAAAACAGGTTTAAGGGAGATAATTCAGTGAGGTGGCCACAGCACCACCAGGGCAGCCACCCCACGAGGGCAGCAGAGACCCAGGAATGGCCTTCTCCCGTTCGCTGACTGTAGGAAGTGCACACAGGGAGGCCTCTTGAGCTTTCAGCTGTTCCCAAACTTGGGGCTGACATCAAACAATTCTGCCATCCCTGAAGCTAGAGGCCATATCAGCTTTCCAGTTCAGGGCCAGCACCTTATAAACATCGCTACAAGAGTAGAGTAAGCACTGTCACTTGGCTAGCACTGTCACTTGGCTATCTACTTGTACAAGAAATATCAAATTAATTGCTCTTTCCTGTTTTCTTGAAGCTGCCCATTTTTTTTTTTAATGGTATAGCCCTAAACAGCGTCTTGTTTTTTGTCTTCACATTATGCAGCCAGCCTTGCTGGAGGATAAAATGAGTAATTAAATGATTGACCCCAAATTCAAAGATCTTTGCTAGGTAAGAGCAGAACAAAGCTCTTGAATCCTGGATCATGGAATCAGAACAAACCTACAGGGAAATGGTTCTCCAGACATCGTGAATGTAAATCTTCCAAGACATCTGTAGATGTCTTCATCTGCCGCGGAAGGTCTATGTCTGCTATCTCGCCTTGTAGAATGGAATGTCCTAACTGAACCCAAACTGTATTGCTATTTGCAGAACTGGTGGGTTAATGATCCCATTTGTTTAAATTCAATACAGGGCCACAGGGGAGGAATTGGGGCTGTTTTGTGGCTAAGGGAAAAGAGAGCACTTTTGATGTTGTTTGATCTGAGCCTCTGGCAAGGAGGTGGGTTGTACAGAAACACAGAGGTGTGGTGTCCACACCCTCATCCCTTCCCATCAGGCCGTTGAGTAGCTTTGAATTCCCTACCTTTGGGGAATTAGGACTTAGGGTGGAAGCTGAAGGAAGTGTGTTCATGAACGATTTTGTGGGAGTCTGGATCTAAACACACAGGACATGTGCAGAATTATTTCAACAAACAACCTCCCTGTTCCAACTCTGCTCAGACCAGAAGGCCACTTGAGTATCCTGAGGACTGAGGCTGGCCAGCACACCCATTAGAAGAGATCGTAACACAATGAAAAGCAGGCTTGTGATGACGGCAGCACAGACAGTGAGTGGGAGGCCCTGAGAATTCCCAGAAATAGCAGGAGAGACCCTATATGGGGAGAGAGGGTGTAGATATGCAGGTGGGAGCTAAGAGTGTTGGTAATTCTGGCATGAATGGCAATATAACCTCATTCACACCCATGGCTGTGATGTCTTGTTCTTGATTTGTATTTCCTGATTTGAATGAATATTTCACTTAAGTTATCACACCTTGGTTTCTCATTGATCAAAAGCAGCATCCCTTTAGTCAGGTGGAAGTTTCCCATTAAGGATGAGAGGAATGGCCTTTTCACCAAAAGAATCTGAGAACCACTGATTTAGTCTATCTCCCTTTCTTTGGGTTGGGCAGCATTTGATACCAATTCAGAAATGAGTTAGAACGTTATTCTTTGAAAGAAACTTTTCCAGAAATATTTTTACAGTGATACCCTAGAAGAAGTTACTCATACCTTGGAGTTCATTCAACACTGGCTAGGAATTTATTGGCTAACAAAATACAAGTGATTTCCTGGTCCCCAATCCAGATTCTCCACCTCTTCTTCACTTCTGACTGATGGAATGCATAAGAACTAAGATCTTGAGATGTTATTTGAGGGCAGCCTTGCTTGGGTGTGGTCTATCATAGCTCCTCTGACTACCGCCGTTGCTACCTGGCTGCAAATGATTGTTGTCAAGGATAGAGGGTCCTTCAGAATTCCTGGGAGATCAGAATCAGTCTCTGAGGTGTGGGCCAGTTGTCATGGTGATTATTCTGTTGTAGCATCACTTTATGAACTAAATTAAAAAAATCTTCAGTCACATCTGTTCAGTAGGAGCCATTTCCTTTGGAGTCAGGACACGCGAGAAGGGCTTCAAAGTGTTGCCTACTTTGTTGGGGAATAGAAAGGGAAAATGGAGTTGAGATCTATTGCCTACCCCTGAAGAGTGTTTCTGCAGCAAAAGTTCCAAACTCTGTCATGGGGCTTTCATGGGGACTAAACACAAGTTTATTTTCAGGGCTGAGATCAGATATCATTACTGCAAAGCCCATCAGTAGGAAAGTCAATAAGAAGGCTTGGTACACAGGGCTTGCATTCACCTCTGTGAACACAGCTGAACTTCTTCAGAGCCCAAGAATGTCAAAGCTAGGAGCCTTGGTTCAGGCTGCCACATTTCATCTGCCCGAGTTTGAGGAAGCAGGCCATGGCTACAACAGGCTGTACAACTTCTTGCTAAAAAGAAGTAGCGTTGAGTTCTACTGCCTCATCTTTCATAGTATCATGTGCCTTTCCTTAAGAGCACTGACTCCTGGTGGCAATGTTACATTTGGGTGTTGATGTGTGATGTGTGATAGTTTGTCTTCCTCCCCCTCTACAAGTTCCATGGACACAGATGGCATTTCTTTTGCCCATCTTTGTATCCCCAGCATCTAGCTAGCATGGTCCTTTTTTGTTGAACTAACGAATAAAAATATTGGGGAGTATGAAAATGAGACCCTCAATTTATAGAAAAGGAAACAGGCCCAGAAAAGTATAAAGTTGCCCAAGGTCACACCTTAAAAAAGTGACAATGGTTTTAGCAAAAACCTAGACTACAATTGTGTCCAGAAGGGCTGGTCTTGGGCAGACCTGAGAAAGCCATTGTCTTGTCCACATGCCCCACCTTCACAGTTCCCAAGGCTGCTAGAGGACAAAAGGTCAAGAATGCTGTGGGAGCCACTACTTTGCTTTTTTTAGGGCTCCTATTCTGACCACAGGAACAAAATATCCCAGGGAAAGTATGAGGCCTTGAAGCCTTTGCTTTGCATTTCAGATTCTTCTGGCTATGGATCCTGGTGTATCACTAGCAAGGGTTACTAGGAGTGTTTTTCTGTCTTTTTCTGAAATATTGTTCTTCTACATTTCCATACCCAAGGGAGGTTGCAGTCTGTTTTTAATTATGCCTACAGACTCTTCATTGCCTAAGGTGTTCCTGTGATTTCTGAGCATAAAAAGAAAAATGCAAAACTACTATTAGCCAAACAGTGGCAACTGTGCAATGTTCTTTCTGCTCTGTGTACACTTCAGAGGTTGGCATATTTGCCACATGCTGGAGGATTCTCTGAACAGTAAGACCAGCCTTGTCTTACTGACCAGTCATGTCTCTGATGCTGCCCTAAAGGGAAAGGTGGGCACACAGTCCCTTCTCTATTTAGGGATGGGGAGACCTAAAGATCAGGCTTGAGGCAGGAGAATCGCTTGAACCTGGGAGGTGGAGGTTGCAGTGAGCTGAGATCGAGCAACTGCACTCCAGCCTGGGCAACAGAGCTTGACAATGTCTTTAAAAAAATAAACAATTAAAATTGGCCAGGCATGGTGGCAGGCGCCTGTGGGCCCAGCTACTTGAGAGGCTGAGGTGAGAGGATGGCTTGAGGCCAGGAGCATGAGGCTGCAGTGAGCTATGATCATACTTCGGCACTCAAGCCTGGGCAACAGGGCAACATCCTGTGTATATGAAAAAGGAGACTCTTCTATACCTGCTTACCCAGCGGTCCCAGAAGCTCATTCCTTCGACAGGAGCCCGAAGTTTGTGTGCTGGGGAGGTAGGTGGCTCTGCAGATGGGAACCTGGTGTGGTTGTCTCAGGACCTCCTTCCTTCCTGACCTACACATGTATCCACTTAAGAAAGCTCCAGTGCTCCCTCTGTCACTTCTCGTGATGCCTTGTCACCATCAAGCAGATATCTACCCCAGCCCATGGCTGGCTGCATTGGTCTCCAGGTGACCAGGCAATATGAAGAGGCTCTCATTCACTCATTTGAAATCTGCTCCTTGACCTCTTTCATTTTCTCTAATTCTTGCCCACCCCCTCCCTCAACAATAGCTACTTACCCCTTCTATTCCTTTGACTTCTCCTCCTTTTGGTCAAATGACTGATTACAGAGATGATTCCCAAACCCGTGATCAGTATGCAAATGATGAGAATGGACGTCCTAGAAGGAACCACAGCAGATTTCATGTTGCTTGGAAGAAACTGCCTATTGATTCTCAGCTCTGGATCCCTTTTTCTGGGATTTGCACCCCTGCCCACCCCCCAACCCAGTTACAGTAGCTTCTGGGAACCGTATTCCTTTAGAGTGACCCTGTCCTTTGGACCACCCTCGATGGGACCTGCTGAGCATCTGACTAAGCTGGGCCAATGAACCCCTTCCTCAGAAATTAACTGTGGATTGGGAATAGGAGAATCCAGTCTCAGACTGGCCAGTCTCTTGAATGGGGGAGAAATAAACTTAGGAACCATAAATGGATGACTATTAGGGGAAAAAAGAGAAATATACAAGGGCAATACAGAGACAGAAGGAAGGAAACACACAGATTCGAAGCAGATTAGAGACTGAGGTAAATTCGTGATGATGTTCCTGACAATTTCCAAGGGTGGCCACATCCCTGCTCCTGCATTTGAAACACCTCTCTCTCCTTATGATAAATGTCCCCTTTTAATTAAAATAGCTAGAGGGCTTTTTTGCTGCTTGCAACCAAGAGTCCTAAACTGTATTTTTTTTTTTTTTTTGAGGAAACCAAATACTCAGATTAAGGATACATAGTTAAGGTGGAGAAATAATGTGCAGTAGAAAAGTTGTCGGTGCAAATCAACTGTCATATCATACTGCTGCCACCCCAGCCCCTACCTCCACCCCACCGCCCCAAGCCCATTCATCCGCCAAGACTATGACTCACCTGGAGCGGTCAGCCTTGCGGACAACTTTGGGAGCCTTGCAGCTTCTGGTTTTGTTGCCTGATAGGTCTGAATCAGAAAGGATTTGTTAAGTCAGGTGAGGCCCATAGCCAGGTCCTACCTCTGCCTCCCAGCTGCAGCTCTGCCTGTCATTCTATGTCCAGAGAGTGAGTCCCCTGGTTGACTCCAGAGTAAAGCAGAGGTACCACGCGCAGTTGTATAAATGTGCCCTGCACAGGGAACAAGGCTGAGGGGACAAGCAGGGGCCGACATTTAGCCCACACTCTGCTTGCCAGGCCATGCACCCTACCACTGGACTCCATGCACCTGAAGGAAGGGGCCCCTTTTCCAGATTTGAACAAAGGCCCCACGTAGACTAGAAGTGGCCCATAGTTACAGTCCTAAACTGAGGTCTCCTCCCCATAGGAGGGGATGCCAGAGGCACAAGAGGGCCAATCCTATCCTTAAAGAACTGCTCATTTCGTGATGTAATTGCCATGTTTTTCTTATGACAGCCACCAAAACCCAACGGGAGCAGTGGCACCACGACCACCTACGATACCCCCTCTGATAAGACGTGGGAGAGGTCTGTGTTTCATTTAAACTAAGGAGTACGTTCAGGTGGGAACGTTCTCTTGTCTGAGCCTAAGATTCAGGTCAAGTTGCACAGTTAAGTAAAAGCAGAACAACACAAAGTAGAAACACTGTGGGTGTGAACGATGTTACATTCCGTAGGATGCTTGCTGAATCAATCACTAGCTAGTCAAGTGTTAGCAAAACTCTCTTTCTAGCATGGGGACAGGTTTCCAAGGGCACCCCTTAAGCCCTTCTGGTTTGTTTTCCTACCAGCATTGTGCTCTGGACTGTGATAGAAAAGGACATCCTTTCTAGAAATGGAAACAACAAGAAGGCACAGGGGAAAGAGAAAAAAAAAAAGGAAGAAAGAAAGGCTAGCGCCTTCCATAAGTCCTCTGTCTGAGAGACAGAGGTTTTCTGGTGCAAAAGGAGATTTTCATCATTCAACAGAAGGAACCTGAGTGAACATCTGGAAATCCTATGTCTTAGCTCCAGCCAAGAGTTGTAATTTGTTAACTCGACTTTTCTGCTATGGGTTCCAGTTCCACCCACACCTTCCCTGTGGTCTCCAAATATAAACTGCACATTCCTTAAAAGCAAAATAGGGTGCTTACTAGTTGGACCATGAAATTTATATCTGTAAATTATTATTATTATTTTTTGAGACAGGGTCTCATTCTGTCATCCAGGCTGAAGTGCAGTGGTGCAATCACGGCTCACTGCAGCCTCAACCTCCCTGGACTCAGATGATCCTCCCTTCTCAGCCTCCTGAGTAGCTGGGACTACAGGCAGGCACCACCACATCCAGCTAATTTTTGTATTTTTTGTAGGGATGGGCTTTCTCCATGTTGCCCAGGCTGGTCTTAAACTCCTGGGCTCTAGCAATCCACCCACCTCAGCCTCCCAAACTGCTGGGATTACAGGAGTGAGCCACCGCACCTGGCTACCTCCGTATACTATTAAATTATTTAAGTTGACAGTTACCAGGCACGTGGGTCATTTTTTGCAGCCTCAGACACCTCTCAAGAATCTAATCTTCAAGATTCTAGACCGACAAGGCACACAGACTTTTTTTTTTTTTGAGACTGAGTCTCACTCTATCGCCCAGGCAGGAGTGCAGTGGCGCAATCTCGGCTCACTGCAACCTCTGCCGCCTGGTTCAAGCGATTCTCACACAGACATTTAATAACAACTTCAAAGCCTTTCAACATAAAGATCTCACATCTATTAGACCCTGTCAGCCTCTTCTAAGGTCCTTAAACCAGATTGCTGTAAGGGAAGAGAAGTTCTAAAAGTGCCCCAGGGCGCAGACACCCTCCTTGTCCCCAACTTCCAGCTATTCCCCAGCACTGTTAATGACCACCCTATGTTTGCCGGAGGAAGAGAGAGGCCAGGCAGGCCCAAAGTACCCAGTGGGAGTCTGAGTTGGGGCTCACTGGCTTCAGAGAGTGCTCTCTTAGCAGCAAACACCCATGGCTGTGGGTTACATCCAGCCAGACCCCAGGCAGGCTCCTTACCTTTCCCAGACCAAAAGTCATTGGCCAGGGTTCCTTTGTCGTCAGTTACAATCAGCTCTGTAAAATCCATGTCATCCCTGGCAAAGTCCCGCTGGATGCCACACCAGTACCAGCCCGTGTCCTCTTTGGTCAGGCAGGACATAGTGACAATGAGCTGGTTCCCTGTGTCCCTCAGGGCCACATGATTGGTGCTGTTAGGGGAGAAGGCGATGATGTTGCAGTAGTCACGGAAATAGCCTCGGCACCAGTATTTGGGGTGATTCTTGTAGTGGGCATTGTAGTTGCAGATGGCAGAAGCCGTGTCCAGCACAAAGCTTCTCTTGACCTTTTCATCCATGACCATGGCATCTGTGAAAACACACACACACACGCACACGTGCACACACACACACCATTGTTCTCTCAAAACATTGCAGCTCCTGCCCTCCTGAAGGATAATTAATTAAAGAATCGGAGGCTGATTTTTGCCTCTTTTTGATTGGCAACTATTATGGGCTGAACTATGTCCCCTTCAAAACTCATATGTTTCAGTCCTAACCTCCAGTGACCCCAGAATGTGACTGTATTTGGATATAAGGCCTTTAAAGAGATAATTAAGTTAACATAGGGTCATTGGGGTAGTCCTTAATTCAATTCAGCTGATGTCCTTATAAAAAGGAGAGATTAAGACACTGACAATACAAACAGAGGAATGGCCCATGAGGACACAGCCAGAAGGCAATCATCTGCAAACCGAGAGATGGCCTCAGAATGAAACCAAACTTGCCAAATGCCTCGATCTTGAACTTACCACCTTCATAACATAAGGAAATAAATTTCCATTGTTTTAGCCTCCCAGACTGTGGTTTTGTTGCTGTTGTTGTTATCACAGCCCTAGCAAACTAATAAAGCAACTCTGGAGAAGTCCTTTTCCCTGGCCTAAGGGTGGGTGAAATATGGAGGCCTCCTACCATTGCTTGACGGAGGGCCTTGAAGAGCCTGAGGCTTACCGTTAGGAGGCCCTCTGTCCCTAGCTCCCACCCTACCTTAGCACCCTCAGAAAGAAAGTGATGTTTGGAGGCTTCTGCTGGCTGCACAGGGCTGAAAACAGAGGAAGTCATGTTCTGTCTTTAGGGGATAAGAACTTCATGTTCCCTCCGTACAAGACCAGCATAGGCACCTCTATCATCTCAGGATATTGCACAATGAGGAAGTCACGCACACCATGTCCAGCTTGACCATGGCAGGGAAAGTGTCTGACCAAGAAGAGGAGATGAGACAGCAGAGCCCATTCTTCTCTCAGCCTTCCAGAAGTATAGCAAAAACCACTAAAATGCAGGCTCAGGTTCTTTATAACATTTTGTTTTCGTAACAACCCCACAAGGAAGATAGCATGATCTTCAGTTTATAAGTATGAATGCTGACCCAGAGAAAGGTTCAGCAACTCTAAATGCCACACAACTGAAGGTCAGACAGAGCTGGGAAAAGGCCAGTGTTCCAAGTCTCATCTTTGGGGTCAAGCACAAGTGGAAAGGGGAAAGTCGTGTCCTCATATATGTGCACATATATTTTTGAGGGGAGAAGGGGGAAGGGGGAACCTGGGTAAACTAAAAGAAAATACAGAGCTCTCGTTTTATTTTATTCCAGTGGAGATGCTGGGGAAAAATATGGAATGCGTAATGAATTTGCATGTCATCCTTGCACAAGGGCCATGCTAATCTACTCTGTATCATTCTAATTTCAGTATATGTGCTGCCAAAGTGAGTGCAGAGTCATCATTTTAGTCAAGCTTTTCAATTTCCTCACAAACTCTCTTATCTGAGCTAAGAACAAGAACTAATATGGACAAGACCTATTTTCATCGCCTTTTATTTTCCCATCCCACTCCTTAGATGGTTCGAGTTAATAAGCAAGGACTCCAAGTAGGTGAGGACTTCAGTGCAAAGTCTCTGGAAAGGCCACAGCTTAAAGGGCTGGAGCTGTTCCGTCCCCCATCCTACCTGAAATGAGAGCCAAGGAGAGTAGAATGAAGAGCCACATGACTGGAAGGAAGCAAACTTTCAACTGGAATGATAGAATGCACCCAGGGAGCCCAGGAATTCTGAATCTGTTTAAGGGAAACAGATATGCTTGAGCTTAATATGGCTTTATCCTGGTTTGAAGAGACCAGTGAAAAGGGAAACAACCAGTTAGTCCAAGCAGTGCTGCCATGTATAGATACACTGCACAATGCACCATACCACATGCTCTTCATAGACATAAACTTACTGACGGGGCAACCAAGAAAATTCTGGGCAGTAGAGATCTCCCTCCTGCGTAAATGGGCTCTGGCCCACACTCAGAAAAGCACATGCACACAGCCATCACTGGTACACATTTGTATGTGCTCTACTATGCCCTGTCCTGCTGCCAATGGTCCTGGCATCATCAGAGGCCACTCCTTTTGTCTGTCTACCAATCTTGGAGGCCCAATTTCTTATACAGTTGAGAGGAATCCTAGTAATCAGATTTCTAACTAACCCAGCTCCCAAGTGGACACTGCAGGCTCATCTGGGGAGTACGGCCACGGGTGGCGCATGCCAGCTGTCAGTAGCCTGCGTGCCTGGGACCTGGAACACGTGAGCAGGTGGAAGTGTGGGTGGCCGCAGTTTGGGCTGCGGTCTTCAGACTTCCTGAAAGCTTTCCTGAGAAGAGCTGGGACAAAGCAAGGAGATTCATCTATGCAGCAGCAGCTTCTCCTGATTCTAATGGGACTCATGTGCTCTGACCACTGGCTTTAAAAGTTGGAATTATTGAATCACCTCTCAGGTGAAGTTAAGCTGGGTGCTACTTATCACATCCCAGAGCCAGCACATCCCATCAAGGGTCATACATAGATTGTCCAGGTTATGCAATAATGTCCTCTCTGGAGGAAGGGGAGCCTGTCTCTAATTCATGTGAAGTCAGCATGTGGGCAAGCAGCAAGCCTTCATGATGGTAGGTTTTTATCTACATCACCTCAGTTGCTCCTCATCAAAAACCTCTATGAGTTTCACAAACAAATTACATGAATAAAAAAGGAAGCAAGGAAAGGAGAATCTATGAATCAAAAGGGACTTAAGAGACATATGACAAATTATAATATGTGGAACTTATTTGGATCCTGATTGAAGCAAACAATTTAGAATATATGGACAGTGATACTATTAGGATATAATTATTCAATTTATTTTTTGAGATGTGATAATGGCATTGCCATAGCCAACCTTCACGATGGCTCCTGGAATTCATGCCCTTATGTAGTCCCCTCCCACACTGAATCAGGACTGGCCTGTGTGATCAATAAAATATGGCAGAAGTGATGGCATGTGATTTCAGAGGCTAGGTCATAAAAGGCGTGCAACTTCCACCCTAGTCTCTCATGCTGCTCCCTCTTGGGAAAGTCAGCCACCAAGCTCTTGAGTAGGCTACAGAGGGGCCCATATGGAAAAACCAATTCACCAGACATGTGACAGTCATCTCAGAAGTGGATCCTCCAGCCACTGTCAAGCCTTCAGAGAACTGCAGACCTAGCACCCTCATGAGACACCATGCATTAACCACCCAACCAAAATGCCCCCTGAATTTCTGCCCCTTAGAAACCATAAGAGATGATAAAGGATTGCTATTTCAAGCCTCTAAGTTTCGGGTGTAATTTGTTGCACAGCAATGAATAATTAATGCAAATATTGTTGTTATATTTTTAAGAGGCAGTCCTTATCTCTGACAATACTTCATGCAAAACAAACACACTCAGCATTGCTCAGAGATGGCAACATGAAACCAAAGAAAGCAGCAAAAAGAGAAATGGATTGTGCACAGATATCAGCAAAATGCCCAAGACATGAAAAAGTGTCTCTAGCCAGGCACGGTGGCTCACGCCTGTAATCCCAGCACTTTGGGAGGCTGAGGTGGGCGGATGACGAGGTCAGGAGTTCGAGACCAGCCTGGCCAATATGGTGAAACCCCATCTCTACTATAAATACAAAAATTAGCCAGGCGTGGTGGTGCGTGCCTGTAGTCCCAGCTACTCAGGAGGCTGAGGCAGGAGAATCGCTTGAACCCGGGAGGCGGAGGTTGCAGTAAGCCGAGATCACGCCACTGTACTTTAGCCGGGGCAACAGAGTGAGATGCTGTCTCAAAAAAAAAAAAAAAAAAAAGTATCTCTAAAGTAAATGAAAGTGCCAGAGCTACAGAGAATGAATGATGTGTCTACTAGTATTCTGAATATTACTTGGTGTATTAATTCCATAGAATTAACTTTCATTCTATTTAGATGTATAAATAGGAAGGTAAATAGGCAATAAGAATAAGCCAAATAATTTTTAAAACATCTTTTAGAAATAGAAAATGAAAAGTTTGTAGATGAAATAACTTAATATCTAAAATTTCAAGATAGTCAGGCAGGGTAAGTGGATACAGGCACAAATGAAATAAGATTGGCCATAATTTGATAACTACCAAACAGGATAATAGATAAATAAGGGGTCGTTCTTCTAGTCTGCTATAGTTTGCATATTTGACCCTCCAAACCTCATGCTGAAATTTGATCCCCTATGTTGGAGGTGGGGTCTCGTGGGAAGTGTTTAGGTCATGGGGGTGGATCCCTCATGAATGTCTTGGTGCCATCATTGTCATCATGGTAATGAGTGAGTTCTCAATCTATTAGTTCCCATGAGAGCTGATTGTTTCAGAGAGTCTGGCACCTCCCCCCACCCTGCTTCCCTTGCGTTCATCATGTGATCTCTGCCCACTGGCTCCTCTTTGCCTTCCACCATGGGTGGAAGCAGCATGAGGCCCACACCAGAAGCCAAACAGGTCCCAGCACCATGCTTCTTATACAGCCTGTAGAATTGTGAGCCAAATAAACCTCTTTTCTTCATAAATTACCTGCCCTCAGGTATTCTCTTATAGCAACACAGACTAAGACATAGTCACTCTACTTTTGTATGTATGAAGTTTTCCATAAGAAAAAGTAAAAATCAAAAAACAAAAACAACTTCAACACAGGTATTATTAATCTGATCTTACAAATGAAGAAAATTGAGGCTCAGAAGCTTAAGTCGCTTGCCCACATTCACACAGCTAGTAGAGCCACTATGATTTGATGGTAAATCTGGGAGGAAAACAAACATTGTGCTGCTTTCCCAATAGTTATAATACTGTAAAACTGTAGAGCATATTAGAATTTACAAAGGGTCTTTAAAGATATCTGTCATCTGAGTAGTTGGAGCAAGATGCAGCCCAAGTGTTCTTATTCCCATCATACTCAGCTATAGTAGCTAAGAGCAGAGTTTCTCTAGAAAATGTGCATTTGGTTAAAAGAAACTGAATATACAAGTGGACTATGGCCACACCATACATGAAAATAGAATCCTGACCTGCAACCTGCAGCAACCTGCTCAGGAAACCAACTGCTAATCAATAAATAGTAAGCCAGCCTGCTGTAAGTCAGACTTATAGGAAGTCGGATTGCTATCTTAAGCCAGAAAGCCAAACAATGGCCCCTTTAACAATCAACCCAAAATGGCCAGGACTCAAAGCAGTCAGGCAAGAGACATAAATAAAGGGCATCTAAATAGGAAGAGAAGTCAAACTATCCATGTTTCTGGATGACATGATGCTATATCAAGAAAACCCCATAGTCTCAGCCCAAAAGCTCCTTCAGCTGATAAACAACTTTAGCAAAGTTTCAGAAAACAAAATCAATGTGTAAAAATCACTAGCATTCCTATAAACCAAGAACAGCCAGGCTGAGAGCCAAATCAGGAATGCAATCCCATTCACAATTGCCACAAAAGAATAAAATACCTAGGAATACAGCTTACCAGGGAGGTGAAAGATCTCTATAATGAGAATTACAAAACACAGAAGAACATTCCATGCTCATAGATAGGAAGAATCAATATCATTAAAATGGCCATATTGACCAAAGCAATTTACAGATTCAATGTGATTCCTATCAAACTACCAATGAAATTGATATGGAATCAAAAAAGAGCCCAAATAGCTAAGGCAATCCTAAGCAAAAAGAACCAAGCTGGAGGATATGACATTACTCAACTTCAAACTATGCTACAGGACTATAGTAACCAAAACAGCATGGTACTGGTACAAAAACAGACACATAGACCAATGGAATAGAATGGAGAACCCACAAGTAAAGCTACACACCTACAACCATCTGATCCTTGACAAAACTGACAAAACAAGCAGTGGGGAAAAGACTCCCTATTCAATAAATGGTGCTAGGATAACTGGCTAGCCATATGCAGAAGATTGAAACTGGACCCCTTCCTTATACCATATACAAAAATCAACTCAGATGGATTAAAGATTTAAATGTAAAACTCAAAACTATAAAAACCCTGGAAGGCAAACTAGCCAATACCATTCTGGACATAGGAACTGGCAAAGATTTCATGATGAAATGGCCAAAAGCCACCACAACAAAAGCAAAAATTGACAAATGGGATCCAATTAAACTGAAGAGCTTCTCTGCACAGCAAAAGATATTATGGGAAAAGTATTTGCGAACTATTCATCTGACAAAGGTCTAATATCCAGCATCTATAAGGAACTTAAACAAATTTACAAGAAAAAAACAAACAGCCCATTAAAAGGTAGACAAAGGACATGAACACTTTTCAAAAGAAGACATACATGTGGCCAAACAGCATGTGAAGAAAAGCTCAATATCACTGATCATTAGAGAAATGCAAATCAAAATCAAAATGAGATACCATCTCACACCAGTCAGAATGGCTATTATGAGAACGTCAAAAAATAAGAGATACCAGTGAAGCTGCAGAGAAAAGAGAACACTTATACGCTGTTGGTGGGAGTGTAAATTAGTTCAACTAGTATACTAATTGAACCAATTACTAAATAAAATTAGTTCAATTCATGTATAACTAATTTGTGGAAAGCAGTATGGCAATTCCTCAAAGAGCTAAAAACAGAACTATCATTCAACCCAGCAATCCCATTACTGGGTATATACCCAAAGAAATATAAATTGTTCTATCATAATGACACATACATGTGTATGTTCACAATAGCAAAGACATGGAATCAACCTAAATGCCCATCAATGGCAGACTGGATTTTTAAAAAGTGGTACATAGACACGATGGACTACTATGTGACCATGAAAAAGAACAAGATCATGTCCTTTGCAGGAACATAGATGGAGCTGGAGGCCATTATCCTTAGTAAACTAATGCAGTAACAAAAAAACAAATATTGCATGTCCTCCCTTATAAGTGAGAGCTAAATAATGATAAAACATGGAGAAAAAGAGGGAAACAACAGACACAGGGGCTTACTTGAGGATGGAGTGTGGGAGAAGGTAGAGGAGCAGAAAAAAATAATTGTTGGGTACTAGGCTTAGAACCAGGGTGATGAAATAATCTATACAACAAACCTATGAAATTACCTATATGGCAAACCTGCACAGGTATCCCTGAACCTAAAATAAAAGTTTAAAACATAAAAAATTAAAATTTTTAAAAAGAGACATTAAAAAATAGCCAGGACTTGATTAATAACTGAAAACTCTCCTAATTTTTGTCTCCAGTTTCAACTTAGGATCAACCAAGAAAGCCAAATGTGTGCCCCCAGTTAATCAAATAGGCTGCCCCACTTCTAGTTACCCTGCCTACAGCTTCCCCAAGCCAACAGCCTCCAATCAAGGCACACCTAAAGCCTTTCCCTTTTTTCACTGATGAAAAAAATTAATCGGACGGCCATTAGTCGAAGATGGCTCTGGTGCCTTGGATTCCTACATAAAGCAAACTGAAACCCAACTCAGTGCAAACAGTAAAACAAAACTTAAGCTTAACCTATCAGAAACCACCAAACTAACCTCAAACTAGGGATTTTCCACTTTAACCAATAAAATATATTTTCTTTGTCTTACTTTCACAAATACCTCATGAAAGTTTCCTCTCTCACCTCCTTTGGTGGAGCACTGAACCACTTGTAGTCTGGTGCTGCCCAATTCATGAATCATTGAATGCTCAAATAAACTCATTAAAATTTTAATGTGCTTAAGTTCGTGTTTTTATGCTACTATAAATGTTTCCCACTCTTCTGCCTACCTTTGAGTCTCTGCCAAAATGCAAGTGACTACAGCTGACCTCCTTGCTATAGCAAGCTCAGAATAAAAAGTCTTTGCTTCTTCTCATTAGATGGGTCTCTACTTTTTTCCCCAGTTGTCTTGATTTTTAAAATAAGGCAAATAAACCCAGTTGCTCAACATCCACCCTAGTTCCAGCTTATTCATATGGAGGAAAGGGAGGAAGCAAACCTCAGTTTTGTCTGGGTGGCCTTTTTAATCTTATTCCTTTAGAATAAAAGCCCGCAGTTATTCTTTACCATTTAGCTGAGAGAGCAAGCCAGAAGAGGGGTTCCCAGGAGATTCCTGTGACACTAATCTCTCTTTTTTGTTTTTGAGACGGAGTGTCGTTCTGTCGCCCAGGCTGGAGTGCAGTGGCACGATCTCGGCTCACTGCAAGCTCCGCCTCCCGGGTTCACACCATTCTCCTGCCTCAGCCTCCCGAGTAGCTGGGACTACAGCTGCCCGCCACCACGCCCGGCTAATTTTTTGTATTTTTAGTAGAGACGGGGTTTCACTGTTTTAGCCAGGATGGTCTCGATCTCCTGACCTCGTGATCCGCCCACCTCGGCCTCCCAAAGTGCTGGGATTACAGGCATGAGCCACTGCACCCGGCTCCTGTAACACTAATCTCTAAACCTGAAACCAGAGTGGATCTTGTCCCTTCTAACCAAGCTCCTCACCAGTGATTCTTCATTCATCTTTTTTGAGTTTACTTCGAAAGACATTTATTTTCACTGTACGGACTCCTGGGCTTATGGAACACCTTAAGTCAGGAGATTCCCGTTAGACAAAGATAAAAAACACAACTCCCAGCAAGCCATCAGTGGACTTGCTAAGCTGTGGCAATCAGGAAAAGAAAAAAAGAGAGAGAGAGAGACAGAAAGGAGGAGGAGGAAGAGGGAAGAAAAGAAAAAAGTAAAAGCAGTTCTGAAACTCAGAAGCTAAGGATACCAAATGACTCAGGACAGAACGCTGTTTTGTCTTGAGGGAAGTGGTCCATTTAAATCAAGTTTTAAAAAACAGGGCAGTGTTAAGTGTTTCTATGGCAACGTAGTGTACAACGTAGTGTATCTACGTTAGAAGCTGTTTGTAAATTAAGAAGCATGGTGCGGGGATTACCAGGAGACTGAGGGCAGCAGGACCCTTCCTCTCATTTCTCCAATGGGGCAAAAGTTGTTCCAAGGTGAACAGTGTGCCTGAGACACCCAAAGCCCTAGAATAAACCTAGGGCCTCATCCTGGAAGTGCCTTTTAAATACCACAAATTAGAGGGGAAACACCTAGAATTCTTGATTCCTGGGCTGACAGGAGGAGAAGCAAAGCTCCTTTGCTGAAATGAAATGTTAACAAGATAAATTTGGTTATCAGGCTCTGGCCTAAAAGTAGGTTCAGGATAAACCTTCAGGACTGGCTAAGAATTAATCTCATTTTCAGATACGCTTACCCACTTTGATGTTGTTTAATTGAAATCTCCATCTTGTTGCTCTTGTCTAGCTAAAATATTTTCTTGAAAGTGAGAGTTCACAGCAGCAAATTTGGATAGATCAAACCAGAGATGACACCTTGAATCTCTAGAGCCACATTCAGTGCTCAGAAGATGTGACTGGCACTCTATCCTGTCTAGTATCCTGATTAATTAGAGATCAGCAATAGTAGCTAAGGCAAAAATCTGGAAGTCCTCAAGCGTACAAAGCTGTAGTTTGTGCCTATCTGTTAATTGTACATAATATGAGCTTGAAAGTTTGGGCTTTAATGTTACAAGTTCCTCTTTATGTCTGAGAATAGGTGGCAAGAAGCTTGAGTTCTCCTGTAAGGCAGGGTTAAGCTTAAATTCTGGCTCTATTATTTGTTAATCATGAAACTATGGACAAGTTACTTAACTTCCCTGTGCCTCAGTTTTTTCTTCTGCAAAATGGAGATGATCATTATAGTGGTACCTACCTCACAGATTGTCAGGATCAAAGGAGATAATGCATGCAAAGTACTTAGTGTATATAGAGTGCTCAACAGGCCAGGTGCAATGGTTCACACCTGTAATCCCAACACTTTGGCAAGGCCAAGGCAGGAGGATCACTTGAGCCCAGGAGTTCAAGACCAGCCTGAGTAACATAAAGAGACCTTGTCTATATAAAAAATAAAAATAAACAAATTAGCTGGGCTTGATGGCATGTACCTGGTCCCAGTCACTTGGGAGGCTGAGGTGGGAGGATCCCTTGAGCCAGGGATGTTGAGGCTGCAATGATCTGCGATCGAGCCACTACACTCCAGCCTAGGTGACAGAACGAGACCTTGTCTCAAAAAAAAAAAGAAAAAAAAGAAAGAAACAAAAGAAAAGAAAAGGGCTCAACAAATAATAGCTATCCATTGTCTCTTTTTGCCCTACCCCCACTACTCCTATGAGAATGAAACACCAGGGGAAATGAATAGGATTCTTTCTCTCACAATAGATGAATGGTTCATAAAGCTGACAAATGCTCTGATGAACCCAGGAATAAGGATCAGGGTGTTCTGGGGCTAAGAGTAAGAAGGTGAGTATGCCAACACATGGCTCCAAGTAGCAAGCAAGCTTAGTGCCAAAGACAGCCAGCTGGGTCTTTAAGCCCCAAGTTACCCCAGCAAAGAGCTACACTCCAGTTAGCTATTAGCTTTTATTTACTCAAAAACATCCACAGGTGAATTCAGCAGTTTAAGTCCCCCTTAAACTCAGTTTATTTTTTCTGTTCCCAACATCTCCTAGGCATCCTCCGAGAGCAGGTTCTCTGCTCAATTCCACAATGGTATGGAAATGAGTCACCACCACACACATGTTCAGCCCAACTGGAGCCTTTTGTCAGTAAGTCAACTAGGCACCCTTCAGGCTCCATGACTTATTCTTCTATTGGGAAGAAGGAAAACAGACAATAATATCAATAATACGTTGTCCCCAAGTCAGGCCTCCAAAACACTGAATTAGAGAGAAAGGACAAGGGAAAAATGAAGTGGAGGAAGAGAGTAGTGGAGTGGGGGAGATATAATTGGGGAGCACTGGAGATGCTCCCACCTCAGTGGAAGTAATCAAGGATGTAAAAATCCCTTGGCCCAGGCATACAGGCCCTCAAGTGTTTGTTGATGGGGAATCTGAAGGTCAATGAGACAGAGTCATCTCTGATGGATAACTACTCAGAATTCTTCTCAATGCTTGTGTCCAAAGAATCAGAGGGATGGCAGACCACACAAGCTTTGAGGATCAAAAGGTAGGTTTCCTTGAACTTCTTTATTTTATAGGCATAGACGATAGGGTTCATCATGGAGTTGGCATGGGACAGCAGGATGCCCATGTACAGCACAAGCTGTGGTACCTCACCATTAAAGTAGATGATGCAGTTGATGATAGATAAAGGCAGCCATGACAGAGCAAACAAGAAAAGAACCAGAAACAAGGACTTAGCCGTCTTGAACTCCCGTCCATAAAATGCACCTGTCTCTTTGGAGTTAGATAAGTTCAGACTGAGTTTGTTCCGAATGATGTAAAAGATGTCAAGATAGATGGCGCACATGACAACCAGGGGGATGAAAATCCAGGTGAGGAAGCTGAAGTATACCATGTAGTCCATTCTCATGACGGAAACAAATTGGCATGAAAGGAAGGTGACATTTCTGTGGTACTCTGAGGTCAGTTTCATGTTCCAGCCAAACATGGGGGTCAATCCCACCAGGAATGACACCAGCCAGCAAAGGCCCAGGGCCAGCCATATTCTTCTGTGAGTGGTGACCCTCTTGTATCTGTGTGAATGAAGAGAGTCAGTGAGTCCACAGCAGTAATTGCTAAAGGGTAGGGGAGATGGAGCTGGTAAAGGAGAGAGAGAGAGGTGAGATAAGGCATATACTCTCTTAATTCTCCAATCTTCTGCTAAGAGAGGGCAGCATTGATATCCTATGGTGATTCCAGCTAAACTCCACTGGATACGAAGACAAGATGAGCAGACAACGATTGGAGAAAAATCCAGGAAACTTCTCTGGGGACTTTTCTAAAGAAGAAAACTCTTGAATGGATAAGGAGGATGTTGCCTAGAGTCAAGTGCTTACGTGCTCCACTCAGGGCTCCACTTACTGAGAGCTATACAACTGTTACCTATCTTTTCTTTTTCTTTTTTTTTTTAACTCAAAAACATCCACAGGTGAATTCAGCAGTTTAAGTCCCCCTTGAACTCAGTTTACTCCTTCTGTTCCCAATAAGGTGTAAGCCTAAGAATTATTCAGTTCCTGGGAGCTGAGATTCATCTAAGTCTCCTAGGATTGTCTGCCTGGTGAGAAATGATATTCTCAAAGCAAGCTTGCCTGCTGTTCTTGGCACTGTTCTGTTTGGCTGTTGTGCAGATTCTCATAAATTATACTATGCCTCCCCGACACTTCCCCTCTACCTGTGCCTGCTCCTGCTTCTCTATCTTCATGGGCATCCATACTTGGTATTTGAGTTAAATGAATCAATGAAGTTACAAAATTGTATTGAAGTGTTTCAGAGACCTTAAAGGACAGTAAGAGTAAGAGTCCCCATTGCTCCTTAAACTGTCCTTCCTGACAGCAGCCTATACAGACCACAAAAAGGAAACAAATATAGTTAAGTATCAGTAGATTTTTATCTCAATTAAATCTCACAACAAACAGGAGATATTTTATTATAACCTCAATTTTATTGATGGCAATTGTGAAAATAATAGTAATGATAGCCACCATTTATTGAGCACAGACTGTGTGACAGGTATGTTTCTAAAAGCTTTACATATGTTAACGCATTTCATTTTATGAGGATAGTGCAATTATCCCCATTTTGTAGATTAAAAAGTGAAACACAAACAAGTAACTTCTACAAGTTAGAAGTGGTGGGGCTAAAACTAAAACAAGGTAAGTCTGAGTTCCGAGCATCGTAACCACTGTGATACAGAGTGGAAACCAAAGGAGATAAAGTTAAACAACTTGTTCAAGATCAGATCTCTAATCTGGGATTTGAACCTAGACTGTCTACATCTAAAGCTTGTTTGTAGCTCCCTCACTCTGCTCTTTCCTCCAGAGAAGTGACGAGAAACACGAGACCAATGCAATTTAGGTCACCCGGGGAAGTAGATTTCTCCATTTGGCAGTTCGTTCTATTCATATGGTCACATGTAATGAAGAATATTTTTACGAAAAAAGCTCTCACATCTCAGGAGGAGGAGGAAAAATATACATATATATAGGATATATATATTTATTATATTATATATAGGATATATATTTAATATAATAAATATATAGGATATATATATTATAATAAATATATATAGGAGATATATATTTAATATAATAAATATATAGGATATATATTTAATATAATAAATATATAGGATATATATTTATTATAATAAATATATAGGATATATATATTATAATAAATATATAGGATATATATTTATTATAATGAATATATAGGATATATTTATTATAATAAATATATAGGATATATATTCATTATAATAAATATATAGGATATATATTCATTATAATGAATATATATAGGATACATATATTTATTATAATGAATATATATAGGATACATATATTTATTATAATGAATATATATAGGATACATATATTTATTATAGTGAATATATATAGGATACATATATTTATTATAATGAATATATATAGGATACATATATTTATTATAATAAATATATATATATTGGAATATATATATATTCCAAGAATCCCTTTCTCAACATTGAAGTAGGCACAGAATAGGAAGCAAAGATAAAATAATAACCTACATTTGCAAAACAACAGAACCATCAGTTTATCTCCTCTTATGTTTATCTGCCTGCTTCTCCTAAAATAATAAGTCTTATCTAGTAGGCTTTTATCATTTCTAAAACTGAAGAGCATTTTTTACTAATTAAAGATGCATCAAGATTTCATCATTTTTAGCCAAGGATTAGTAATTACAGCTGGAGGGATTGAGCACCCACCCCTAGTCAGTGGAGAAAGGATTGGAGCATTCCTCTGATTCTAGCTCCTGAGTCCCAGCCCATTGTTGCTAACCCCCTCACAGACCATATCACAAAAAGACACTTATTGCCCTCTTTCAACATCAAGGGCCAATTTGGATACATTTTTACTCAAAAAGTCTGGGCTCTGGGCTTTGTAGCCTCATTTCCCAGCTGCCTCAATTGCTGCCCACCCCACGCCGCAGGCTACCTGACGGTAAGCTTGACCCGCAAGTATCGGTCCACAGCGATGGCCAGCAAGGACATGATGGAGGCGTGGGTAAAGATAAGCAGTAGGCAAGTCATAAAAAGGCAGCTGTAGAAGTGGATTGTGATGCCCAGGCTGACAACAATGGCCAAAGGCATGACCAGCACCCCAACAGCAATGTCAGCCAGGGCTAGAGAGACAATGAAATAGAAGGTGGTGGTCTGCAGGCTGGGGTTCAGCTTGACCACGCAGATGACCAGCACGTTGCCCACTATGGCGCAGAGTCCAATGAAAATTTCCATGGTGATGTAGGTAACATTGGCCAATGACAGAGCAGTGCTGTTGTTGGGCATCTTGCCTTCCCAGGGGAACCTCCACAGGGACAGGTGAGCCAGCAAGATCCGTCTGTAGGGCCAGTGGGCCTAGCTCTCGCCAGACGTCTTCCCAGAGGTCCATGTGCAGTGACAGTCTAAAATTCCCAACTTGCTCATTCCTACCCTTTTCTGGTGGGGTGATCTCTTGGAAACCCTTCTCCTTAGAAAGGGCTCATCACAGGTGGGTCACTTCCAGCCCCTTTATGCACCGCACATCCTCAAGTTTCCAGAATGCTGTAGGACAGCTCTATATGGACTGAATCTGAAAGTGCTGCTGCTCTTAGTTCCCCAAACAGATGTCCTCAACGCCTCTGCCTGCAGCTTTTTGGCTTTTTGAGTTCCATCAAGATAAGCAACCCTCTTCAGGGGTGTTTCAGGAAGTGAGATGGGCCAAGAGGAAGTACAGAGCTCAGAACTCTCAGCAAAAAGATGGAAAGAGCAGAAGAGGAGCCATGAGTGGCATAGAGAAGGCTCGAGACAAGATTGGGTATCAGAGTTCATTCATTCAGGGACCAGAGGACAGTGCAGGATCAGGTGGGAGCAGAGCTGGAAGCACTGACTATGCAATCTTTCTGCCAGCTTAGCAAAAAGATCTCATGATAAGGAGGCAAACGGGAGAAGCAGAGGAACAAAAAAGAGACTTTGGTGGCAGCCTCCTAACCTTAGCCAGAACTATTCCTGCTAAGTTCTTGCACGAGTTGACGCTTTGCTGAGCACAGCCGATACCCAGCCTTTGCAGCAAAGATCCTTGGTCAAAGGGATAAGCAAAGATTCCCTGCTCAGAAGGGCAAAAACTCAGCACCTCTGAGAAGCATCACACCTGCTTAGCCTCCACCTCTCTTTCTCAGCTCACACCCTAGCAAAATCACACTGGCACTTATGCTGGCAGCCGGCCAATGTCCAACCTATGTGAGGAACGACAGAATAGCAGAATGACCAGACATACAGAAAGAAGGGAAAAGAACGTGTGCAACAGAATCAAATGGCATATCCTCCTGCCCACATTCCCCAAGCCTCAGCCCCATCCCCGCAGGAACAGGCGACTGTCTGGGAATCAGCCCCCTCTCCCTGAAGCTGCTTACCTAGTCACCAACTTCTGGGAACCAGACACTTGCACGCCATTGTTATTTGGGGACCCACTTGGTTCAGGTGCTTCTCAGCACCATCCAAAGGGATTATTTTAACCAGGCGTGTTAGAGAGGCAGCAAGAAGGAACACTTGGACCCAAACCCACACAGTGGCTTGAGGGCTTTATCATTTTTACCTTAAGCATCTAAATATGTACAGCCCAAAATAAAATTCAGCAGTAACAACAATGGCGTTCTGGTGTTTACTAACAAACACTTCAGAGTGGGGCATAAGGGAGACGCCTCTGCCTGGGGCTCATCAGGGTCCTCTTGTTAGTTGATCTGCTCTGGCATCATTCATTGATTCCACTCCCGACCCCCACCCTGTATCCCAAGTTGATCCAAGTCTTACCAAATCCCATACTTGTCCCCGCCAGACTTGTCATTTCTCCCTGAGCAGACTCCCCAGACATTAAAAAGGGCAGTCCTCTCCAACTGAATTTCCATCATTCTAGTATTTTCCAATGTCAGTTCTGCCCACATCCCTGCACTGCTGGAACTTGAAAAGCTTCATCGGCCTCCAATGTGTCCCTCATAAATGTTTCTACTGTAATTGTTTTCTTTATCTGTGCTTCAGAGAAGGAAGTTACCAAGAGAAATTTCTAGGAGGCAGCACTCTGCCAAAAAAAAAAAAAAAAAAAAAAAAGAAGCCTTTCTCACTATATAGCACTCTTTGAACCTTAGTTAAATACTGCAAAAAACCCTCCCTCCCCTACCCCAGTACATAGGTGAGTTCTTTTGGAATCAGTCCATCTCAGCTGGGTCAGAGAAACCAAGGAAAGGGGTTTGTGTCCAAACACAGCATGCTGTAGGCAAGATACCACATGAAAGAATAACCCACTAGAGAGAATAAAGGCAGGAGACACACTTAGGGTCACCAGCCCAGCCACCTCTGCCCATCTGGGAATTCTACCCTCAGAATTCTCTGCACATACCATGGGGGTTTCTTTTCTGTGAACAAGAGAAGCCCTTCCTTCATGTTCTCTGAATAGACAAGGTCCATCAGTGCTGGGTGGGGTGATTTGAGAACAGAGGAGAAGGACTTTCACAGTCACTTAACATTTTGGCCTGGAACCTGACCGTAGATTGAAAACCAAAAGGCAATCTGGGAAAGAGGACAGAGAGGCTGGGGCAGAAGGTCACTTCATTTGCCCATTCCTACCGCTGCACCCACAGCCCATGGCGCACAGCCACTCTTGGTCATGTGCCTCATCACATCTCAAGTAGGAGATGCTGCAGCCTCCTACTCGGTGCCTCAGGCAACCAGAGGAACCACGCCAGAGCTCCATGCCCAGGATGACCCCTGCCCCTTCTAAACCATTTGGTCTGCACATTGCCTTAGGATCAAGTCCAGACTCCTTAGAGTGGCTTATACCCTTCTGATGGGTCTCCCAGCCTCTGCAGTCTCCTGTCACCTGGGTCCGCACAGACACCATTGGCTGCACCAGACTGAGCAACTCGTGGCTCAGAGTCATTCTCTTTCACTTCCTCTCCCCTGTGCACACACTCTTTGTCTGGTTTGCAGGGCCCTTCTCCCCCAAGTCCATCTAGAAAACAAATACTTTTCCTCCAAGACTGTTACCCAACAGGACCTTGAAGAAAACTTCCCAGTCTTCACCTCTCCTCTGGGACCACACTGTGCTGTGTGTATATGACTTCCCCGCTTAGCCTGTAAGTTCCTGGAGGACAGGGACCACCACTTTCCATTTCTGCATTTCTCGCCCCTACTATGATGCCTGGCAGATCATGGGTGCTCAGTACATTTTTGATGAATGAATAGGAAAGCACTTCAGTGAATCAGGTGGCATAAACTAGGCATTGGGTATATAAGGAAACAATAAATCAGCGAGGACTCTTAAGTGCTCTGCATCATACCAACTACTCAGTGTTAAGCAGCTTCTATTCACAGACTCATTCAATGCTCTCGAATGAAATAGATACTACCATTATGCTGAGCAAGTTGAGACTCTGCGGGGTTAAATAACTTGCCCAAAGTTGTAAGCTAGGCAGTGGCGAAGCCAGCATTCAAACCCAGGCTTCTGCTTCGGAGCCCAGGTTCCGAATGGCAGCCCTCAGTAAGTAAATGAGCAAATAAACTCTACAAACCTTTCAAAAGTACAAGGAGTCCCTGGGTTTGATGTTGCCATGCTATCAAAATCAGTAGAGATCAGTATTCTCAGATCTAAAAAAGAAAGTAGCCACCAAGACTATGGGCACAAAGCACAAGTATAATGTAGATTTGGCAACTGCTCTGAGCTAGGAAGAGATGGCAGGACCAGAGAGATGACTGCATGAGCAGGTCGCTGGTAAGGCTGGGGCCCCAAGGTGAGCTCTGGGCCAGAAAGGAAACCATTTTTATTGGATCAAGGTACAATTTTTTTCTTAAAAACAAAAAATATATATATATATATTATATATATATATACACACACACACATATATATACACACACATATATATATACACACACACACATATACATATATATACATATATACACACACATATGTGTGTGTGTGTGTGTGTGTGTGTGTGTGTATATATATATATATATATATGTTAACTGTAGTTAACTGTGGTTCAGGAGAATTTCCCACCTAAAAGAAAGGCCATGGCTGTTTTCAATTTTACTAGAAGAGGCTGGGTGTGGTGGCTCAGCCTGCAACCTTAGCACTTTGGGAGGCTGAGGTGAGAGGATTGCTTGAGGCCAGGAGCTCAAGACCAACCTGGCCAACATACTGAGACCCCACCTCTATTTTTTTTTTAATTAAAAATAAATTTTAAAATTCTACTAAAAGAACCTGAACTCCATCAGGGAAGCAAAGATCTAGGAGAAACCATTGGCTTAAATCACAGGAAGAGTGACTGGAGGGGAAAGGCCTCACCTGTCCCAAACCCTGGCCTGGGGCCTACTTGGGTCTGATGCCACTGGGCACAGCTCAACCACAAGGCTGCAACCTTGCCCTTGGGGTTCCGCTTAATAATCTGAGAGGCTGGCAGCAGAGATGATTCATCTGATCCTTTGCAGCTTCTCAGAAAACCCTAAAAAACCCCAGTTGCCAGCCTACAAAAACAGCAAGATGCAGTGTTAGCAGGAGCCCAGGGAAAAGGCCTCTGGAGCCCTAGAGCTGGTCCACGGGCAGCTAAGACCGGATGTCAGGCAGGCGAAAGGTGGGGCTTCTGCCCAAGGCTGTCTCCCACCCCACGGCTGTCTGCAGAGTTGCACAAAATCAGCTTGCTCACTTCCTCTTGGCCCCATCACCACTTCCCCAAAGCCTTACATTTTTATAGAGCTTCATGTTTGCTAGCCGACAGCTGAGGCTTAGAAAAGACAAGTGCTCAGGGTCAGCCCTGAAGGTGGCGCTTCCTAGGCCCCTCCCCCACCACTCTCCGGGCTCTGCCTCTCCATCAAGCCCCGGGGGTCAGGCTGGGCTTTCCCGCGCCGGGGGCTGATCTGGAGCCTCTGTCCACACGGGCCTTCTAACCAGGGCCCAGCCACTGAGGCCAATCCAAGGAGCCCAAGACTCACAGGCTGTAGTCTGAGCACAAGGAGTTTCACTCCATGCCAGTGTTGGTGGGAGGGAGGGTGAGGCCTGGAAAGGGAGGTCAAGGTTCCTTCACTCTGAGCAACAGGAAATCCTGCCCCACGAAGGGGAGCTGCTCTGGGCGCTCAGCCTCACCCACCAGACCCCCCCACCCACACCGAGTGTGTCAGGAGGTCTCCAGGCCCTGGGGGAAAGAGAAGGGTTCAGCTAACTGAACTCAAGGCACTCAGAAAGTGAGGAAGCGTTTCAGCTGCCGGAGACTTAGCACGGTAGCGTCAGCTTCAAGTGTCTGAAAGAGTGACTCCTGCGTCCCAGCTGAGGCGCTATGCTCAATGGTGGCCACCAGAGGGAAGCACGTTTCTGTTGTCACTCGGGACCCAGGCTGCTGCCGAGAAAGAAAACGGGAAGAACTTGAAACGCTCCTTTGAAACTGCTTAACCAGCAACCTCAGATGGTGCAGAAAATGAAAGAAGTGAGAATCAAGGGAAGGCAAAGGGGTCGAGAATAGGTAGCCAACTGCCTGAAGTCAATCCAATCCCATAGAATATTCCTGGGCAGTACCAAATTCAGTCCTCCTGACTCCAGAAGGTTGAGAAGCAGCTTTGCCTTTCAAACCTGTGACTGTTCCAATAAACACAGTATTTGTGTTTTGCTTTGTCATGTGCAAAGCTCCTCCCACAATCAACTTTACTGAATTAACTCAACAACCCCACAAGGCAGGTATCATCAATCTCATCAGAATGAATGACCTGCTCAGGATCATACACCGCCAGGCGCGGTGGCTCATGCCTGTAATCTCAGCACTTTGGGAGGCCGAGGCGGGCGGATCACGAGGTCAGGCGTTCTAGACCAGCGTGACCAACGTGGTGAAACCCCGTCTCGACTAAAAATACAAAAATTAGCTGGGCGTGGTGGCGGGCGCCTGTAATCCCAGCTACGCAGGAGGCTGAGGCAGGAGAATTGCTTGAACCCGGGAGGCGGAGGTTGCAGTGAGGTGAGATCGCACCACTGCACTCCAGCCTGGGCGACAGAGCGAGACTCCGTCTCAAACAAACAAACAAACAAAAGCAGCACCAGGATGGGAGCCCAGCTCCTGGTCTCCTCGCTTAAGATGAGAATGGGGAAGACCAGGAGGGATTTGCCAGTAGGGGGTTGCAGTGGAATTTTTAGCCACCTACGTCATTGATCCTTCCCTTGGCACCTGTCAACCTCTGACCTATCCTTCCCCTCTTGTGAGCTCAGGTCCCACTGGTCAATTTTCCCAGCCTTTGCTGGAGAGCTTCCAAGATTTCTCCAAATGCCCTCATGTCTCTTGGCCACCCAGCCTCCTCTTTATCACAGTCCTAGGCTTCTGGGTGCTCAGGCCGGGTGTCCCCACCCCTATCACAGTGGTAGGGCCTCATCCCTTGATTTCACCCAGGAAGACTTTGGATCCCGGTGTTGATTCTCATGCCCTTTATCTAAACACCGGGAGGCGTAGGAATGAGTTCTGGATATACCAACTACTGATCCCAAATGTTTACAGTAGGGCAATGTCCTGGTCTCCTTCTTTTAACCTGCTACCTACCAAATGGGACAAAACTTCTTACGGAATTGCATGCAAACCTTACCGCCACAGTGGGAGATAAGCAACCTTCTGATTTTGATGGCATGTGTCTTCCCCTCCTACTGCACAAGGTCATTTCGTAATTATTACTGTAAGAGCTGCCATTGATAAAATGCCAATTCACATGTGCCAGGCACTATGCCAGGTGTTTTGCATACATCACTCACAATTCTATATCAGTCCTGCTGGGAAGTATTATTAGATCCATTTCACAGATAGAAAACTAAGGCTAGGAGAGAATTGACTCACTCTGGGCAGCACAGCAGCAAATGGCAGAGCTAGGGCCTGAACCCAAGTCTATCTTGGCTGCAAAGCCCTGGCTCTTTCAATGAGCCACACAAAAACAGTCCAATATCAATTATGCCAAAACCCAAATTGCCATTTTGGGCAGACATTCTTCAGTATCCTAATGGGTAGACTTGCTTCCTAGGCTGGGCCAGATATTGAAGGCTGTGCATTCTGTGTCAATTGTCTACTCTCCAGCTCCTGTCAAAGCTCAGCCAAGAGTTTTATTCCAGGCCCATGGAGAGCAGCCAACAGGCCCTTCCTCTACACTCCCTACCCGCAACTCCTGCATCTACTCCCTGATCAGACAACAGCACTGCAAAACCGTTTTACTTTAGTTCCCTGCTGAAATGTCTTCCCAGATGACCTTAGTCCCTCTGCTTTGTATGAAAGGTTAATATAAAAAAACTGTACTATGAAGTATGTCTCGGTGTTTCATCATGATCGAAAATACTATCTGTTGCTATGTCTCTTACATAAAGTTTCATAGGATAAATTTCTCTGAGGAGTTTTAGTGCTAGAAAAGAGGTCGTTTTTCTTAATAAACTAGACTGCCTTGTTCATCTGGTTAGTGGCAGAGCTTTGTCCCATTCATTTGTGTGTGAGCAGCCAGGAGTGTCAGAGCCGATGTTCGGTCTCGGTAATCACACTTGGCTTAGGTTTTCTAGGATGCCTTTGTGCCCCATATCATTCCTTGGCTACCGGTGTTTTAATAATTCTGTCAGGCCCTGTTTTTCATGAGGAGCTGCACATCATTTTTGGCAGTGTGCAAGGTATAAGAAATGACTCCATAGAACTCACATTAGAAGGAGTACGCGTTTATTTTCAGGCATATTGCAGGTTGATTGGTCCAGTCTGTCATGCAGGGATACCTGTCACTACCCCCATGATTTGGGGGTGAGGATTTTTTTCTCCCACAAGTGGTCCAAAATGACATTTTCGATGATCAATTTTGGCAAAAGAGAAAAAACTGATGAGACTGAAAATGTCCCCTCATTTGAAGTGAGTCTTTTAATACAGCACTCACGGGCACCCACATCCAGCAATATTTAGGAAATGCTTCCTTAGGAATCGCACTGGGTAAACCATAATGCTATCATTCCCCCAGGAAGAATGTATTTTTATTGATGTGCACCCCACCTATTTCCACAAAGTACTGAAGTTACTGTCAGGCTGAGTTGATGGCTTCTTCCTCTACACGCCCACATCGCTTTACACATTCCTCTCTTGGAGCACTTACTACACTATTCTGTAGTTATTTATTTACATGACTGCTTCTCCCGCTAGCTGGTAAACTCCTTAAATGTAGAAATTATGTCTTATTCATTTTTATGTCTTCCTCCCACTTCCCTTCTCCCCAAAGCATGAAGATCCTAAAATATACCTGCCACAGAAGAAACCTGCAATAAATTCCAGTTGAATGTATTATGTAGTACTCTCAGGTCTGTCTTCTCCTTCCCTGTAAGAATGCTGGCTATACCACTCTATGTCCAGTGAGGAATCAGAAGGGATATTTGGAAGACCTCTTCCTCAACAAAAAGTAGGTTTTTGCATCTTCTAACTTCAATCACAAACCACTACAGATAGAAAACACCACGTGACCTATTTGGGTCTAGTTAAAGGAAACCTCAGACAGAATGTCTAATATTTACATTACAGTTGCTATTTCAGCATTTTTACCTATAACAACCATTTCATTCCCTCATCTCTGTGATCTATCTCAAATGGTGCCCTTTACACACACACACACACACACACACGTCCACATGCTCTTTCCATCCTCTCTGTTTATTTCCTATGCCACAACTTTCGCAGTCAGAGCTCATTTGTTCATTTACTTGTCTTTGGTCTGTCCCCTTGCTTGTCTTGTTCACAATTCTATCTGCCAGACCTGGAACCACCTCTGGCCCTAGTTACCAGCTTAGTCTGACACATTACTCCTGATCACTGACCACTGATCTTGCCCCAAATCACAGTGTTCATGATGGGGTTTTTAGGACACAACACATTTGGAGTAAGATGTAACACCAGAGGGAACGGAGGCCCAGAGTAGCCAGTTCAGGGTCAAAACTAGAAAAGCAGCCAGGTTTCTTTGCTAGCAAGCCCCCTTCACTGGCTCGTTTGTCACTCTGTCCCCGTTTTCTGAAACCTGGGCCAAAGAGCTTAGGGCCCTCCAATCAAGCACACAGCTGACCCTTCCTTCTTCATCACTGCACTTGCCCTTTGCCAGTTGGCCAGTCAACCCATGCTAGTGGGTAGAATAGTGGGTGCTAATCAGTTACATTACCCACATCAGCAGTGCCCTTCAGGCCCTCTCAAGCTGTGCCTAATTGATGTTCAGCTGCAGTGAGACACAGCCACCTGTGCGTCCAGCATGGCACGCACTCTAGTGCCTCCTCACTGGGCATCAGGCCCGCCCCACTCCACTCACCCCAACGTGCTCCAGAGGAGAAATCACTGTCAGGCTCCAGCCATGTGTTTCTGAATATGCTGTGTCTTTCTTATTTTGAACTCTGTGTCTAAATGGATGACCTTAGCCAAACTGCTTAATCTCTGTGCCTTCATTTCCCCCTTTGATAAATAAGATACCCCTCTGCGGACTGGATGAAGTAACCCAGGCACAGCAGTTAGCACAGCACTTGGTCCCCTGCACCACCACCTTGGGCAGCTACCAGGAATGTGAGTGCTGCAGCTGGGTGGGGTTGGGGGTTGATGTTTCACTATCAGAGCCACTCCAGTGCCCAACCAGTGCTCCACTTCCACTTACAAGGTGCTTGGTAGAGGTTGAATTAAAGGAAAGTCATTCCACACCCACCACCCTGTGGGCTACTGAACTGTGAGATACAGACTTGTTGGGAAGCCACAGGGGTGTGTTCCATAGACCCTGTGTTTCTGAAGGGCTGATTGTCTCAGTCTTTCTCTGGAGGTGCTCTATCCCTGTTCCAACTGCCCCAGTGGTACCTCCAGCTTTAGAAATAGGAAGTATCCAAAAGAGACTGTGGGAGGCAGTACCATTTTCCTCTCTTTTCTCCACCCTTGCCAAGAAGCAGTGGTTTGTCAGCATAAGCAGGCCTGCTGGGTGGACTTTGCGAACCCCGGGGAAAGGCTGCCCCAGGTCTGACAGTTCACAGCTTCCAGACATTTAGTCTTCCAGGTCACCAGCCCCCAAGAGCCACCCAGGCCACCTCAGTTGCTGCAGGTGAAGCCCTCTAAGGGCCAGATATCAAGAACTAGAGTATTCAGAGCAATAATCACAGTTTCTGTTTCTTGAGTGTCATTCATTTTAGAAGGCCTGGCGGATCACTCAGCACTACTCACTGCTATAAAGGGGCCACCTCCTGCACAGGGTGTGAGGGTTGCTGAATAAACAGCAACAAGTGGGGATATTACAGCCAACCCCAGCCAAAACAACTGCACATCGGCAAACACGGAGGCACATGAGGCCAGTAATTTAATTTGCATTACATTTATTTGTATTTTCTCTTGACCTGAAATACAAAACATCCTCTAATCTTTCATTAACCCTGGAAACATTTCTGCTTTCAAAGAAGTAAATAAATAAAATTTATTCTAGGTTGGGAGTTTAGCCTCAGGGCTGGGCTGGGGAGCCAGGCTCTCCATTCTCTCCCAGGCCTCCAAGATAAAATCTCATTCTGTCCTTGTCCCTCTAAGATAAGTCAACTGGCCTGCTCAGTCCCAGAGGAAAGTTCGACACGGTTTCAGTGACCGTGACTTCAGCAGGGCCAACAGAACTCTAGGTCACTGCAGATGGTCCATCCTATGCCCCCTCCCTCCCTCTACCCCACCCACGCCTAGTGCCCATGACTAGGGCTTTTTGTGTTATCTCGGAGTTGGCGCCCTCTCCATTTCCTGCCAATAATGCTAGCTGTTGTTTCTGAGCAAATGGAACAAATGACCAACGTGAACTCTATGCTGTCTGCAAACTGGAAACATCTGCAGGGAGGCAGGGCATCCCCTAGTTGGGGTGCGGTTGCATGGGAGCTGGTGGGAGGGGCTGTGGGAAGAAGGTCCAAGAATCTCAGGGAGGAGGGCAAAGGGTGAAGCCTCAACAGAAAACTGCACATAGGCACATGGGCCTCACAACCCCGTCCCTTCTTTTACTTTCCAAACATTCACTCTTTGCAGTGTCTTGACCAAATGAAGGGAGGATGCACATACCCTTTTATAAATATCATTTAAGATGTTAAACTCTTGTGTGGTAAAGCCAAAATGGCTCGTAGAAAGCAATAGGTGCAACTCGCCATTTCAGAGATGATGACAAAGGCCCAAAGAGGGAGTAGATGTAGTAGCTACAAGTAAAGTCTGGGATGTGCGGCAGCTCACACCTGTGATCCCAGTGCTTTGGAAGGCCGAGACAGGTGGATTGCTTGAGCCCAGGAGTTCAAGACCAGCATAAGCAACATAGCAAGACCCTGTCTCTACAAAAAAAATTCAGAAAAAATTAGTTGGGCGTGGTGTAAAAAATTATAGACCTGCACCTGCAGTCCCAGCTACTTGGGAAGTCAGGGAGGTCAAGCCTGGGAGGTTGAGGCTGCAGTAAGCAAGGATCACACCATCACCGCACTCCACCCTGGATGACAGGATGAGACCTTGACTTAAAAAAAAAAGCAGCAGCAAAGTCTGAACCATACCCAGAACCGCCATTACCTTACTGCTAGTATATGAGTGTGCATACAGTATGGGAACACACACACACACACACACACACATCATACCATGCTGCCTCCCTTAAAGTCATGGTAAAAAGAGTCATGCCTCCCTTAAAGCCAGGAGCCATGTTCAGACTTCCCCATGCAGTAACACAATAATGGTAACACTCCAGGGCTCTCTCCGGGCCTGGACCACACTAGCACATCCTCTAATCTTTCATTAACCTTGGAATACTCTTGTCAGAGGCTCTCCCTGGATCCTTGACATAGCCCTATAATAGAGCCTGTCATTTTCATCACCTCTTCTTTTCACAGATAAGAATATTGACATTGAGCAAGGTCAAGCAACTTGCCCAAGTTTGCACTGCTAGCAAAGGGCAGAGCCCGTCTTGACCTCAGGCAGTCCCATGCCCAGCCGCCTGTGTTACACTGCCTGGAACCCCACATTGAATCCAACTGCAACCTTGAGAAGTGGGATTTGCTCATTTCTGCAGATGGGAAACAGAGGCTGAGAGTTTAGAATCCTGAATTCAACAGAAAGACAGCCCTTGGTCAGCTCTTCCACTGCGGAGGGAATCTCTAGAGTGAGACCTAGTTTCTTGACCCAGACTAACCTGGAAATGATTTTCTGAGCATCACAGTGGCGGGCGCAAGGGGGAAGATCCACTAGCTCTTCCTTCCTGATTTCACTGGGGTCGCTGAACCAGAACTCCCACCTACTAAAAACTGAGCCTGGCTTCTCTTGCGCCTTGGGGAAGTGCCAGTTCCCTACCCTGTGGCCTGCGGTCCTCAGCCCTGCTTGTGTGAGGAAGGAGTCGCCGCTGAGAGGCTGTTCATGCCCTGGTTGTAGAGATTGGTGTTCCCCGATGGGAGTTGGGGACGCTGCCAGTCCCCTTTCAGCAGATGACAAGGAAGGAGGTCTCTGCAGCAGCCAGCTGCCCCTTGTGCCAGAGGCGATGAGCACCGGGCCTCCTGGCAGCGGCTGGGTTCCGCGGCAGCACGGGCCGCTCCCCTGAGCCTGGGAAGGAGGACACAGAGACTGCCCAGGAGCAGCGCTGAGGGGGCCCTGGCGCCGGGGACTGTGGCCCCGACAACCCCCCAGAAGTCGCAGTGGCGTCGGCTCTTCTCCCTTGCTCTACTGCGGCTGGTGGAGGGGGCGGGACTGTCGACCTGATTCATCCAAGACACAATTTGAGGATGCTGGTGCTGCGCCGGCCGGACGCACTCCTCCGGAACTCCGGGAGCCGGGGAGGCCGGAGGGAGGGGTGTTCCCCGCAGCTCGCAGAGGTCAGCACAGCCCCAGCCCAGACTGGAGGAACTGACCGCGGCGTTCCTACCATTTATATGTCAGGGAGCGGCGGGAACCTGCAGGTGGGACCGCATGATTCCTGCTGAAGGACTCATCTGAGGCGAGTCTCTAGGAGGCTGGGCGTCCTCTGCACAACCCCGTCATGAGAGCAATTGGGTTTGCCCCCTGCCTGCCAGGACAGCGCCCTCAGCACCCCTGTTGGCAGGGCCGCGGTCCAGGGCAGACGGCCCTCACCTCCCAGGGCCTTGCAGGCAGCACCTTGTGCTAAAGTTGGCCTAAGCAGGAAGCTGCTCTCAGGGCATTTGAGAGAGGGGAGTGGGAATGCGAGCCAAAAGGAAGTCACGAAGATCAACTTAAAAATAGCACCCCCTCCAGGTCAGTCAGGAGGAGGAACTTGTAGAAAAGCCAAGTTCTGATGGTGATGGCTCAGGGCGACGTCAGAAAAGCCCAAAAGCAAATCAGCAGAGGCCGGGCTTGGAGCACATCTCATGCTCTTATCAGCCTCAGCAAACCACTGCCAAGACCCCTTCTTCTCCTTAGACTTCCGCCCCAGCCAGCATCTGTTTCCTCTCCTAAATTTAAACAACCAGGTTAGTGAACTTGAGAGAGCATTTCTGCCCAGAGAACAGCAGACCCTCCTACGCCCTCAACAGAACACACAGGACACACAATGACACCAACTCCTCCTCAGCTTCTGCTGGGTGAGTGGGGCCCAGGGTTTCTGAGAAGGCCTCAGCTCCCATTATTCCAGGCAGAAAGCCACAAAGCTGAAGTCTGAAGAAGACCTCAGCTTGAAAGAGAGTAGGCAGGCCAGATGGCTGGGTTGTCCCAGGTTGAGCAGTGTGTGATGCCTTCCAACACGGGATAAGGTGAAGGGGGCCCTCAGGAAAGCCAGAAATCCACAAAACAACACTTGTTCCACGGCCCCAGCCCTGAGTGTTGATGGGTAAACCTCTTAACACAGCTAGTATTGGGATAAATCAGACCTTCTGGCTTTTTCTAGGCACCATTCTCACTCTTATCTAAATAGAGCTGTTTGCTTAGGGGAAGGTGACAGCAACTACCTAGAACCTTTCCCTGGTTCTGCTGGCTTCTCAGTCCCAGACTATTATGGCCCCATCCCACACTCTCTCACTCTCACTCTCCCTTCCTCCCTCTGTCCCAAGTGCAGGAGTGCAAGCTCATGCTTGCGCATGTGTACACACACACACATGCACACACTAGCCTCATGGAAACATTTAGGGCAAAGAGGGATGTCTGAGGAACCCTCGATAAAGTCTCTCCTGGAGAGACTGAGTCCATATCCTTTCTCTTAGGCTATCAGGCCTCAGACATTTCCAAGAAATGTTCTTCCTAAGTAGCTTTATGCTGCTATGGCAATACAGGGTGACTTCCTTGGATTTAGCAGTAGTCAATGGAAAAAAAAAAAAAGCGAGGACTGCTCCTGTTAATTGCATCCTGCTGTCTAGATTGCCTGTCACTCTCTTCTCTACATACCCCAGGCCATTTGTTGCAGCCAAGCTACTAGATTTCTCTTCCTTTCCTTACATATAGAAAACTGGTTAAATGTGTCCTATTCTGAGAATTTGCCCTGAGTAGAGCATTTCTGAATTTCAGTCCACAAAAAACACATGCCAGAATCATACTAGGATTCAAAACCCCAGCCCTGCCACTTAGTGGCTGTGTGAGTTTTGGCAAATTGCTTTAATTGTTCTGAGCTTATTTTCACATCTGTAAAGTGAGACTGAAAGAGGTTAATAAAAGCCACTTCAAAGAGCTGTGAAGTGGATTCAATGAGATGTTAGTTATAGATACCTGGCACCTTGCCCAACAACAAAAAGTGGGTCCTCAGTGGGTTGATGCACTTTTCTACTGCTGCATGGATTATCTATTTCTGTTTGGTGTGTTCCCCTTCATACTCCACATCAAAAACTTCAGAGCTTCATATTAAAACCAGTGCCCCTCTCAGCATTAGCCTCATAATGACTCCCCAGTAATAACAGCAAATATTAGTTGAGTAGTTTCTATGCAGACTGGGTTCTTTTGTATCTTAACACATCCCTGTGAGGCGGATATCATTTTGTACCCATTTTATAGATAAGTAGGCTGAGGTTCAGTGACTTACTCAAGAACACATATGCAGTTCATGGTAGAGCCAGGATCTGGACCCAAGCAGGCTGGCTCCAGAGGAACCACTTTTAACCTTTTTGCTATACCTGTGCTAACTGTTTGACAGATTGTGGCTCCCACTGTTAGGGACTTTTTCTGAATATAAGACAGACATGGATGGTCTTGATTTCTCCAGAATCTGGGTTTTAATCAGCCACACTGAATTGATCATTTGACAATGGTAGTTACCATTCATTCAGCATCTACTTATTTTAAGCCAGACACTTTGCATACATTATCTCTAAACCAGGGTTTCTCAACCTCAACCCTATTGACATTGTGGACTGGATAACTCTTTGTTGTGAGGAGCTGAATGTGCACTGTAGGATGTTTAGCAGTAACCATGGCTTCTGCCCACTAAATGCCAGTAGCATCCCCACATCCAAGTCATGACAATCAAAAGCGTCTCCAGACATTACTAAATGGTCCCTGGGAGAATTTGGAGGATGAGAATCACTCCCAGTTGAGAAACAGTGATCTAAACGAGAAGCCTAAAGTTCAGAGAGGCTAAGCGATTTTCCCAAGGTCACAAGCCTGGCAGGCAGCAGAGATAGAATCTGAACCAAGCTTTGCCTAACACCAAGGTCCAAGTAGGATCATTACATCATGCTCTCTCCTAGTTCCTAAATAAGGAAGGTGTGAACTAGATACTGAAATCTACTTGCCCAGAAGCAATACCATTAATGCATTCTGATTCTCCTATGCCAATATGGTTCAAATTCTGAACTTACAACCTCTGGCTACTTAACAGAGCACAATCTAGATGTAAGATTTTTGGAGCCAAATCAACTGTGACCTAGGCCATCCTTCCCCAACTAGGAATATTTTCATTTTTTGTTTGTTTGTTTGTTTGTTTGTTTTTTGTTTTGTGAGACGGAATCTCACTCTGTTGCCCAGGCTGGAGTGCAGTGCCGTGATCTTGACTCACCGCAACCTCTGCCTCCCGGGTTCAAGCGATTCTCCTGCCTCATCCTCCCAAGTAGCTTGGATTACAGGTGCCTGCCACCACGCCTGGCTAATTTTTGTATTTTTAGTAGAGACGAGGTTTCACCATGTTGGCCAGGCTGGTCTCAAACTCCCGACCTCAGGTGATCCATCCACCTCGGCCTCCCAAAGTGCTGGGATTACAGGCGTGAGCCACCGCAACCAGCCCCAACTAGGAATTTAAGCTCTTATTTACAGTCCTGTGTCCCCTGAGTGTGCTATGAGGCTTGGTTTGAGCACCTACTCCACTAGTTCTTCTGGAACCACTGAGAAGATCATGGTCTTGGGAAATAATGGCAGCACTTTGTGTTTCTTATCTTCAGCCATTGTTTAAAAGAGCTGAGGGCAGAATCACAACTCAAACTTCTGCCTGAGTTTCATTTCCTTTTGGTTCCAGATTAATTTATTAAAATCTTTATGAACACAAAATGGACTGAATTTGCAAATGACTCCACAGCCTGTGACACGGAGAGATGTGTAATCAAAGAGAGACCACCAGGCACATAATTATCAAGTTGCATACAGGAAGACTCATTCACAGCAGAGTTGAAACTAACCCAAGCCCAGGTTTCTTTATCATTTTTTTTGTTCTCCCTTTCCCTCCCCGAGCTTAGTGCCTTTTCTCTTCTTTTTTTTTTTTTTGAGATGGAGTCTCACTGTCACCCAGGTTGGAGTGCAGTGGCATGATCTCGGCTCACTGCAACCTCCACCTCCCAGGTTGAAGTGATTGTCCTCCCTCAGCTTCCTGAGTAGCTGGGATTACAGGCACCTGCCACCACACCCAGCTAATTTTTGTATTTTTAATAGAGATGGGGTTTCACCATATCGTCCAGGCTGGTCTCGAACTCCTGACCTCAGGTGATCCACCTGCCTCGGCCTCCCAAAATGCTGGGATTACAGGCGTGAGCCACCGTACCTGGCTGCCTTTTTCTCTTCTTTGCTGGGCCCTGTTGTACACAGACCCGGTTAACCACTGTTAATATACTGTACATTAGCAAACAGGACGAACAGGAACCTCTTTCCATATGGTCTTCAATGCACAGTCAAAAACAACAACAACTAATAGTAAATTCTGCAGGAAACTAAATAGGTTGTCATAAAGAGTGGGTTCACTGCCAGAGCCAGCTTGCTTTCTTTTATGGAGGAAACGATAGTTAATAGCAGCTGCTACCCATGTTAGTGAAGTCCAAAGGCCTTGACAACCTTAGTACATGTGCAGTCAGGTAGCTGCCATCTCAGTGTTCCCCAAAATCTCCCCATGTGTTCCTCCTGACTAGAGTCATCACAGAAAAGTTTTTATTACAAGATCATAAAATCAACAATCTCGCCAACAAGATAATAAGATGATGATGGCAAAAGGGTGAGAGTAAATCTCAGTCTCCCATGCAGGAAACTGGAAGATTAGGACTTTTACTTTAAGGCTGTGTAATTTCTTAACCAGGTGAATAGAAGGGGAGATGAAATTTAGTAGTAAAGGCAGAAACTGTCTCAGAGGTGCTTGTCAATGTAACTAAGAGACTGTTTTGGATGGAAGCCATTCATTTTTCAAATATATCTGAAAACAGTGTTTTTCAAACTACAGGTATCAATTCATTCAGGAATCCTGAAATCAACTTAGTGGATCATGACCACATTGCATTTTCAGTTAAATGGAGTGGAATGGATATGTCAGACTACATTGTACATAGCAATGGTATTTTTGTTTCAGTTATATGTTTGTGTGCTGGTAGGTAGTAATCTGAAATGAATTCTCCTTATTTTATACCTTTATTGAAGTCTAATTAGCATGCAATAAATTGCATATATTTAAAGTGCACGCTTTGACTTATACAAGTTTTGGCATATGTATACACCTGTGAAACCATCACCACAGTCAAGATAATAAATATGGCCGTCGCTCCCAAGTCTCCTCATGCCTCTTTGTAATCCCTCCCTCCCACCCCTTCCCACCCTATCCCCTAACTATTGATCTGCTCTCTGTTATTACAGATTAGTTTGTATTTTCTGTATAACTTTGGCATTCATCCATTTGTTGTGTGCATCAGTGGTTCATTCATTGTTAATGTTGAGTAGGATTCCATTGTGTGGATCTATCGTAATTTGCTTGTGCATTCACCTATTGATGGACATCTGGATTGTTTCCAGTTTGGGACTATTACAAATAAAGTTGTCATAAATATTTGTGAAGAAGTCTTGTGAGGACATGTTTTTGGGGTAAATACCTCGTTATGGGATGACTGGATCATACAGTGGATGCATTTCACTAAAGAAATTGCCAAATTTTCTTGTAAAATGATTATATCATTTTACATTCCCACCAGTAATGAATGAGAGTTCCAGTTTCTCCACATACATCCTCACCTGTGCTTGGAATGGTCAGTTGCTTTCGTTTTAGCCATTGTAGTGGTTACATAATGGTATCTCATTTTAATTTGCATATGCCTACTAACCATTGAGACTGAGCATCTTCTTATGTGCTTTTTTGACATTTGTATATCATCCTTGGTGAAGTAACTATTAAATTTTGTGCCCATTTTTCTATTGGGTTATTCATATTCTTAATGAAGTTGTTAGAATTCTTTGTATATTTTAGTTATAAGTCTTTCGTCAGATATAAGATTTGCAAATCTTTTCTCCTGGTTTGTGGCCAACTTTTTACATTCTTAAGAGTGCCTTATGAAGGACAAAAGATTTCATCTTTACTGTTAATTTTTGCTCGTATATTTTGTGCTTTTGTGTTATATTTAAGAAATCTTTGCCAAACCCAAGGCCACTAGGACCTTCTCCTGTGTTTTCTCCTAGAAATTTTATAGTTTTAGTCTTATATTCAAGTCAATATTACATTTCAAGTTAATTTTTGTATATGGTATGAGGTAAGGGTTGAGGTTCATTTTATTGCATATGGCTATTTAATTGCTTCAGCACCATTTGTTGAAAAGATTGTCCTTTACCCATTCAGTTGTTTTGGCACCTTTCTTGAAAATCAATTGACCATATACGTATGGGTTTATTTCCATTTTTGCTCTGTATTGTGTTACATCAATCTATTTGTCTATCTTTATACCAATACCACATCATCTTGATTGTTGTCATTTTACAGAAAGTCTTGAAATCAGGTATTATTGGTACTCCAACTTGGTTCTTTTTCAAAGTTGTTTTGGCTATTCTAGGTCTTTTGAATGTTCACATACATACATTTTAAAATCAGCTTTTCAATTTCTTCAAAAAAGTCTTCTAGGAATTTGATTGGATTGTGTTAAATTGACAAATCAGTTTAGGAGAGAATTGCCAATTCAACAACACATAATCTTACAATCTACGAACACACACATCATATCTCTCCACTTTATTTGTCGTTCTTTAATTTCTCTCAGCAATTCTCTGTAGTTTTCAGTGTTCAGATTTTACAAACCTTTTATTAAATGTACTCTTAAGTATTGTTTGTTGCTTTTTTTTTTTTTTTTGAGACAGAGTCTCGCTCTGTCACCCAGGCTGAAGTGCAGTGGCGTGATCTCAGCTCACTGCAACCTCCACCTCCTGGGTTCAAGCAGTTCTCCTCCCTCAGCCTCCTGAGTAGCTGGGATTACAGGCGCGTGCCACCATGCCCAGCTATTTTTTTGTACTTTTAGTAGAGATGGGGTTTCACTGTGTTGGTCAGGCTGGTCTCGAACTCCTGACCTCGTGATCTGCCCGCCTCGGCCTCTCAAAGTGCTGGGATTACAGGCGTGAGCCACCACGCCTGGCTGGTATTGATCTTAAATTTCAGTGTCTCATGTTCATTACTAGAATAGAGAAATACAATTACTTTTTGTGTATTGAACTTATGTAGGATTTTCTACACAGGCAATCATTTCACCTGCAAAAAAAGAAGTCATACTCATCCCTTTTCAATCAGAATGTCTATTACTTCTTTTTCTTGCCTTATTCCACTGGCTAACTTTAGCACAATGTTAAATAGAAATGGAGAGAGTGGCCATGCTTACTTCTTCCTGATCTTAGGGGGAAAGCATTCAGTCTTTTATCATTAACTATGATGTTTGTTGTAGTTTTTTCACAGATGCCTTATATCCCATTGAGAATGTTTTTTTCTATTCCTACTTTACTAAGAGTTTATATCGGTGATACTGGATTTTGTCAAAAACTGTTTTCTGCATCTATTGACACAATGATATGGTTTTTATTATTTTAGATGTTAATATATGGATTATAAATTGGATTTTGCATAGTGAATAGACCTCTCATTTCTGGGATAAAGCCCACTTGGACACTATGTACCGTATTATTCTTTTTATATATTGTTAGACTCAACGTTGCTAAAGATTTTATGGTTCTTTTCCCCATTTATCTAATGACAGCTATTGGTCTATGATTTTTTTTTCCTGTAATGTCGTCTGATTTCAATAACAAAGCAATGCTGGAAACTGAATAGGTTGTCACAAAGAGTGGATTTCATAGAACGAGCTGGGAAGTATTTTCTTCAATTTCTGGAAGAGTTTATGTGGAAATGGTAATCTTTCATTCTTAAATGTTTGATAAAATTTACCAGTAAAACTATATGGGCTTCGAGTTTTCTTTATGTGAAAATTTGTAATATAAATTTAATTTATTTAGCTTTGACAGTTTGTCTTTAAAATTTTTGTTCCATGTTATCTAAATTGTTGAATTTCTTGGCATAAAATTGTAAATAATATTTACTGATTATCCTTTCAGTGTGTGTGGGAGCCGTAGTTATGTGCCCTTTTTAATTCTTGATATTATTAATTTAGTCTTTTTCTTGATCAATCAGACTAAGGTTTATCAATTTTATTAATATTTTCAAAGAATCTGCTTTTGTTTCAACGATTTTCTCTATTTTTTTTGTTTTCTATTTCACTGATTTATGCTGTTATCTTTATTTTTTCTCTTCTGCTTGCACTGAGTTTAGTTTACTCTTCTTGTTTCTTTCTTTCTTTCTTTTCTTTTTTTTTTTTTTTTTTTGGGATGGAATCTTGCTCTGTCGCCCAGGCTAGAGTGCAGTGGCGCGATCTCGGCTCACTGCAAGCTCCGCCTCCCAGGTTCACGCCATTCTCCTGCCTCAGCCTCCCAAGTAGCTGGGACTACAGGCGCCCGCCACTATGCCTGGCTAATTTTTTGTATTTTTAGTAGAGATGGGGTTTCACCATGTTAGCCAGGATGGTCTTGATCTCCTGACCTTGTGATCTGCCTGCCTTAGCCTCCTAAGGTGCTGGGATTACAGGCGTGAGCCATCGCGCCCGGCCTTCTTTTTCTTTCTTATGGTGAAAATTGAGGAAATCTATTTGAGACCTTTCTTATTCTTTAAAAAAAATTTTAAATGACATATTTACTGGAGTTGTGCCTTTTCTACCACACTGGGTGAAATAAACTTGTCAGTAGTATGGTTTTGTCACTTTCTGGAACACTTGGTAACATAGATAATTAGTGCTATCAATTTCCCTCTAAGCACTGCTTTAGCTGTGTTCTACAAATTTTGATGTTATATTTTTACTTTACTCTTATTTATTTCAAAGTACTTCCTAATTTATGCCCCCTACCCCCATTTTTTTCTGGAGACACAATTTCACTCTGTCGCCCAGGCTGGAGTGCGGTGGCATGATCTCGGCTTGCTGCAACCTCCGCCTCCCGGGTTTAAGTGATTCTCCTGCCTCAGCCTCTCGAGTAGCTGGGATTACAGGTGCATGCCACCATACTCTACTACCTTTTGTATTTTTAGTAGAGACAGGTTTTCACCATGTTGGCCAGGCTAGTCTCAAATTCCTGACTTCAAGCCATCTGCCTGACTCGGCCTCCCAAAGTGCTGGGATTACAGGCATGAGCCACCCCTCTTGGCCTCTAATTTACCTTTTGATTTTTTCTTTGACTTGTAGATTATTTAAAAATGTGTTAATTTCTAAATATTTTAGGATTTTCCTGTTATCTTGTTATTATTGACTTCTAATTTAATTCCATGTGTTGAGAGAACAGTTTGTATGATCTAAATCCTTTTAAATGTATTGAAACTTATGTTTAATTGGTAAATGTTCTATGTGCACTTGAAAAAGATATGTATTCTACTGTTGTTGTGTGGATAGGTCTATAACTGCCAGTTTGGCCTAGTTTATTGATGGTGTTATTCAGTCTTTCTATATGCTTGCTGACTTCCTGTCTACTTGTTCTAAAATTACTGAGGGAGAGGATTTAAAATTTTGACTATAATTGTGAATTTGTCTGTTTCTTCTTGCATTTCTAACAGTTTTCGTTTCATGTATTTTGAAGCTCTGTTATTAAGTACATAAAAGTTTAGAATTACTAGGTCCTATTGATGAATTGTCCTTTTTATTGCTATGAAATTACTCTCCTTATCCCTAGTAATATTCTTTGCTCTGAAATCTACTTTGTTTGATATTAATAGAACCTCTGCAACTTTCTGTTGATGAGTGTTACCATGGTGTATGATTTTTAATCTTGTTACTTTTATCCCATTTGTGTCTTTATATTTAAAACTAATTTCTTTGGCTAGGCACAGTGGCTCACGCCTGTAATCTCAGCATTTGGGAGGCCGAGGCAGATGGATCATTTGAGGTCAGGAGTTTGAGACCAGCCTGGCCAACATAGTGAAACCCTGTCTCTACTAAAAATACAAAAAATTAGCTGGGCATGGTGGTGCATGCCTGTAGTCCCAGCTACCCAGGAGGCAGAGTCAGGAGAATCACTTGAACCTAGGAGGCAGAGGTTTCAGTGAGCCAAGACTGCACCACTGCACTCCAGCCTGAGAGACAGAGCGAGACTCTGTCTCAAAACAAATAAACAAACAAACAAAAACTAATCTCTTTGGAGGAAGTATAGAATTGATTTTTAATTTTTTTATCTAATCTGATAATCTCTGCCTTTTAATTAGATTTAATGTGATTATTGATATCATTGGATTTAAATCTATCATCTGGCCATTTTTTTTCTATTCCATCTGTTCTTGGGTTCTTTTTCCTCTTTTTATGCATTCTTTTGAATTAAGCATTTTGAATACTTTTTAAAAATATACTTTATTTTTTAGAGGAGTCTTAGGTTGACAGCAAAATTGAGTGGTAAGTACAGAGTACCTGTATGTCCCTCTACCTCCCCACCACACACACAATCTCTCTGATATGGTTTTACTATGTCCTCACCCAAATCTCATCTTGAATTGTAGTTCCCATAATCTCCATGTGTGGTGGGAGGGACCTAGTGGGAGGTAATTGAATCATGGGGGCGGTTTCCCCATGCTATTCTTGTGATAATGAGTAAGTTCTCATGAGAGCTAATGGTTTTGTAAGGGGCTTCCTCCTTCAGTTGGCTCTCATTCTTCTCTCTCCTGCTGCCATGTGAAGAAGGACTTGTTTGCTTCCCCTTCTGCCATGATTGTAAGTTTCCTGAGGCCTCCCCAGCCCTGCAGAACTGTGAGTCAATTAAACCTCTTTCCTTTATAAATTACCCAGTCTTGGGTATGTCTTTATTAGCAGCATGAAAATGGACTAAAACACTCTCCCATGAGAGTGGCACATTTATTACAATGAAAGAACATCCCCCACCACAGTGGTACATTTATTATAATGAAAGAACCTGCATTAACACATCATTATCACCCAAAGTTCACACTTTATATTAGGGTTCACTGTTGATGTTGTTCATTCATTGGGTTTTGACAAATGCGTAGTACATGTAACTACCGTTATAGAATCATACTGAATAGTTTCACTGCCCTAAAAATCATCTGTGCTCCATCTTTTCATCCCTCCCTGCCCACCAACCTCTGGAAGCCACTGATGTTTTTACTTAGTTTTACTGCTCTTTGCCCATAGCTTTGCCTTTTTCAGAATGTCATATATTTGGAATCATACAGTATGTAGCTTTTTTAGATAGGCTTTTTTCAGTTTGTAATATACATTTAAGTTTCCTCAATGTCTTTTTTTTTTTTTTTTTTTTTTGAGACTGAGTCTTGCTCTGTTGCCCAGGCTAGAGTGCAGTGGTGTGATCTCGGCTTATTGCAACCTCTGCCTCCTGGGTTTAAGTGATTCTCTTGCCTCAGTCTTCCAAGTAGCTGGGACTACAGGTGCATGCCACCACACCCAGATAATTTTTTGTATTTTTAGTAGAGACAGGGTTTCACCATGTTGGCCAGGCTGGTCTCGAACTCCTGACCTCAAGTGATCTGCCTGCCTTGGCCTCCCAAAGTGCTGAGATTACAGGCGTGAGCCACCGCGCCTGACCCTCCATGTCTTTCCATAGTTTGATAGCTTGTTTCTTTTTAGCACTGAATAAAATTCTACTGTCTGCATGTACCACAGTTTATTTATCTATTCACCTACTGTAAAACATCTTGTTTACTTCCAAGTTTTGGCAATTATAAATAAATCTGTTACAAACACTCATGTGTAGGTTTTTCTGTGGACGTAAATTTTCATCTCATTTGGATAAATACCCCTAGGAACATGATTGCTTGATTGTATGATAACAATATATTTAGTTTTGTCAGAAACTGCCAAACTGTCTTCCAAAGTGTCTTCACCATTTTGCATTTCCCCCAGCAATGAATGCATCCTGTTCTATATCCTTACCAGCATTTAGTGCTATTAATGTTTTGAATTTTGGCCATTCTAATAGTTGTGTAGTGTTATTGTTGTTTTAATTTGCAATTTCTAGTGACATATGAGATGGATCATCTTTTCATATGCTTATTTGCCATCCTTATATCATCTTTGGTGAGCTGTCTGTTCAGGTCTTTTGCCCATCTTTTAATTGGGTTGTTAATTTTTTTATTGTTGAGGTTTAAGGGTTCTTTGTATATTTTGGATAACAGTCTCCTGTATCAGATATGTCTTTTGCAAAAATTATCTTTCAGTCTGTGGCTTATCACCTCATTCTCTCTTAACATTGTTTTTTTGAAAAGTAGTTTTTTTGTAATGAAGTCTAGCTTGTCAATTTTTTTTTTCATGGATCACGCTTTTGGAGTTGTATATAAAAACGCATCATCATATCCAAAAGTCATCTAGATTTTCTCCTGCATTACCTTCTAGGAGTCTTATAGTTTTGCATTTTATGTTTAAGTTTATAATCCGTTTTGAGTTAATTTTTGTGAGAGATGTAAGGTCTGTGTCCAGATTTTATTTTATTTTATTGCATGTGGATGTCATTTGCTCATCATCACTGGTTGAAAATACTATCTTTCTTACAATGGAGACATTGTATTGCCTTTGCTCACTTGTCAAAAATCAATTGACCATATTTATATGTGTCTACTTCTGGCCTTTCTATTCTGTTCCACTGATCTACTTGTCTGTTCATTTGCCAATACTACACTGTCTTGATTATTATAGCTTTATAGTGAGTCTTGAAGTCAGGTAGTATCAGTCCTCTGACTTTGTTCTCCTTTAATATCGTGTTGGCTATTCTGGGTTTTTTGTCTCTCCGTATAAATTTTGGAATCAGTTTGTTAATATCCACAAAATAACTTGGTGGAATTTTCAGAACTATAGATATAGTTTCAGAACTATAGATATAGTTGGGAAGAACTGACATCTTGATAATATTGAGTCTTACTATCCATGATAATGGAATATCTCTTTATTTATTTGGTTCTTTTTTATTTTTGATCTGAGTTTTATAGTTTTTCTCATATAGATATTGTACTTATATTGTTAGATTTATGCCTAAGTATTTTATTTTGGGGATGATAATATAAATAGTATTGTGTTTTTAATTACAAAATTCAGTTGTTTATTCCTTGTATAGAGAAGCAATTGACTTTTGTAATATTCACCTTGCATCCTGAAACTTCTTCATAATTGGTTATTAATTCTAGGAGGTTTTTTCCTGTTTATTCTTTGGAATTTTCTATAATCATGTCATTTGCAAAAACAGACAGTTTCGTTTCTTTCTTCCCATCTGTGTACCTTTTTTTCTTGTCTTATTGCATTAGCTAGAACTTCCAGTACAATAATGAAAAACAGTGGTGATAGGAGACATTCTTGCCTTGTCTTTGTAATTATTTTATTTATTTTTTATTTTTTTTATTTTTTGTAATTTGAAAAACCATAAAGTTTTTATTATTATATAATTCTTATGAGATCATGGGTATACTACCATATTGTCTCTATCATAGAACAAAACTCAAAAATTTCAAGATTTAACTCTGGAAGAAGACTTTCCAAGCAGGAAGGGGAAGCTTGCCCAAGCAACCCCTACACTCTTCCAAGGTTATCCTATCCTTTGGAACTTCCTTACCTCAAGAACCATTGTCAACCCCATGGATACAATTTCTTTCTTTCTTTCTTTCTTTTTTTTTTAATTGATCATTCTTGGGTGTTTCTCGCAGAGGGGGATTTGGCAGGGTCACAGGACAATAGTGGAGGGAAGGTCAGCAGATAAACAAGTGAACAAAGGTCTCTGGTTTTCCTAGGCAGAGGACCCTGCGGCCTTCCGCAGTGTTTGTGTCCCTGGGTACTTGAGATTAGGGAGTGGTGATGACTCTTAAGGAGCATGCTGCCTTCAAGCATCTGTTTAACAAAGCACATCTTGCACCGCCCTTAATCCATTCAACCCTGAGTGGATACAGCACATGTTTCAGAGAGCACAGGGTTGGGGGTAAGGTCACAGATCTACAGGATCCCAAGGCAGAAGAATTTTTCTTAGTACAGAACAAAATGAAAAGTCTCCCATGTCTACCTCTTTCTACACAGACACGGCAACCATCTGATTTCTCAATCTTTTCCCCACCTTTCCCCCCTTTCTATTCCACAAAACCGCCATTGTCATCATGGCCCGTTCTCAATGAGCTGTTGGGTACACCTCCCAGACGGGGCGGCTGGCCGGGCAGAGGGGCTCCTCACTTCCCAGTAGGGGCGGCCGGGCAGAGGCGCCCCTCACCTCCCGGATGGGGCGGCTGGCCGGGCGGGGCGCTGACCCCCCCACCTCCCTCCCGGACGGGGCGGCTGGCCGGGCAGAGGGGCTCCTCACTTCCCAGTAGGGGCGGCCGGGCAGAGGCGCCCCTCTGTAATTGAGTATTTTAAATGATTCTGTTTTATCTTTTGTGTCGGCTCATTAGCTATAACTCTTTTTTATTATTTTTGTAACAAAAGGTTTATAGTATACAGACTACCCTCAAATAATATTATACCATTTCACACAAAGTATGTTAAAACAATATATCCATTTTCCCTTCCTTGTGTTAATGTTATACATTTTACTTCTTTATGTTATAAACCTTCCAATATAATGTTATTGTTTTTGTTTTGCACAATTATTTTTAAAGAGATTTTTTTAAATAATAAAAGATCTTTTATATTTACCTATATATTTACCATTTCCATTGCTCTTTATTCCTTTGTATAGATCCAGATTTCCTTCTGATATTGTTTTCCTTCTGCCAATAGAACTTCCTTTAACATTTATTGTTGCGCAGCTCTGCTGGTTACAAATTCCCTTACTTTTTATAAGTCTGGAAGAGCCATTTGAAATGCCTGAAATTGTCATTGTTGAAAGACATTTTTGATGGGTTTTGACAAATTTTTTTCTTTCAGTACCTTAAAGATGTTGTTCCACAGTCTTCTGGTTTACATTGTTTCTGACATGATGTCTTCTGCCATTGTTATCATTGTTCCTCTATATGTAATGTAGGGGTTTTTTTTCTGAATGTTTTTAAGATTTTATCTTTATCTCTGCTTTTGAGCAATTTGATAATGATGTTTCTTGATGTAATTATTCATGAGGCTTTTTGTTTATTTTGCCTGGGGTTCATTAAGTTTCTTGGATATTTGACTTTACAGCATTAATCAAAGTTGGAAATTCCTCAACCATTACTTCTTCAAACATTTTTGCTGTCCATCCCTATTTCTCCTCTCCTTTAGAGAACTCTATTTACAAGTATATTTGGCTGTATGAAGTTTTGTCATAGCTTACTCATGCTTTTTCACTTTTAAACATTCTTTTAGGCCAGGCACAGTGAAGGCAGATAGGTTGCTTGAGCTCAGGAGCTCGAGACCAGCCTAGGCAACATGGCAAAACTTCGTCTCTACAAAAAATGCAAAAATTAGCTAGGTGTGGTGGCATGCACCTGTTGTCCCAGCTACTCTGGAGGCTGAGGTGGGAGGATCGCTTGAGCCTGGGAGGCAGAGGTTGCAGTAAGCCAAGGTCATGCCACTGAATTCCAGCCTGGGTGACAGAGCAACACCTGTCTCCAGAAAAGAAAAAAAAAAAAACCCAAAACATTATTTTTCCTCTTTATGTTTCATTTGGTATCATTTGTATTGCTATGTCTTCACGTTTACTGATCTTTTCTTCACAGTATTTAATCTGCTGGATGTTAAATCTCAGATATTGTCATTTTCATCTCCAGAACTTCATTCAGGTCTATTTTTATGTCTTCCATGTCTCTATCTAACATGCTCTATCTTTGCCTTCTTGAACACATAAAATACATAACTACTACTAAACGTTGTCTACTAATTCTATCAAGTGTGTCATTTCTGGGTCTGCTTCTTTTTATTTTGCTCCTCACTGTGAATCAGATTTCTGTTCCTTTACATGCCAGATGATTTTCTGATTGGATGGCAGGCCTTGTGAATTTTACCTTGTTAGTGCTAGATATTTTTGTATCCCTGTAAATTTATTTTTAAAATTATTTATTTATTTATTTTTTAAGAGACAGATTCTATGTTGCCCAGGCTGTACTCAAACTCCTGAGCTTAAGCGATCCTACTGCTTCTGCCTCCCATGTAGCTGGGACTACAGGAATGTGCCATCACACCTGGCTTCCTATAAATATTTATAAGCTTTGTTTTGGAACATAGTTATGTTACTTTTAAACTTTGTTAGGTGAAAAAGAAGTTTTAACTAAAAATAAAGAAAAACAAAGGAAAAAAACTTTGTTAGATGCGACTGTTGGTCTAAGGCTAATTTGTCCTACCACTGAGACAATACCTAAGTATTCTACCCAAAACCCTATTAATTATGAGGTTTTCACTCTGGCTGGGAGGAAAGATTATAGCCCTGTACTCTGCTTCTTTGGCGTGGTTCCTTTCCTAGCTTAAGGTAGTTTTCTCACATGCATGTGCTGACCAGCACTCACTCAGCTGAAGGCTTCGGGGAGACCCTCTTCAAATCTCCAAAGCTTTCTCTCTCTGGGTACAACTCTCTCCTGTTCGGTACTCTGTTCTGCAAACTAGCCACCTTGGTTTCTCTGGACTCCCATGTCTATCTTCTCAACCACAGGAAGGAGATATGAAGATGGAACCTCTTTATATTTATCACAGTGAAAACATGCCGTGCCCTAAAATGAAGTCCATCCAGGCCCAGGAAAAACTAAGAAAATCTCATTTGCACTCGCCAGAAGTATTCCAAGTGAATGGCTGTTCTTGGACTTGGCTGATAGTCCTTCAGAGGCTGCCTTTTCCAGAGACTCAGTCCCTGGGCTGGGTGCAGTGGCTCACACCTGTAATCCAAGCACTGTGGGAGGCTGAGACAGGAGAATCGCTTGAGGCCAGGAGTTCAAGACCAGCCTGGGCAACATAGAGAGATCCTGTCTCTACTTTTAAGATTTTTAAAAAGAAAGAGCAAAAGGAAAAAAGAAACTCAGTCCCTCTTGTAAAAGTGCCCCCTGTGAGCCCCTGAAAGGGGTGATGGTCTCTGTGGGACACCACTCAGGGCTGAGTGTTGCCTAACCGTGGCTTGTACCAGGAAGGCCCCGGCATGAAAGGCAATGGCACACTCCTTCTTCCAGAAACCTCAGCTCTAGTCCAAGGGTGAAGATGGATGAGCTGATAGCGGACCTGGTAAAAGAGCTTCTGCAATCTATTGGAGTGAGACTACCTCACAGAAGCCTGAGGTGTCCCACTAGTGTGGTTGCGGGTGGCCCTGTTTATCCACACTGCTCTGTAGAGGGGAGGAACAATCTGTCTTTGCCTTTTTCAAAGACAAGGAGACCACTCCTGCTTTAAAACAGTAACTGCCCCTCCTAACCAGAATATCTGGTCTCAGGATGGAGCCAAGCATGTTATGATTGGATCCACGGGGCCCTCTGACTGTCCCCCAAAAGGATAATTATTGGTTAACTTTTTAAATATGCAAAATACTTCATTTTTGTACGTGGAGGACACAAGTTTTTTCCCCTCCACTGACACTTCATATTTAAGTGTGGGTTATTGAAGCTGACAGTGTTAAATATCCAAATTCCTCACCATACCTTGATTCCTGGAAATAATCTGTTCAATATTTTTAACTAGGCTACCACAGATTCAATGGTTATCTGCATTCCTTAATGGAATTTAAAAATTGTAAACAAGTAATAAAATAGTTTAAGAATGATACCAAAAAGTATAAAAGTATATAAAATTAAAATATCCTTTCCCATCCTTCATCCCACCTGTCATTTCCACATATCTTAGCTAACCATTATTAGCAGTTTGTTGTGTATTTGTCTAGAATATTTCTGTACTTACACATTACTTACGGTAGAGCTTTATTTATTTATTTTTGAGGCAGGGTCTCACTTTGTCTCCCATGCTGGAGTGCAATGGCATGATCTAGGCTCACTGTAGCCTCCACTCCCTAGGCTCAAGTGATACTCTTGCCTCAGCCCCCCGAGTAGCTGGGATTACAGGAGCGTGCCACCACACTTGGCTAATTTTTTGTATTTATCGTAAAGATGGAGTTTCTCCACGTTGCCCAGGCTGGTCTCGAACTCCTGAACTCAAGTGATCCACCCACCTCGGCCCCTAAAGTGCTGGGATTATAAGCATGAGCCACCATGTCCGGCCAGTACAGCATATTGGTTAATAATAAACACTTTGGAGCCAGTATGCTTGAGTTTGAATTCTGACTTGCCCATTTACTAGTTGGGTGACTTTGGGCCAGTTACTTAACCTCTCTATATGTCGGTTTCTTCATATAAAATTGAGATACTATTAGTATCCACTTCATAGATTTGTTCTGAGGATAAGTTAATAAATGTAAAACACTTACAATAATGCCTCTATATAATAAGAACGATATAGATATTATTATATATTTTATTATTGCTATTATGCATGCATTTTTATCTTCGTTATACAAATGGAATCGTGCCATGCATGTTGTTCTACAAACTTATATCACCTAATGAACATATCATGGGTATCTTTCAATATTAATACAACCTCATTCATTGTAATGACAGCACAGCATTCAATTGTATGATTGCAGGAGTTGGAGTTGTTTTTAAATCCAAGGTGTAAGAAACTGTAGTGTACATGACAGCATATCACAAAACATGTCCCAAAACGACAATCTTGGCATCCTGGGTTGTAGGAATGTCAGGGAGAGGAGAGGTCAGAACTGGTGTTTGCTTTTGTCTATGCTGAGCTCCTAAAGGACAGGACTGGTTTGCTGCTGTGATCTGAGAGTTGACGATTGCATTGTCTCACTCTTAGATGTTCGGTGTTTACGGTTGCTGTTTAATTGATCAATTTTTATAAGTGTTCTCTCCAAACATGGTTTTCTAGCAGGCCCTTTGAAAAGAAGTCATCTTTTTCCTGCCCCTTCCCATGACCTGAAGTGGGAAGAACTGATCCCTCAGGGAAGGTCTATGTATAACCTGGCAGGAAAGGAGCCTCTGGGAGCACATGAATGATGTAAATGTAAAATCAAGGGGGCAGATTTGTGTGTGAGTGTGTGTGTGTTTTGTGTTTGTGCATGTATGAGAATGTGCATGTGCATATGTGTGAGTGTGGACTCAATGCTGACTTCCTCCCTTACTCTCCACCCCCTATTTACTCTCCCATCACTTTCTACTTATCTTATGTATAGGAATCAGTGCATAAAGTCAATGAACAGTTAAGAGCTGTATTCCGAACTAAAACACAACATGGCTATCAGGAAACAAAGAGACACAAAAGTTAGGGGAACACCCAGCTCACAGGAAATTAGTATAGTATCTAGCTCTAAGTACCAGATTTAGGAGCCTAGTTCAACTACCTATCAGCTTCATGACAACCTATTTGTGCCTCAGTTTTCCCATTTTTAAGGTGATCAAGAGAATAACACCTACCTTATAGACTAATATTGAGGATTCAATGAATTAAATTCATGAAGTACCTCAACAGTGCCTGACACTGAGAAGCACTGAATAAATGTCAACTATTATATCGAAATGTATCCACCCACCCCACCTCTAAACTCCAGGTTCCTTTTGTGCTAACTTCCTTACACTTCATTCTGTTGAAAGAGAAATCACAGAAAAAATATCACACAGACGCTTAGTGCAATATACATATACGTATCACTCTAGAAATTGTTCCAAGGAGAGGTTCAGAGCCATTTCAGGCACCATCTGATTAGATGCTGTAAGCAGCGGGCATGGAATCCCTCTGGACTTTTGAAATCAGATGGGCATTTGTTCAACACATTCCTGTAGGGGTAGTCTACAAAATTAAACTAACACGGCAAAAGGACCCAGCAGTCCAAGAACTTGCCCACCTAAAATGGTCATCGTAGGCAGAGCAAATGTTTAAAGTGAGGATACAGCGTTTAATTGCCCCTTGTCTTACTGAAAGGTGTTATTCACATATTGCTCAGCAATCACTGAAAACATGTGCCAATGAGGGCCGATAACTCCGTTTGGAATGTGCTGCTTGTTTCTGAGACTTTACAACAATGACTGGCCAGGATTTTACTCTCCAGACTCACGTAGAAATGAGTGTGTCCTGTGTGATGTCTCCAACAGAGAACAATCAAAAGGAATCAAAAAGATGTTAGCCATTGAGCTCTAGAAACCCAGCTGCCTTCTCCCGGCCTCCAGACACACAACAGCTTCATTGTATGAGGAGAGAGCATTGAACTGAAGCTTTCCTGCAAGCATATTTGAACTTGGACCTTCAGTGCACAGACCAGCAGCCAGCTTCCAGCCCAGGCACCCCCTCCTCTCCTCCCTTCTCTTCAACTCTGCAAGAGAATTTCGTTCCATTTAAGTCCAGGAGATGTGGCAAAAACAACACTCCAAACACCACTTCCATTTATGGCAACGGGATCCTTTAAACCAGTGAGAAATAGTCCTTCAGCTCATAAGTCCTTTAGCTTCTCCTGTGCCTCATACATTCGTTTTCTCTGCTCACATCGGAGGGAAGAAATAGGCCTAAAGAGTTGGGGTTTATTTTTTAAGTTTTTTTTTTTTAAGGAGAAAAAAAACACTGATATCAACAAAAAGAAGAGTCACTCATTATTAATATTAGAAGGACATTAGCTAGACACAGATCAACTTCCACATTTTTCAGATGAGGAAACTGAGGCCAAAGAAGCTAAAAGCCCTAGCAGCACTGTGGGAAAATCCCTAGGATGAGCCATCTTAGGACACAACATTGAAAGCCATGCCCTCATTTCCCTTACTTACTTGCACTATTAACTTCCTATTAATGATTACGATAAATTGCTGTATACTAAGTCCTATACTCAGGAGAAAGAAGCAAAACTGTACCCAGCAGGAGTTTACCAGGACTGAGTTAATGTCTTTTTCTTTGAATCCATTTCATCGCTCATACCCGCGATCCCTGTCAATGCAATGATAAACCATTTTTTTTGTCATTTATGTTCAAATCCTTAGAGTCATAGCCATGCTTCATGTTCACCCCTTTTTTTGATACTTCAAGTCCTGTTAATTACCCATTAAATATTCATTCTCTCAACAGGCATGTATTCATCTCCTTCCCTGTGCCAAGCACTGTTCCTCCGTGTGGTTGTCCCTTCCTTTCCTCTCCAATCCTTCATTCATCCCCCAGGCCCAAGCTTTTTCACCTTCCAATGACTGGTGCTGCAAGAACTACATGGTTGCCTCCAGGCCACCTGTCTCCAGTACATTATGTCTGGCCAATCTTCCTTCAACATTGCACCAGTCATGCCATCAGGAAGTCTGCAGTTGACTGCTTCCTAGTACTTAGCAATTCAGGTTCAAGTTCTTCCCCCTGGTTTTCAAGTTTTCCTGCAACCACCTTAGCTACCCAAACTTATGCTCCCACTATTTTCACCTAACTCTTCTTTAACTGGTGAAACTGCACTCATCCTTCAAGGCCTAGAGTCATGTATCACCTGCTCTCTAAAAAGTCCCTCTTCCCCACCATTGGAGCAATGGCTCCCTCTTACTCCTCCCAGGGCACTCACTTCTAGCACAAGACTGTCCAAATTGCTGTATGCCTATTTGTTCACCTGGATTCTGAGCTTTCTGAACATAGGGACTATCCTTTTAAATGTTGTATTCCAATGTCCAACAGAGTGGAGGAGCTCAATAAATATCTTGTGTTGGATTCATTTATAGCTCCTAGCACAGCACAGAGCTCTCCACGGTGTTCAGTGAAGACTTGCTGAGCATCTGACATCAGGGCATCATTCAGTGATAAAGACAGGTGTATAAACAGCAATCATGACACAAAAGATATGTTCATAAAGCACTCTTTTTTAAAGAAGAAATTTCCCTTTTTGAGAAAATGAGACCAAAGAGATCAAAAGTCCAAGCAGTACTTTAAAATTTATCTTAGAACATCAGAAAGGACACCAGAGATTTCGTTTTTAAAGAGGAGCTTTCCCTTTTATTATTTTAAAGGAGTGCCCCCATTATTTTAAAGAATTAGAAAGAAAGTCTGGATTCACTCCATAATTGCTAAGGAATAAAAATATTACATCTCTGAAAGAGCAATCTTATTTTACCAAGCCTGAAGGTATGCCTAATCTAGAATAATACATTTTAAGTAAAATTAAAACAATGTAATTAGCAATATGAAACATATGGGGGCTATGATGACCAGGATGAAAACAGATGTGATCTTTTTTGTTGGACCACTTTACTATTCATTTATTTAAGGGCATTTTCCTCCCTGTACCCTAACTACTAAAATGGCCCTCATGCTATTTTTTTAAAATACTTTCCTTAAATACTTAAGCATTTAGGATATCATACCACTTATTTGCTATTTGTTAACTCATATGGCATTTTCAGTTTTTAAAAAGAGTTGGCTCAGAAAACTGAGCATATCAGGATGATGTTATGGATGATACCAGCCATGAAAAATACACTTCCTATGATGTGCAGAAAACCACATCAGTTTCACCAAAAAAACACAATTTGTGCCTCTGGAATTGGATCTCATATCAAACATTTATCAAATACATATGATGGACAAGATCCTGTGCAGAAAACCAGGTTGTACCTGGGCGACTCCTTGCTCTCAAGTTGACCATACAGGGAAGGGGCATTTGAGCTGGGAAGTTTTTCACTCACTCCCCTCCATGTGTATACAGAAATGGCGAGGTCTTTCTAGTACCAGGCTCACTGTTTAGAAACACTACACATCTGTGTGTGACTAAGGGCTCTGAAAGCGCATGAGGAGGAGGTTCTGGTGAGGATGTCTCTCTTTTGTTGTGGCTGCTGAGTCAGCCTACTCCCCACATCTGGCCCTTCATGGGGGGCATCTACCACTATTCATTTTGTCCTAAATGCATTTGTTTACCTTTGATGTGCCAGGAACCAAGCCCACTGAGTCTCCTTTGGGTTTAGAACCATATTGTCTACAAAACAATCGCAACATCTATAGTCATTGAAAGGCATTTGGAGAAACATTCTCAAGAATTCGAGAATTGAAGTTACATAAAGCATGTTTCCATCTAAATGCACTGGGGAATAAAAAAGGGTTCACGGGGCCTCTGGCATTGCTCCAGGAAAGGACTATTACACCACAGAGGAATTGGGTTTTTGCCCAGTGGCCTTTGGAATGACCTGAACTTTATATACTTTTTAAAATAGATGCCCTGTATAGTCATCACCTGGCAGTAGAGAAATTTCCCAAGTCTACTCTATTACATGTGATGCTTACATTCTTCTGCAAGCATTCGTATATTCTACACCCCCAATGGGCCTGATCCCCAGGACCTACACTAAAGGATCTCTCCCACTTGCCAATGGTAGTGATATCCCAGCCTTAGCAAGAGGTCCTTGCCTTGGAGACACCTAGGTTTATTTTTTTTAACTTCTTTAAAAAATAATTTCAACTTTTATTTTAGATTCATGGAGTACAAATGCAGGTTTGTTACTTGGATATGTTGTGTGATGCTGAGGTTTGGGATACAGAGAATCCCATCACCCAGGTAGTGAGCATAGTACCTGATACTATGCTCTTCAGCCCATGCCTGCCTCCTTCTCTCCCCTCTCTAGTAGTCCCAGTGTCTGTTGTTCCCATCTCTTTTCTTTCTTTCTTTTCTTTGAGACGGAGTCTCGCTCTGTCGCCAGGCTGGAGTGCAGTGGTGTGATCATGGCTCACTGCAACCTCCATCTCCCGAGTTCAAGCGATTCTCTTGCCTCAGCCTCCTGAGTAGCTGGGACTACAGGTGTGCACCATCAAGCCCAGCTAATTTTTGTATTTTTAGTAGAGATGGGATTTCACCGTGTTGGCCAGGATGGTCTCCAATTCTTGACCTCATAATCCGCCCGCCTCGGCCTCCCAAACTGCTGGGATTACAGGAATGAGCCACTGTGCCTGGCCTATGCTATTATATTTTACCACAATTAAAAAACACAAGGAACTACAGAAAAAGCAAGGAAGCTACTCATAACCTTACACAATATCCCCCTACTCCCAGTCTCCACTGTCAATCATAACTTTCTGGAGAAGTAAATGGAGAAAGCATATTGCAGGTTAATTTATGTTTGAGGCAGCTTATTCCAGCCATAGAAAGGGGATGGATTTAAGCAGGACAAAAGGAGAGGCAGGGAGGCTGGTGATGCAGTGACAGCAATAAGGCAAAAGATAATGAAAGCCTTAACTAGCTAGCTCTCTGCTAAAAGACAGACATTAGAAACACATTGAGAACCTAAATATGTTTGGTGCGTGACTAATGATAAAGATGAAGAGGAAGAAATCTAGGTACCTAGCTTTAGAAACTTAGCGATGCACCATTACTTGAGACCAGATACACAGGGAAACTGAAATTTAATAATTTAATTAGAAATTTTAAATATTTTCACTAAAATTTTAAATAACTTGATTACAATTGCTAATTGGGAATGTGATTATAGTGGTTTGTAATTTGTTAACTTGGTTAAAATGGCTATTTCCCAGACTGCTCTTCCTCATATGTTTCTGGCTGGGGTAAACCGTAAGAGACATTTTGTGTGAGTTCTGCAAGGTGGAAGTGAAGCAGCACCCAGAATGTTTTGACATGCAAAGGGTTGGTGCAGGAGCACTAGGCACCAATGCAGCTCACGTGTACGTGATATCACTTATCTGCTGCTTCATCTCCTTGGCATGGGGCAGCAGCCAGTCCTGCAGTTAGCTTCTCCACCTCCTCCTGGATCTTCCTTCAGCTTTTCTAACTCTTGAGCCGGGGAGTATTTAGCTCCAAGACAAAGTGTGCCAGCTTCTCCTGTAGACACCCACATCATCAAAGTTAGAGGTAAGAGAGACTGACACAGGATCCATCCATCTTTCTGGGTTCTGGTTGGTGGTTCTAGGATTCAGCTTGTTCCTCCTCCTTTTCTCCATTTACATGCATCTTCCCACTTCCTGACTGCCAGTCATGCAAACTTCATGCTCCAGCATGAGACACAAAGACAACAGCCTCACAGAGACTGGATAATCACATCTCACAATTGTGTAAGGTTCAACTTCTGGTGGTTTTGCTTCCCTGACAAACCCTGATAGAGAATTTGGTAGCAGACAAGATTCCAGGGGTATAGAACCTGAAGAATGAGTTGTCTAAACAGGTTCCAGGTTACTTGGAATTCATCCTCTGATTTTCCTAATGCCCTGTTTCCAATGGTTAAGAGGACATTAGTATTATGCAGTGGCAAACAGTTACACAAATTATCACATTGACACCTTTAATCAAATGCCTATGGAACGACGGTTGGCAAACTTTTTCTGAAAAGGGACAGATGATAAATATTTTAGGCATTGGAAGCCACATAGTCTCTGCTGCATACACTCCACCTAGACTCTGCATAGTCTCTGTCTCTACTCAACTCTGTGGTTGTAGCACAAAAACAACCACAGACATATGTGTATGAATGAACGTGGCTATGTTCCAATAAAACTTTATTTACAAAAATAGGGGCAAGCCAGATTTGGCTCAGGAGTCATAGCTTGCTGACTTCTGCTATAGAAGGAAAGCTTTGGATGAACAAGTATTTGCTGCCATAGAATATTTCAGTGAAAATACAAACCATAATGGGATTGATTAATTGCTTCTAAGTGTGCTGGAGAACTTCAGAAAAGAAAATGATGAGCTCTGGGCTTTACATTCTTAGCTCAAGGTCTATATAAGGAAGCTAAACTCTTCTATGATTACCCTAAAAGAATTCTGACTGATACAGTGATGACTGAACTAAAATCAGTAGATGTTTTGCAGGCTAACTTTAAAAAGAAGCAATAAATTTGTAGGGGAGTTAATTTGGGACATGCCAAGTTGGAGGTGTCAATGAAGCGTCCAAGTGGTGACGCTTGGCAGACAGTAGGATGCATAGTCTGAAACTCTGGGAGAAATGTCCATTTGGAAATCACTCACACGTACTCAATTGTTATAATCACAAGAATAAAAGAGGTAACAAGGAAAATGAGAGAGAGAGAGAAAGAGAGAGAGAGAGAAAGAGAGAGAGAGAGAAAGTGCAGGAGGCTAAAGCAGACCCTAAGAAACCCAACATTCAGTGGAGGGACAGGGGACGAGGGGCCCGTAAAAGAGCCTGAGAAGTTGAAGACCCCAGAAGAGAGTAGCATCGCCAAGATCAAGGAACTGGAGTGTATCAAGAAACTGCGAGTGAATGCAATAAAACTGCACATGGCAGAGGTTGAGAAAGTCCTAAGTCAAAATTGAAACAAAAGATCCACTGCCTTCAAAAGAAACAACTGGAGAGGAAAGGCAAGGTGATGAATTTTTATGAGGTGTGTCACCAGGAACACCATTCATTCCATAAGCATTCCTTTCTTTAAAGAGGAATACCTCTCTTAACAGCTTAACTCAGGGTGGTGCAAAGAAGCTTTTTTTTTTTTTTTGAAGGGTTTTTTCAAATGTTTATTTTATGTACAAAGAACTATCATGTTTTTAATTGAGTAGATGCCTTGGATAATCCTTTGAAGGAAGATCGTTTAGACCAGCTTAATGAAACAGACATCCTTCGCGTACTGACGGAAACACTGGCGGCACATATTGAGGCCGTATTTCAGGATCAGACCTGCCGGTTCGAACACACGCGACAAGAGCAAAGAAGTTAAAAGAGAAGTGTCTGTGTGGCTCCTTCCACGTGGGTGAAGGACTGTGCCAGCTGAGAGGTGGTAGAGCAGGAAGCTGCCTGAGGACCTCCATTTATTTGGTGAAAAACTGGGCTCCGCCCTTAAGAGAGCAAGTCGAGGGCCGTGTAGGAGTTGGAGGAGAGAAATGAAATTTTGGAAGAGTCAGCAGAAGGTGGGAAATTTTTATTTCATTTACAGCAGTACAGACTTCATGCAGCCAAAAGTATGAATGCCCTTTCTTCTGTGACTTACACTGTAAAGGGAGCATTTCTCTTATGTGCAAACTAACCATAGTGGACATGTTTGTCTACATCCAGACCAGTTCCTAGATTCAAAACTTGTCTTTGTTTTTGTTTTTGTTTTTTTTTTCTTTTTTTGAGATGGAGTCTCACCCTGTCACCCAGGCTGGAGTGCAGTGGTTCTGTCTTGGCTCACTGAAACCTCCGCCTCCCGGGTTCAAGTGATTCTCCTGCCTCAACCTCTGGAATAGCTGGGACTACAGGCATGAACCACCATGGCTGGCTAGTTTTTGCATTTTTAATAGAGATGGGGTTTCACCATGTTGGGCAGGCTGGTCTCCAACTCCTGAACTCAGGTGATCCTCCCACTTTGGCCTCCCAAAGTGCTGGGATTACAAGCGTGAGTGAGCCATGGCGCCCGGCCATGTATTTGTTTTATAACCATGAGAAACTAAAATCAAAAGTCTATTTGTAGATTCTCCCAGTGGGTTATAAAATCTGGAATATTTCTGAAGAAATTATTTCTGCTACACACACACAGACACATACACAGAGAGACACACACACAGCGCAGGTGACAGCTCTTTGGTAACTCAACTATGAAGTATAGTTTTTAGAATATTTTCACTGATGAAAGATCAAACTACAGTGATTCTGTGTGAACTCTGGTGTGTATGCGTGTTTCTGTGTGTGTTGTATAAATATATATATATATTTCACCTTAAAATCAGAGAAGAACCTGATTTTGAAAGAGCAACTGACAAATTTTATTTCCAGGGAGATTCGCTGCCAAAAGGGAAAAACCATCCTGTCTGGTCTCACCAAATACCATCTCCCGTCTATTCGCCACTCAGCAACCAGAGTGATCTCTTAGAAACATAATTGGGTCATATCACTCTTCTGCTGAAAACTCCCAATGGAGAGTATTCACCAAAATGTTAACACAATCCTTTCTGGGTGTCTTAATGCTTTGAGAAAATGAACAGTAGATTTTCCTCATTAAAAGATTAGGCCCTCTGTCTTAAGGAGGAGGAGGAAGAGAAGGAGGAATAGGAGGAGGAAGAGAAGGAGGAATAGGAGGAGGAAGAAGAGGAGGAAAAAGGAGAGGAGGAGGGGGAGAGGGAGGGAGAAGAGAGGGAGGAGAAAGAGGAGGAGGAAGAGGAGGGAAGAAGCCCTACTGCAGATTGGACAGCTTCAAACAAAAATAGCATTACCCCTACTCCTACATTTCATTCATTTTGTTATCCCAGGGTGGGCCATTTTGAAGTTGGTAAGGGTTTATTTTAAAGGATTGGGCCTTCTCAGAGAGAGAGTAGACAATGATAGGCAAAGATGGGGCTCTCTTCTTAGGAGGTATTTCATACTCCCAGTCCCTACTAGAGTCTGTGTTGAAGGTTTCTAAATTTTATTTCTAACCCTGAAGTCTCACTAGGCATCTATTGGAAGTCATAGTTTCCAATCAAATGTATAGCCTTCAGTTTGAAGCATTTGAACATGTTTAAAGTCAAATTTGCCATTTGTCCTAAAATAGCAGGCTCCCTTTTCAAACTAACTTATCTCTGTTAATGCAATATTATTCTCTAAATTTACGCAGGCATAAAATCTAAAGTGGAGTCACTCATCTTTGATTTATCCCTTGTTTAAAAAGTTGAGATCAAATCCACATTACATAAAATTCAGCATTTTACCAACTTTAAGGTGCACAACTCAGTAATTTTTAGTATATTCACAATGTTGTACAACCATCACTACTATCCAATTCCAGAGTATTTCCCATATTTCCCAATTTCCTCTTCCCCTCATCCTGGCACTACCAATCTACAATCTGTCTCTATGGATTTGACTATTTTGGACATTTCTATAGATGAAATAATAGAATGTGCAGTCTTTTGTGTCTAACTTATTTCTTTCAGCATAATGTTTTGAAGGTTCATCCATGTTGTAACATGCATTGTATCAGTATATCAGTCATTTTTGTAGTTGAATAACGTTCCATTATATACCACATTTTGTTTATCCCCTTATCAGCTGATAAACATTTGGTTTGTTCCATTTTCAGGCTATTATGAATAACACTGCTATGAACATTGGTGTACAAGTTTTTGCGTGAACATATGTTTTTGAATTATACATTCAAAACGTACATGAACATCCATTTTTGGTATATACCCAATTTCTTGGGTATATCCAATTTGGTACATACCCAATTTCTTGGGTATATCCAATTTGGTACATACCCAATTTCTTGGGTATATCCAATTTGGTACATACCCAATTTCTTGGGTATATCCAATTTGGTACATACCCAATTTCTTGGGTATATCCAATTTGGTACATACCCAATTTCTTGGGTATATCCAATTTGGTACATACCCAATTTCTTGGGTATATCCAATTTGGTACATACCCAATTTCTTGGGTATATCCAATTTGGTACATACCCAATTTCTTGGGTATATCCAATTTGGTACATACCCAATTTCTTGGGTATATCCAATTTGGTACATACCCAATTTCTTGGGTATATCCAATTTGGTATATACCCAATTTCTTGGGTATATACCAAGAAGCAGAATTGCTGAATCATACAGTAACTTTATTTTCAACTTTTTGAGGAGCTACCAAACTGTTTTCCATAGCAGCTGCACCATTTCATTCCCACCGGCAATGTATGAGGATTCCCATTTCTCCCTATCCTTGCCAACACTTATTTTTCCTTTTTTTTAATTAAAGCCATCCTGGTGGATGTGAAGTGGTATCTCATTGTAGTCTTAATTTGCATTTGTGTAATGACTAATGATGTTAAGCATCTTTTCACATGCTTATTGATCATTTGTATATTTTCTTTGCAGAAATATCTGTTCGAGTCCTTTGCTCATTTTTAAATTGGATTATTTGTCCTTTTATTGTTGAATTTTAAGGGTTCTTTATGTATTCTGGCTACTAGACTATTATCAGATATATGATTTACAAATATTTTCCCCCGTTCTCTGGTTTGTACTTTTACTTTCTTGCTAGTGCCCTTTGGTGCACTAAAGTTTTTAATTTTGATGAAGTCCAACTTCTCTATTTGTCTTTTATTGCTTGTGCTTTTTGTGTCATATTTAAGAAACCATTACCTAATCTAAGGTCACAGAGATTTACACCTGTTTCCTTTGAAAAGCTTTGTTATTTTAGCTCTTATAGTTAGTTATTTGATCGATTTTTACTTAATTTTTGTATACAGTGTAAGCTGGGAGTCCAACTTCATTCTTTGATATGTAGATATTCAGTTGTCCCAGCACCATTTGTTGAAAAGACTGTCCTTTCTCCCCGGAACAGTCTTGGAAACCTGTTGAAAATCAATTGTCCACAGGTGGATGGATTTATTTCTGAACTTTCGGTTTAATTCAGTTAGTCTATATGTCTAGCCTTATGCGAGTACCATACCCTTTAGAATACTGTAGCTTTGTAGTTAAGTTTTAAAATCCAGAATTGTGAGTCCTTCAATTTTTTCTTTTTCAAAACTATTTTGGTTATTCAAGGTCTCTTGCATTTCCACATGGATTTTAGGATCTGCTTGTCCATTTCTGCAAAAACCAAGGAGGCAGTTTGAATTTTTATAAGTTTTACATTAAAACTGCAGAGCAATTTAGAAAGTACTGCCATCATTTTTTCCTCTCTTCTTGTTTCAATTTGTTTGGTGTTTTGTTTTACCATTTTAACTATTTTAAGTATTTTAACTGTACAGCTCAGTGGCATTAAGTACATTTACATTGTTGTGCAACCATTACCACCATCCATCTCTAAAACTGTTTTCCTCTTCCCAAACTGAAACTCCATACCCATTAAACAGTAACTCCCCATTCCTTCCTCTCCCAGCCTTTGGGAAGCATCGTTCTTCTCCTTTCTGTCTCTGTGAATTGGACTACTCCAGGTACTTCATATAAGTGAAATCACATAATACTTGTCCTTTTGTGACTGCCTTATTTCACTTAGCATAATGTCCTTAAGTTTCATCCATATTGTAGCATGTGTCAGAATTTTCATCCTTTTCAAGGCTGAATATTATTCTATTGCATGTATATACCACATTTTGTTTATCAATTCATCCATTGATAGACACTTGGTTGCTTCCACCTTCCAGCCAATTGTGAATAAGGCTGGTATGAACATGGGTGCACAAATATCTATTTAAGTCCCTACTTTTAATGATCTTAGATATATACCCAGAAATAGAATTGCTGGATCATATGGTAATTCTATTTGTATTTTTTTGAGGAATTGTCATATTGGTTTTCACAGTGGCTGCACCAGTTTACATTCCTACTAGCAGTTCCCAAGGAATTTAATTTCTCCATATCGTCACCAACATTGTTATTTTCTGTTTTGTTTTGTTTTGGTTTTTAATAATAGCCATCCTAAGGAGTGTAAAGTGGAACAATGCCCAAGGATTGTGTTCTTTTTGATGCTGTTGTGCATCAAATTATTTTCCTACTTTCATTGTTGGATTGTTCATTGCTAATATATAGAAATACAACTAATTTTTGTATATTGGTCTTGTATCCTTCAACTTTGAATAGAAGTAGTGAGAATAGTAATTTTCTTTTTTTTCATGATACTAGGGAGAAATTTTCAACCTTTCACCATTAAGTATAATGTTAGCAGTGGGTTTTTCAAAGATGACCTTTATGAGATTGAAGAATTTCCTTTCTTTTTCTGGTCTGGTGTGTTTTTAAATCATGAAAGGGTACTGGATTTTGTCAAATGCTTTTTCTGTATCTATTGAGATGATGATTTTTTTCCCTTTATCCTATTAATATTATATTGATTAATTTTTATATATCAAATCAATCTTTCATTTCTGGAATAAACTCCACTTGGTAGTGATGTACAAGGAGACTTCAAATGTTTGTGAAAATGGAGTTAAAAAATATAAAATATAAACTAATTTCTCAACATTAAGCTCCATCAATTCAAGACACTTTTGTAAGTGATGATACTAGCCACTTAGTTCATCCCTAGAGAACTGAGGGTCCTGGAAATCTGACGTCAATGCCATTTTTTTACATTATTAACTGAAGAAAAATTGGTGCCTTTTACAGATTTTTTAAAGATTAAGATATAGGAAGAAGTCAGAAGGAGCCAAATCAGGACTGTAAGATGGATGCCTAATGATTTCCCTTCAGAACTTTCACAAAATTGACCTTGTTTGATGAGAGGAATAAGCAGGAGCATTGTCATGGTGGAGAAAGACTCTCTGGTGAAGCTTTCCTGGTATTTTTCTGCTAAAGCTTTGTCTAACTCTCTTAAAACACTCTCATAATAAGCAGATGCTATCATTCTTTGGCCCTCCAGAAAGTAAACAAGTAAATGCTTTGACCATCCCAAAAAACTGTTGCTGTGACCTTTGCTCTTGACCAGTTCACTTTTGCTTTGACTGGACCACTTTTTTTGTTTGTTTGTTTGTTTGTTTGTCTTTTGAGACAGAGCCACACTCTGTTGCCCAGGCTGGTGTGCAGTGGCACAATCTCGGCTCACTGCAACCTCCACCTCCTGGGTTCAAGAGATTCTCCTGCCTCAGCCTCCTGAGCAGCTGGAACTACAGGCATGTGCCACCACACCTGGCTAATTTTTGTGTTTTCAGTAGAGATGGGGTTTCCCCATGTTGCCCAGACTGGTCTCAAACTCCTGGCCTCAAGCGACCCACCCACCTCGGCCTCCCAAAGTGCTGGGATTACAAGCGTGAGCCACTGCACCTGGCATGGACCACTTTTTACCTCTTGGTATCCATTGCTTTGATTGTGCCTTGTCTTTAGGATCATACTGGTAAAACTATATGTCATCTCCTGTTATAATCCTTTAAAGAAATGCTTCAGGATCTTGACTCTGCTTGTTTAAAATTTCCTTTGAAAGCTCTGCTCTTTTGTGCAGCTGATCTGGGCACAATGGTTTTGGCACCCATCAAGTGGAAAGTTTGCACAACTTTAATTTTTCGGTCAGAACTGGGTAAGCTGAACCAACTGAGATGTTTATGGCATTGACTATTGTTTCTGCTGTTAATCGTTGATCCTCTTCAATTAGGTCACAAACAAGATTAATTTTTTCCTCATAAATGGATGTGGATGGTCTGCCACCGTAGGCTTCATATTCAATATCATCTCATCCTTTCTTAAAATGAGTTATCCATTGCTGATTTCTTTGGGGCGTTGTCCCCATAAACTTTTTGTAAAGCACCAGTGATTTCACCATTCTCCAACTCAAGCTTCACTACAAATGTGATGTTTGTTCTTGCTTCAATTTTAACAAAATTCATGTCGCTCTGATATGGGCTGTTTTCAAACTGATGCCTTATCTTTCTTAGTGCCTCAATCTAGATCTTGTTCAGACATGTTATAAGTTAGTACAAGTTCATTTTAGTGCAAAAAATTGAAATCCATGCATTCTCTTCTCATATGTGTTTTCCATGAACTTTTGAAGATCCCTCAGATAATCATTTTCATATGCTACTGAAGTCAATTTGTTAGTATTTTGTTGAAGATTTGTACATCCATATTCACAATGGATATTGGTCTGTTATTTTCTTTTCCCTGTTGTCTTTGTCTGGTGTTAGTATTAGGGTAATATTGGTCTTATAGAAGGTGTTAGGAAGTATCCCCTGCCCTTTATTTTTTTAAAAAATCTTTGTGAAAGCTTAAGGATAATTATTTGAAAATTTGGCAGAATTTATCAGTGAAGCCATCCAGTCATGGGCTTTTTTTTTTTTTTTTCTTGTCTTTTTCCTTTTTTTCCCCCTTTTAAAACATGGTCGGGCTGGGCACGGTGGCTCACGCTTGTAATCCCAGCACTTCGGGAGGCTGAGGCAGGTGGATCACCTGAGGTCAGGAGTTCAAGACCAGCCTGACCAATATGGTGAAACCTCATCTCCACTAAAAAATACAAAAATTAACCTGGTGTGGTGGCATGCGCCTGTAGTCCCAGCTACTAGGGAGGCTGAGACAGGAGAATCGCTTGAACTGAGGAGGCGGAGGTTGTGGTGAGCCGATATCATGCCACTGCACTCCAGCCTGGGCAACAGAGTGAGACTCTGTTTCAAAAAAAAAAAAAAAAAGACAAGATCTCTCTCTCTGTCACCCAGGCTGGAATGCATTGGACAAATCATAGCTCACTGAAGCCTCAAACTTCTGGACTCAGGAGATCCTTCCACTGCAGCCCCCCATGTATCTAGAGCTACAGGTGCACACCACCATGCTCAGCTAATCTTTTTTAAATTTTTTTGTAGAGACAGGGTGTTGCTATGTTGCACAGACTGGCCTTAAACTCCTAGCCTCAAGTAATCCTCCTGTCCCAGCCTACCAAAGTGCTGGAATTACAGGCATGAGCACCACAGCCAGCCTTGTTTTGGGTTTTTTTGTTGGAAGTTTTTTGATTACTGATTCAATTTGTTTACTTTTTATACATCTATCCAGACTTTCTAGTCTTTCTTGAGTGAGTTTTAGTACTTTGTGTGTTTTTAGAAATTTGTCCATTTTCTCTAGATTATAAAATTTGTTGTCATGCAATTGCTCATAGTATTGCCTTATAATTCTTTTTATTTCTTTAAGATTGATAGTAAGGTGCCTGCTCTCATTCCTGATTTTCGTAATTTCAGTTTTCTCCCTATTTTTCTGGTCAGCATGGATAAAGGATTGCCTATTTTGTTGACCTTTTAAAAGAACCAACTTCTGGCTTCATTGATTTTCTCTAATATTTTTCTAATCTCTTTTTCATTTACTTTCACTCTAATCTTTATTATTTTCTTCCTTTTTCTTGCTTTGGGTTCAGTTTGCCCTTCTTTTTCTAGTTTCTAAAAATGGAAGATCATGTTGTTGATTTGAGATCTTTCTTCTTTTTTAATGAAGGTGTTCAACTAACTGTAAATTTCCCTCTAAGCATTCTTCCAACATTCCCTGTATCCCATACATTTTTCTATGTTATGTTTTCATTTCTATTCACCCCAATATTTTCTAATGTCTCTTGCAATTTCTTCTTTGACCCACTGTTGTTTAAGAGTTTCTTTGTTTAATTTCCATATATTTAGGAACCTTCCTGATTTACATCTGTTATTGACTTCCAACATTTTAAAAGATGGGGTCTCACTATGTTGCCCAGCAGGCCTTGAACTCCTAGGCTCAAGCAGTCTTCACACCTCAGCTTCCTGAGTAGCTGGGATTACAGGCACATGCCACCACACCCAGCCCAATTTCATCTTAATGTGGTCAGAGAACATATTTTATGTAATTTCAACATTTTAAAATTTATTCAGACTTGCTTTGTGGCCTGTCTTATAGTTTAACCTGGAGAATGTCCCATATTGTTAGATGTGTACATGTTTATCATTGTTATATCTTCATAGTGGAGTGACTCTTTTATCATTATAAAATGTTCTTCTTTGTCTCTCATGACAATTTTTGTCTTGAAGTCTGACACATTTGTCTGGTTTTAGGATAGCCACTTCAACTCTCTTTTTGCTACTGTTTGCAGGAAATACTTATCTTTTCTCATTCTTTTACTTTCAACCTGTTTGTGTCTTTAAATCTAAAGGGAGACTTTTACAAACAGCATATAGTTGGATCATGTTTTTTTTTGAAATTCATTCTTCTAACCTCTGCCTTTTGAGAGCTAATTCATTCACATTTAATGTAATTACTGAAAAGAAAGGGCTTACGTGTGCCATTTTGCTATGTATTATGTATATGTCTTATATCTTTTTTGCACCTCAGTTCCTCCGTTACTAGTTTCTTCTGTGTTAAATAGACACTTTTCTAGGGGGCCACTTTAATTCCTTTACCATTTCTTTTACTACATACTTTTGAGCTATTTTCTTGGCAATTTCCCTGGGAATTATAATTAACATCTTAATTTATAACAATGTAATTAGGATTAATACCAACTTTTAATGTTATACACAATTTTGTTCCTATATAGTTCAGTTTCTTGCTTTATGCTGTTACTGTCACAAATTACTTCTTAATACATTGTTTTTCCATCAATATAAATTTATAATTATTGCTTTATGTAGCTGTCTTTTAAATCAGATTTTTAAAAAGGGAGTTACAAACAAAAATACATTAATAACATCTTTTATATTTATCTATGTAGTTATCATTACCAGTGGCAGTGGTTTTTTGGTTTTGTTTTGTGGTTTTTGGTTTTGTTTTGTTTTGTTTTGTTTTTTTGAGATGGAGTCTTTACAGAGGGATTCTGCAACTTTATTGGGGCATGCCTTCAGCACTCAGCCGAGCGGTTTACAGTTCGGCCTTGGCCTTCACTTACTGTTTGCTCAGGTAAACTAGAGGGGAGAAATCAGGACTTTCTCTGGTCTTTCTTGAGCATGTGAACAGTTCTCGGCATGCACCTGGCCTTCTAAATTCCCAGAAATGTAAGAGCTTTTCAAAGTCCTTATTCGCCAAAGCATCTCATTTAGGCTTTTCTCCCAAGATATTTGGTTAATCTATTGTTTGCCCCAACTGTTATCCATTGTCTCAGTAGCAAAGGCTAAAACATTTACTTGTGTTTTCAACAAATGACTCCAGATAGTGACTTTAGGGCTGGGCAAGCTCTGAAACAAGATAAAACATGACTTTTGAGCCCATCTCTTAGGGAGTCACCAGACAATCAACCAAGGACAAATATTTCCAAATGACGACATTCATTCTCCTTCTTCTGGTACTGGTGCTAGAATGCAGGCTGTTATCTTCAAGTGGCTATCTGCCACTGAGCTGGGGAGCTAGAGATGGAACGAAGGCAAGTTATAATGTCACAAGTCTGTCCCTCCTATGAAGACTCAGCTATTTTTCCTGAATACGTGTTCCCTGAGTTGCTGCAAGCATTTGGTTAATTTCCAGGGTTCTGAAAAAGTAGATTCTGATCATTTTTGGCAAATTTGTAGTTGCTTTTATGTTGGAGTTCATTTTCAGAGTACCTTACTCTACCATCTTCACAGAGACCATAATTCACCATTTTTTTATCCACTATATCCAGAAAATCACCAAAGACAGCCAGTTATTCCTTTAAAAGTCACCTTTATCTATTTTTCTTAATCACTACCACCACCAGGCAGGCCTTGAGAGGCAATTTATTATACTATTTAAAACCATCAGTTCTGGAATCATATGTTGGTGTTTGAATACCAGCTCTACCACTTCCTACATGCATGACCTGGAGCAAGCCAATTAAAACTTTTTATGCCTCAGTTTTAACATCTGTAAAATGGGATAATAAAAGTATTGCTATGAGGATTAAATGAGTTAACACTTGTCAAGTGATTAGTACTAGGCCTGCATATAGTGAACACTCAAAAATTGTTAGGCACTAAATGCATCCAGCAAACATTTATTAAAGCTAAATTTATTAAGATTATATACTCATCTCTAGGACTATTACAATGAGCAAGACTGACAACAGGTAAGAGCTCCACTTTTGTGGAACTTACGTGAAATGTCCCAAACACTTCATATTCAGATTGCGATTTCTCAGATGACTTCTGCTGGGAAACAATTTCTCATTAATTTCTCATGTTTCTTCCCATCTTGTAAGCAGAGGCACAGATGGCCTTATTTTTGGACTGTCTTCCTCTAGAGCAGAGAACAGATTTGTTTATTGTACAGTATAATAAAAATGTCTTTCTCCAAGGCAAAGGCCAGGCAGGTATGCACACATTCCATTATAGAAGATTTGAGTTTCCTAGGCTTGGGATTCCTCAGCTCTGGCAAAAACTCATGACATATACAGCATTGATTCTGCATCACCTCTGTGGAATTTGAGGAGCATGGGGAATGGATATGAAACTGACATTCATGCTGCCACTATGCTATGATTAATAGAGTCGTTTGTCTCTGACTCAGGAGTCTCATGTCTTCCACCATCATCCACGCAACAGGATAACTTTTTAGCTTACATGCAGAGTAAAATCTCCAGTGTTTCAGCTTTTGACAACTTCTAGCCGGTATGCTGTTACAAAGGTATCTTCCTTAAACCTAATTTCTACTGGTTACATCTAAATTTCTTTATCTGGCTTTCAGACTCCTTCCTACCTACTCAGCTGAATATCTATTTCTTCTTGAAGAAGACTTTCTGCTTCATAGACCAGTATTTTCACACGTATACTGTGATGTTCCTTTCTACCTCTGACATTAGGCTCAAATTCCACTCCACCCCCTTTTGTTGGAATTCCTTTCCTTTCCCCTTTTTTCCTATTTAGTCAACTCAAATCCATCTCTTAACACCTGTATCAAGTCCAAAACTGTCAAGAAACTTCCTCATTGATCACTCTTTCTGCAAACATCTGTAGAACTTAAGAACCTATACAAAGAGCTTGAATATATATTGTGTTATTTTCTAGTGGTTCCATATGGGCATGCATTGCTTCCCCATTCTGACTGTAAGCAAGAAGAGGAGTGCAGGCACAAAGCAGAAATGGAATGTGACTGATTGGAATGGTTACGTGCATATGCACTAAAGCCAGAATTCCCAGATTTAGATCCCCACCACTTATTAGCTATGTGGCCTTGGGCTTATTACTTAACTTCCCTATGCCTCAGTTTCTCCATCTTTAAAATAGAAATAATTATAATGATAATACCTATCTCATAGACTTCTTGTGAAAATTGAATTAACACACATAAAAACATAGATCAAGTTAGAAACATCCCGGAGTTTAGAACTGTAAGAACCTGTGGAGGTATATAGTATTACAGAGGAATTTGAAAAACCTTTCTTAAAAACCTCTCAAACCTACCAGATAAAAAATTAAAAACATCTTTTGTTTGACAAAAAATATAGGAAATATTCCAAAGTCAAAGGTGGCATGGCACAAATCTAAAGAGGAGGGTGAATGCTAAAGCTGGTAGCTGTTCTAGAACATTTGCTGGTCCACAGTAATCCAGAGCATTTGTTTCAGTGGCCACTTGGCTACAGGACAATAAGTCTCAGGTCTACACAAATTCAAAAGTAAGATTAGAAACCCAAACATTTATCCAGGATTGCAAAGGATCATATGCTCAGTGAATAATTAAAAGAGACACACATATACCCCTCAAAGGAATATGGTGAAAAAATAATGGCACTTGGTACAAGGTCCAAAAGTCTTCTCTTGAGAATTTGTAACCACATGTGAGACTTCAAATAAGGTTACAGCCTGAATTCACATTTCCTTCATGTTTCTTCAAAGTGATTCAGGTTGGTAGACCCCAAGCCCCTGGCAAAAGCAAACACAAATTCTCTCTACTCAGGAATCTAAGAATCTAAAAAAGTTCCAAAGAATGTTAGCTCACAATTTACAAAAGTCACAAAATACACAAGGAAACAAAATTCCCTGAGTAAGGGACAGCAGAAACACCATGTAAGGAAAAAGTGACCTACCGAGACTTTAAATGTAGTTATTAATGGCTACAGAATATTTTTTAAGTATATATAACACATTTAAAAGTAAGAGAACTAATTGAAAACAGGAGAAAAGAAAAAGAGGCTATCAAAAATGATCAGGCAGGCGGGGCACAGTGACTCACACCTGTAATTCCAACACTCTGGGAGGCAGAGGCAAGAGGATCAGTTGAGGCCAGGAGTTCGAGACTAGCCTGGCCAACGTGACAAGACCCTGTCTCTACTAAAAACACAAAAACTAGCTGAGTGTGGTGGTGCATTCCTGTAGTCTCAGCTATTCAGGAGACTGAGGCACAAGAATTGCTTGAACCCAGGAGGCTGAGGTTGCAGTGAGCCAAGATTGTGCCACTGCACTCCAGCCTGGGTGACAGACTGAGACTCTGTAAAAAAAAAAAAAAAAAAAAAAAAAAAAATTACCAGACATATTTGAAAAATAACCAAATAGTTCCAGAAAAAAAATTTTTAATGTAATAATTAAATTTGAAACTCTGTGGACAGGTTAAATAGTAGACTCACCCAGAAGAATTAGTAAATTGAAGAATAGCTGAAGAAATTTTACAGAATTCAGCTTAGAGAAATCATGAAATGGAAACTACAAAATATTAAGAAACATGGAGAATGAAGTGAGAGGTATGTATGTATCTATTCACCTTCCCAAAAGAGGGATTAAAAAGGTAATATTCAAAGAGATACTGTCTTTTCAACAAATGGTGTTGGGAAAACTGGATAATAACAAAAGAATAAAGTTGGATGCTTACCTTATACCATATACAAAAAATAACTCAAAATGGGTTAAAGGCCTAAACATAAGAATTAAAACTATAAACCTCTTAGAAGAAAACATAAGGGGACAAGCTTCACAGCATTGGATTTGGCAACGATTTCTTGGATATGACACCAAAAGCAAAGGCAACAAAAGAAAAAAATCGATAAATTGAACTACATCAAAATTTAAAACATTTGTGCATCAAAGGACACTATTGATGGATTGAAAAGGAAACTCACAGAATGGGAGAAAATATTTGTAAATCATGTATGTGATAAGGAATTAATATATAAAACGCACAAGAAACTCCTGCAACTCAACAATGACAACAACAAAATACCCTTGATTTTTAAAAAGGGCAAAGGACTTCAGTAAACGTTTCTCCAAAGAGATATACAAATGGTCAGTAAGTAAATAAAAAGATATTCAACATCACTAATTATTAGGGAAATGCAAATAAAACCCACAATGAGATATCACTTTACACTTATAAGTATGGCTATTACCAAAAAAACACTCACACAGATAACAAGTATTGGTGAGGCTATAGAGAAATTGAAATTATTGTGCACTGCTGATGTCAATGTAAAATTGTACAAGTGCTATATAAAATAGTATGGCAGTTTCTCAAAAAATTAAAAATAAAATTATCATATGACTCCCCAGAAGAATAGAAAGTGGGGACTTGAACAGATATTTGTACACCCATGTTTATAGCAGCATTACTCACAGTTGCCATAGGGTGGAGGCAACCCAAATGTGTATAGATGGATGAATGGACACACAAAATGTAGCATTTACATACAATAAAATATTATCCAGCCTTAAAAGGAAAGGAAATTCCAACACAAGCTACGACATGGATGAAACTTGAGGACATTATGCTAAGTGAAATAAGTCAGTCACAACAAGATGAATATTGTATGATTCCATTTATATGAGGTACTTAGAATTGGGATAGAAAGTATAATGGGTTGCCAGGGGCTTGAGGGAGGGAGGAGTGGATAGTTAGTGTTTAATGGGTATAAAGCTTTACTCTGGGAAGCTTTTTAAAAAGTTCTGGGGATGAATGGTAGTAATGATTGCACAACAATGTGAATGTCCTTAATGTCACTGAACTGTACACTTAGAAATAGTTAAAATGGTACATTTTACATTATATATATGTATGTACATATATATTACCAAGGTTTTTTCAAAACTTGGGGAAAAATAATGGTTGAGAATTGTTCAGAACTGATAAAAGATGCAAATATTCAACTTAAGGAATCACAAAGAATCCCTCATAAAACAAATACATATCTAGACACTTTGTAAAATGTCTTTGTAAAACCACAGATCTACAAAGAGAAATGTTAAGACTAGTTAGAAAGATATTACCTACAGAGGAATGATATTTAGACTGACAACTGATTTTTCAACACCACAGTGGAAGGCAGATGGAAAAGCATCATTTCTTCAAAAGACTGAAATGAAAAATAAGTTTACCTAAAAATGTATATATTTTAAAAATCTTACAGAAGGCCAGGCGTGGTGGCTCACGCCTGTAATCCTAGCACTTTGGGAGTCCGAGACAGGCAGATCACGAGGTGAGGAGATCAAGACCATCCTGGCTAACACGGTGAAACCCTGTCTCTACTAAAAATACAAAAACAATTAGCTGAGCATGGTGGGACCCGCCTGTAGTCCCAGCTACTCGGGAGGCTGAAGCAGGAGAATCGCTGGAACCCAGGAGGAGGAGGTTGCAGTGAGCCGAGATCACACCACTGCACTCCAGCCTGGGCAATAGAGTGAGACTCCATTAAAAAAAAAAACTTACAAAAATAAGGAGGAAAATAAAGAAAATTTTGGATAATTAAAAATTGGAACTTTACTAATAGACCCAAATGAACTTCTAATGAATACATTCTGAGAAGTAGAATGATATCAGAAAAAAGGTTTGAGATGCTAGAAGGGATACTAAACAAATAGCCTGACAAATATATAGACATAGACAGAAATCTAAAAACAATTGATTATATAAAACAATAAGTAAAATAGCTAATTTATGGGATAAGAAGTAAAACAAACAGAAATGTGAACAGTGACAGCATAAAAATTGGGGGAGATTAATCTGAGTAACAGCACTCTAAGCTTCCTTAAATTGTTAGAAGAGAAATGTATCAAATAGCTTTAGCCTGTATTAAGAAAATTATGCATGTTAAGATTTCTAGAGTAACCATTATAAGAATAGAACATCTATTAAAGGGGAAAAAATTGAATAAAGGCATAGAATCTGAATCCAAAAGAAAGAGAGAAAGGAATAGGAATAAGCAAACAGAAAAAGCAGAAGAAATAGAAAGTGCACATTTAGATAATAGAAATTAATTTAAATATAACAGTAATTACAATAAACAGACCAAACTCTTTGGGTTAAAAAAGTCAATATGGAAATTTTTTTCTTTTTGTTTTGAGACAGGGTCTTACTCCACTGCCCAGGCTGGAGTGCAGTGGCGCAATCTTGGCTCACTGCAACCTCCATGTCCCAGGCTCAAGTGGTCCTCTCACCTCAGTTCCCTGAGTAGCGAGGACTACAGGCACGTGCCACCACTCCCAGCTAATTTTTCTATTTTTTTTTTTTTGTCTTAAGACAGGGTTTTGCCATGTTGCCCAAGCTGGTCTTGAACTCCTGGGCTCAAGCAATCCACCTGCCTCAGCCTCCCAAAGTGCTGGGACTACAGGCATAAGCCAAAGCACCTGGAGGGAAATAATTTTTAAAAAGCACTTTTTAAAATCCACATTTGCTATTTATAAGGTGAACACTCAGAACAAAGAGACAAAGAAAGGTTGAAACTTAAAGAATGGCAGTGTAGTAACTGAAAGAAAGCTTGTGTAGTTATAATACATGACTATCAGACAAAAATTTTGCTAAAATAAATGGGTTACTACATAACCATCAATGTTTTTATTTCCCAGGAAGATATAAACTTCTTAACTCTTATGTACCTAATAAAATTTAAACTATGTAAAGTAAAAAATGACAAACTTACAAAAAAATTGACAAATACACCACCATTGTGACAGATTCTAGCATACCTCTTTCAGTAACTGATAGAATCTCTGCTTAAAACATCTACAGGGGATTATTTAAACAACACCATAAGTTTGATCCAACTGATTATATGTAAAACGTAGTAACAAGTGAAAAGTATACTTTTATAAAAATCAAGCATATATGAGGTCATAAATTATATTCTAACATATTAAAAATAATCAGTTTCCCAGAGACCAAGTTCTCTGAACATAATGCAGTTAAATTACAATATATATCCAGTTTTAAAAGATAATTTTTAAAAAACATGTATTTAAACTTCTTTAGAATTTGAAAATATTTAGGACTAAGTGATAAATAATAATAATGAAAATACATATCAAAACTTGTGGGATACAACTAAACTAGTATTTAGAGGGAAATGCACAGTCTTAATTGCCTATATGAGCAAGAAAAAATACAAATATTAATAAGATAATCAACTAACACAAGAAATTAGGACTAAAGCAATTAAAACAGATTCAAAGAATTGGAAGGAAGGAATTTATTCATGCATTAAACTAATGTTTATTGAACACCCACTATTAGGCATTTACGATTCAGCAGTGACCTAAAAAAAATCCTATTCTTTATGAAACTTAGTGCCTCCAAAACCAAATATGGAAGTCAGCATAATACTGGTCATCAAGAGATTTGAGTTGCAGTCCAATTTTTCCAGTACCCAGCTGTGTGTCTTTAGGTAAATCATTTTTTCTCACTTTGCCTCCTTTTTCTTATCTGGAAAGGAGATCATAATTTCTATCCTATCTATCATGATATAATCAAATGGTATCCAATGACACAAACTATATTTTGGGAAAGTATAAGCATTATGCAAATATAAAATTATTATTATTAATATTTAAAACATCCATGTTCCTTTTGCTATCACTGCCTTCCTGGTCTTAGGGAAATAAAATGACTGCTTCATTTAAAACTTTCCTTCCTTCAATTGGCTAAAAGCCATAACATGAGTCTAGCTATGAGGTGGCTTCAAATCTTAATGCTGGGAGAGACTGAGTGTTGAGTGTTACTGTGAAATCAAAGATGCAGCATAAATTACTAAGTCTACTCTCATGTATGCCTTGTATTTCTGCAACTCTGAACAGTGGAATTTTCACAGTAGGATTTAGCACTTATCAGTTGTCCTGTCCCACACTTCAAGATCAAAGGTTCTTGACACATCAAACACTGAGTTAAAAATTGCCGCTCAGAGTAGGCAATTTTTTTCATTCAACACTCTTTTACTGAGCATTGCTTATGTGTTAGGTAATAGACTGAGCATTGGAAGCTCAGAGATTACAATATAGTTGGTGAGGCTGACAAAATTGTCTAGCATTCTCTTAGCATACTTATCTAAACACATGAGATCACAAGAGAAGACTCCCCACCTACATACAAGCCCAACCTCGTCTTACAATCTTTAGAGCTGAACTAACAAAGAGAGTGAGGTCAATCGTTCTCAGCCTTTTGGCTAAAATCTAGAATGGAGAGTGAGGGCAGAGGTAGATGGTCCTGGTCTCATTTATTGTTTCTGTATTTCTAAGGCCTAAGGCAGGGGCTGATATTCACTAAGTTCTTAACAAATATTTGCTGGGTAAATGAATAGACTTTGTGGAACAGATTGAAAGAAGCCCTTGGTAGCAGGTACACAATATCCAATAAATACTTTTTAAATGTTTTACTTATTAATTAGAGACAGGGTCTTCTGTCACTGAGGCTGGAGTGCAATGGCACGATCATAGCTCACTGCAGCCTCAAACTCCTGGGCTCAAGCACTCTTCCTGCCTCAGCCTCCCATGTAGCTGGGACTACAAGCATGCCTCACCACATCCAGCTAATTTTTTTTCCATTTGTTGGAGAGACAGGGACCCACTTTGTTGCCGGAGCTGGTTTTGAACTCCTAGCTTCAAGTAATGCTCCAGCCGCAGCCTCCAAAAGTGCTGGGATTACAGGCACACACCACAGCACCTGGCTGGGTAAATAGTTCTTGATCGTCTTAGAGACCAAGGAAAATGTATCCAGCCAATTTCTCTCCATCCTCCCAAATCCTTGCCAGGCCTTTCCTCTTGCTTCAGGACCTGTAGCCCAATTTGCTCTTCCTCCTGTAACAACCGCACCAGATCTCTGGCTGGTCCAGAAGTCAGGTGAAAGAGTACTGTCATCCTCTGAAAGCCCATCCTTTACTAGGCTGAGTTTTGCTTTGTGTCCAGCGAACAAGGCTGACTTGAAAGAGGACCATACCCTGAAGAAGAAAATAATAGGACTTTCCATCTTCAAAGCTCCTCCCTACACAATTTTGTTTGTTGGTTTGTTTGTTTGTTTTTGAGACAGGGTCTCCCTCTGTCACCCAGGCTGGAGTGCAGTGGCACGATTGTGGCTCACTGCATCCTCAACCTCCCAGGCTTAGATGATCCTCCCACTTCAGCCTCCCAAGTAGCTGGGAGTACAAGTGCACACCACCACGCCTGGCTAATTTTTGTATTTTTTGTAAAGACGGGGTTTTGCCATGTTTCCCAGGCTGGTCTCAAACTCCTGGGCTCAAGCGATCCGCTTGTCTCAGCCTCTCAGTGCTGGGATTACAGGCGTGAGCCACCGTGCCCAGCTCCAATCATTAATTTTAGATGGAGGATCTGGTGGCCAGCTGGCAGCTATTATTAACATGTGACACAGAAGCAGATTGTGTATGTATTGGGGGAAGGAGGGAGGAAGGGAGGAGGAAATACAGACTGAGATACAGAGGTCATAGTCTCCACATCAAGGCCACATGGTCAGGTCAAACACAGAGCAGAAGGTCACAGAATTTTATTCAATCATAGGCCATTACTCTTCTCTCCTACTGCTCACTACTATAGAATTTTTTGTAATTTTTCCTTCTCATTTATGGAAGTGTCTCTTAATGGAGTCTTTCTCTCATATGTGTGTGTATTTGTGTGTATGTGTGTGTACGTATAATTGGAAGAGGGCCCTGTGTTGGGTCCATTCTGTCAGAAGTATGTCTGAATTTAATCCCCTTTCTCCATTCCCACGGCTATAGTCCTAACTCAGGGCCAAGCATTTTTGGCCCGGACTTTTTCAACACTCCTCCCCATCTCCTCCTTGCCCCTGGCCTCTCCCTACTGCATTTACCCTCCCTACTGACACCAGGTCATCCCTAGTTTAAATTTCTGCTTACGATAGAATTCAAACCCTCCACACTCTGAACCCAAATTAACTTTTCAATCTTTTTTCTCAACTGGGACAGCCACCCCACCCTGTGATTCAATAACATCATATGTGTCTCCAGGTCTTTGCTTGTGCCATTTCTTTTCTATGAGATGGTCTTTTCTTGTGGGCAACGTGGACAAATCTTAGCTATTCTTCAGATACGCCATTTCCTCTGTGAAATTTCTTCTGACCCCACCACTTCTTCCCCTATGTTCCACATCCATATCATTTTGTACATAACCCTTAGAACAGCACTTCAGTATTTCAATACAGTTATGTGTCTGTTTCCTCAACCATAATAGGAGGTCAAGAATTATACCTTATCTTTGACCCCTAGAACCTGTTGGTAGAGTTCAGTAAGAGTTTTAAAACTGTTGTCTGTGTGGTTAAATTAAACAAATAACCATAGAAATAAAATGTTAATCATTATTGGTCATGTACACCTGCATTTGTGTCCATCAGATTTCCTGAACAAAAATCAAAATGTGTGGTCTGAAAATGTGACAGATGATTTGGAAGTGGAAAATGTCCTAGAAAATTTGTGTCATGCTTGTCCCATACTTGTGTCCCATAAACATCCCACCAACATTTCAGGACTAAAATTGCCAATATTCCCTCCCTCTACCTAAACCCACTGCCATGTTTCAAATGAAAGTAATCCATTGTGAATCCAAGAAAATAAATTGCCTCTATATTGCTGTTTACTTCTCTGCCTGGATCAGGAGGCCATACACCTTTCTGTTCCTCTTGATAGGCTGGAAGACTAAAACCAAGATTAGCTTTGAATTACTCTGCTTTCTTTGGTTTGCTTTTAGTTCTCAATCAATCAAGTACTTTAGAAAAGCCCAATACAAGTAGATGCTTAGCCTTGTGCTGGTAGCTATTGCCAAAAAGATACATTGATTAGTCTCTTACTATGTACCAGGTACTGGGTTAAGAACTTTAGATAGATTATCTTTTGAAATTCTCACAACAGCCTTTTATAAATTATTATTATAATGTCAATATTGTGGATGAGAAAACTAAGGCTTAAAGAGAGTAAGCAGCGTACTCAAAGTCCTACACAGCTAGTAAGTAAGCAAAACTAACTTTAAACCCAATACTGAGGCTGGGCACAGTGGCATGTGCCTGTAGTTCCAGCTACTCAGGTGGCTGAGGCAGGAGGATCGATTTAGCCCAGGAGGTTGAGGCCACGATGAGCCATGATTAGCACCACTGTACTACAGCCAGGGCAAAACAGTGAGATCCTGTCTCAAAAATAAATAAATAAATAAATAAATAAACCCAGTACTGAAGTCTGTGCTCTTAACAACAAGCAGCTTACTGTCTATCTGGGGAGATAAGACATTCACATATGAAATAATTGGAAAACAGTATTCCTTGAAATGTCAGGATGTGGCTCCTTAAGTTCTCCAAGGCCAGATTGAGATTTGTTTTTCTGAACCTTGAGGGACATTCGGGAGAAACGAGCCTGAGTTTTATATAACAAAATAAAAGTTTACAAGAGCCCTGAGTTATATACAATAAATTCAGTGATCGAAGGTGTAGGGTAGGTAGACAAGAGAATTCATGGGAAAATGCCTCCAGAGCTAATAACTTGTATGTGTCAAACACTTTCCAGTTCACAGAGCATTTTCACGTATATTATGTCACATCATCTTCACAACCCTGTGGAATACAAATTATCTCTATTTTACACGCTAGGACAAAGCATTGATTAAGTAGCTTGCCCCATATCATGAATAAATGTTCCAAAGTGGTCAGTATGCAGACTCAGACCCCAACCTCTGCCTCCCAGCAGCTATATTTTCTGCTATGACTCACTGTGACTCAGGACTCAAGCAGCCCAGTGTCCAGTCTGGCTGCTCTTCCCAGGAGCTTTCCCACCTGGCCTCCTTCTGCTCAATGGGTCCTGCTGGAGACCCTTCCATTGGTCCAACTGGTGGTCTCTACCAACTGCCACAGAAGCTTCCAACAGCCACATTCCACCCATCCAACCCTTCTGCCATTAGAGAACCAGGAATTCCCTGTTTTGGGGGGTAGAGAATTGGACATACTCATAAAGCCTTAAGCTCCTAAAACTCATGACTATCTTTTTACTCCTGCCTCAAGTTTTACACATAAATCAATGAAAATCTGGTCATTGTGTGGCTTTCCAAGCCATTTGGACATTGTGAAACTTGAAATGAGAGAAACATTGAAATTTCTGGAACTCTACTTCTGAGTACCTTATTGCCTTTTCCCATTCCCTAACCTTCCCTGTGATAGTCTTAACATTCCTGCTGTCAATAAATATTTATCAAGCACCTGTTAGGTGCCAGAAACTATTCTAAGTTGGGAGTATAGGCCTAGCTTGGTGGCTTATGCCTATATTCCTATTTGGGAGGCTGAGGTAGGAGGATCACCTAAGCCCCAGAGATTGAAGATGCTGTCAGCCATGATGGCACCACCACTGCACTCCATCCTGGGCAACAGAGTGAGACCCCAACTCTTTTTTTTTTTTTTTTTTGAGACGGAGTCTCACTCTGTTGCCCAGGCTAGAGTGCAGTGGCACGATCTCGGCTCACTGCAAGCTCCACCTCCCGGGTTCACACCATTCTCCTGCCTCAGCCTCCCAAGTAGCTGGGACCACAGGCGCCCACCACCACACCCGGCTAATTTTTTGTATTTTTAGTAGAGATGGGGTTTCACCGAGTCAGCCAGGATGGTCTCGATCTCCTGACCTTGTGATCCATCCGCCTCGGCCTCCCAAAGTGCTAGGATTACAGGCGTGAGCCACCACACCCGGCCTGTGAGACCCCAACTCTTAAAAAAAAAAAGTTACTTAGGTGAATGCATCACTGATCACCCCAGAAAAAGCCCCCCATGCTTGCTATCATGAAACTTGCATTACAGTCAGGACAGACTAACTAAATAATTAACATGCCAAATGGTGATGGACATTGTGATGAAAAATAAACTTAGGAAATTAACTGGTGGAATGGGGTCTATGTTGGAAAGAAGTTGGTCAGGGAAGGCAGATTTAATAAGACACCTAAATGCAGTAAGGGAAGAAGCGAAGCCAATTGGCCCTCAAGAGAAGGGTTTTCCAGGCACAGAGAACATAATGCAAAGGCCCTAAGCTTCACTCATACTTAGGTTATTCACAGAATGGGAAGGAGGCCAGTGTGGCTGGAGCAGAATGAACAAAGGGGGGGAGTGTGGTAGAAGATGAGGTCAGAGTGAGCAAGTGAGGGACCTGATTTTGTAATGCCTCATAGGCCCATAGAAGATTGTTGTTTTTCAGGCATTCAACCTCGTTCAAACAAACCAAGCAATTATTTTAGGCCAGAATTGTTGGGTGCTGATGATACAGAGATGAATAAGACAAAGGCGTTACTGTCAAGAAGCTGAGTCTGATGAAGAACAGAGACAAGTAAGCAGACAGCTATATCACAGTGTAACTGGTACTGCAAGAGGGTTAAGCCCTGATTCCTGTAGTAACATATGGAGGGCACCTACTGCAGATGGGATGTCAGAGAAACTGAAGTCTAAACCTGTGCCATTCAGAATGGGGTGATTAAAGATGTGAAATGTGACTAGTATGGCTGGGGAACCAAATGTTTAATATTAATTAATTTAAATATAAAACTGAAGCAGTGTGAAGCATTTTTCCTTTAAATTCAACCTTACAGTTTTGGTAGGACTACTTCTACTTTTGTCATTGCATCCCATAAGATTTCATGATTGTTTTGTTAGTGCTCATGTACTTTTTACTTCTACTTTCAAAAAATGTGGCTACTACAAAATCTACAATTAAATAAATATGTGGCTCACATTATATTTCTACTGGACAGCACATTATATTTCTACTGGACAGCACTAATCTAAACTCAAAGTGGAAGAGACAAACCAGGGATGTAGAAGAAACCTCAAGGCAGAGGGTCTACATGTGCCAACGTCCAGATCACAAAGAGAGCATGGCACCTTCGAGGAGGAACAAATAACTCAGAATGATGAGTCCTGAAGTGCCAGCAAGCAGGTAGGCGGAGATGAGGAAGAAAAAATAAACAGAAGTTGGGTCTGAAGGTCTCGTGTGTTATTTAAGGGAATTTGAACTTCATTGTGAGTATAACAGGGAGCTACCGAGGGAAGACACCCAGCCAGCTGGGATTGTTGCAAAGGTCATTCTGGCTATCATGTGGAGCATACACTGAAGTGGGGCAAGAATGGAAGGAGGAAAACCAGTTAGTGCTGGTTGCAAAAATGAGGCAAGAGTCGGGGGCAGTGACAGTGGAGAAGAGAGAAGTGGGCTAATGTGAGACATTATGAGAGGTCAAGTTGGCTAGACTTGTCATTGGATAGGTATGAAGAATGAGGGTAACAGGATGGCTTAAAGATCAGTCCCTAACACTGTAGGCTCTGAGGAGCAAATGACTACTGCCCTCCAAAGCTGGGTGTCCAAGCAAATGACTGAGCTCCTAAAGGGATGCGGGGTGTGAGGGCTGACTTCAGTGGCCATATTTCCCCCTGACCGTAAACATTATGAATAAAGAAACATCACCTGGAATTTCACCTGGGCATCTTGTTTGTCTTTGATTAGTATAATTTTTGGAAGTTAATGTATTCCATGCTGCCAGGTACACTGCTCCAGCATTTTCATTTCCTTTGATCAGATGATGGTTAAGTGACAAGATTATATCTCTCAAAAATAATCTCAGGAAAGGAGAAATGTACTTGGGGTTCTTCCTTCTCCTCCAATGGCAAACAGGGAACATAAATTAAATAGAGTCACACTCCATCTCAGCAACCCAGGGGCGTGCCCAGGTTTTGTGGAGCCTAAAATTTATATAGTTGGTGGTTGGGTTTTTTTTTTTTTTTTGGAGGGGGGAGGAGGAAGGGTCTCTTTAAGTAAAATAATACCCAATTATGAATTTAAAATCACTAGGTAGGTTCTCATGCAAATGAGGGGCCCTGACACTTAAGCTTCATTAGCGTCATGGTATATCGATAGTTTTAGGAGGCCATATTTTTTCATCCATTGAACATGTATCAGCTGATGGGTTATGGGCACTGAGCAGGACATAGGGATATAAACATGAATAAGAACAGACATAGGCCCCGCCCTCAAGAAGTCCACCATTTAAAGCAGGAGATAGATAAATAGGTCATTGTAGAACTACATTATGAATGCAGTTATAAGAGCTCTATCCACAGAGTATAGTGGGTGCAGAGAGGAGGAGAACTCAACTCACCTGAGGTGAAAGGTGCTTGGGTATCTTACACCAGCAGGATGTGTAAGATACGTGAATTACTTAAACACTAGGTAGAAAATAGGTTTTGGATAATATTTTGTGCCCCATGAAGCTGGAAACTTTGTCAGCTAAAAGTAGAAAGGCCTTAAATGGCAAATCCAGTTCTTGCTAAAAGTCTCATCACTGCCAAGATTAACTCTGTACTACTAGCTGGAGATTCTCCCCAGAATAAAATGACAATCCTATTGTGGACTGAACTGTGTCCCCCCAAAATTCATCTATTGAAGCCCTAGCCCCAAAGGTAACTGTATTTGGAAATAAGGTCTTTATGGAGGTAACTGAGGTTAAATGAAGTCCTGAGGGTAGGACCCTGAGCTGATAGTTTGGGTGTCCTTATAAGAAGAGGAAGAGACACCAGAGACATATATGTGTCTCTCTGTCACTCTTACTCTTTCTCTATCTTCCCCACCACAACCCCCAACCTCTGCAGGGCAGTGGAAAGGCAGAGGAAAGGCCTTGCCAGAACATACTGACAAAGTGACTCTCTGTAAGCCAGGAAGAGAGTCCTCACCAGAAACCAAATTTTCTGTCACCTTGATCTTGGTCATCCAGCCTCCAGAACTATGAAAAAATAAATTTCTGTTGTTTAAGCCACCCAGTCTGTGGTACTTTGTTGTGGCAGCTTGAGCAGACTAATAAAGATCTTTAGACAAACATGGTCCATTTCTCCCTATGCCTGGCCCCTGAGCAGAATACCAGAAACAGTGGGCCATTGCTGTGCCTCCTTGTCCATACTTCCAGGGGAAATGCAAGAATGATGTTTAGTGTCCTTTTACCACATTGGGCTTTATTCCTTCCTTCTCACACCTTAGCCCCTCTAGGCTACTCTTAGGGTCATAGTCACTGTGTTAGTCTGTTCTTGCATTACTATAAAGGAATACCTGAGGCTGGGTAATTTATAAAGAAAAGAGGCTTAATTGGTTCATGGTTCTGCAGGCTGTACAGGAAGCATGGCTCTGGCATCTCTACTCAGCTTCTAGTGAGGCCTCAGGGAGCTTTTGTTCATGGTGCAAGGCAAAGCAGGAGCAGGCAGGTCACATGGCCAGTGAGGAACCCACACGTGGTGGGGAGGAGGGCAGGCTCTTTTAAACACCCAGATCTCAAGTGAACTGAGCAAGAACTCACTCATCACCAAGGGGATGCTAAACCATTCAGGAGGGATCCACCCCCATGATCCAATCACTTCCCACCAGGCCCCACCTCCAACACTGGGATTCGCATTTTTCAACATGAGATTTGGAGGAAATGAACATCCCAACCATATCAATCACAGCTAGCTAATGATTCTTTGCTCATTCATTAGGGAGGTAGCCTAATAATGCTGAAAGAGTTCTGGTAATACATTTGACCCCTAAACAACACAGGTTCAAACTGCACAGGTCCACTCACATGCAGATTTTTTCAATAAAAGTTACACTGAGTATGCCTGCCTCTCCTGCCTCCCTTCCACTTCCTCCATCTCTTCCGCCCCTGCCACTCCTGAGACAGTAAGACCAACCTCTCCTCTTCCACCTTCTTCTCCTCAGCCTACTCAACATGAAGATGAGGAGGATAAAGGCCTTTGTGATGATTCACTTCCACTTAATTAATAGTAAATACATTTTCTCTTCCTTATGATTTTTAATAACATTTTCTTTTCGCTAGCTTACTATAGTATAAAAATACAATATATAATACATATAATATACAAAATTTTATTTTGCATATTATTGACTGTTTATGTTGACTGTGTTATCAGTAAGGCTTCTAGTTAACTGTAGACTGTTAGTAGTTAAGTTTTGGGAAAGTCAAAAGTTACACTTGGAGGCCGGGCATGGTGGCTCACGCCTGTAATCCCAGCACTTTGGGAGGCCGAGGTGGGCGGATCACGAGGTCAAGAGTTTGAGACCAGCCTGAGCAACATAGTGAAACCCTGTCTCTACTAAAAATACAAAAATTAGCCATGAATGGTGGCGTGCACCTACAGTCCCAGCTACCTGGGAAGCTGAGGCGGGGGAATCTTGAGCCCAGGAGGTGGAGGTTGCAGTTAGCCGAGATCGCACCATTGCACTCCAGACAGAGTGAGACTCCGTCTCCAAAAAAAAAAAAAAAAAAAGTTACACTTGGATTTCCGACCGTGCCAGGGGTCAGCACCCCTAACCTAACCCCTTCATTATTCAGGGGTCAACTGTACTTAGAAATAGCCTAGCTCAGCTGCTGTACTGGGTGCAAGGTCCCAGGCAAATCAAGTTCTGTCTCTGTACTAGAAAATTAAGGACATGAGCTAGATTATTCCTAGGCTGTCTTCTACTTGGGTGACTCCAGGGTTCTAAACTGTTATGTTTCTGGGGTTCACTTTTAAGAGCCTCCAAAGACTTCATGAATGTCTCCAAGGCCCACATAAAGGAATCATTCTCTAAGATGGGGAGGTACCTTTGGCCAAGAGGTCTTCCCAGAAGTCTTCAGATAGTGTTTGGTATACATGTAGCTGTACTACCTGCTCAGAAGTATTAGAATCTCCCACTTTTTAGCACTTTTGGATCCACAAAATGTTTGGGGGACACAGGAATTCAAAGGTCTCACTGGAAGGTTCTGATTAACAAGAAATATTAAGAAGTCTTTTCCCAGTGAGAACAGGAGTCTCTGTGGTATTCCTTCCACTTGGACAGGGAAAATATAAAAGCAAAGTGTAAAACGTCAGGGAGGAAACTGCTTGAGTGCTATGTCCTGACTGTGTAGAGAGGGGAACCTTCTTAATGTCCCAGGGGACAGGCAAAGTTGTGCCAACCTAACCTGCATTTTGGCATGAGATCTCAAATGCCCTGTGAGCAAACAGCCAGCACCCTGCTCTCACTGCCATGCCAGCGTCATGATTGGTGAGTGTGGCAGATCCTCTGAGGCTTCAAAACCAAGCCTCAGAGGCCACGTAAGAGGCAAGGATCCATTTCACAGTCCTATTGTCTGTGTGCCTGAGAATCATAGAGTGAAAATACACTAAAGTTGAAAGGGATTTCAAGGTCAAACCAAGGTTGAAGGTTGGGCACCTATCAAAATGGCTTTGAATAGTGCATTTTTTCATGTGCGTTTGAACCCGCAGTTGATTGCAAACTCTGTAAGTAACCATCTATTATTTTTGTGTCTCCTCCTTGGTACTTAGTATGTTCATTGTATTTTCTGATGCCAAATGTGGGGGAGCAGGCAGAGGAGGGATTCCACACTGATTCTTCAATTCTCCAACACCAACTTGGTGTCCCTCTTAGTCCATTTTGTGCTGCTATAAAAGAATACCTGAGACGGGGTAATTTATAAAGAGGTATATTTAACTCATGGTTCTGCAGGCTAAGAAGTTCAAGGGCATGGCCCTGGCTTCTGGTGAGGGTTTTTGTGCTGTCATAACATGACAGAGAAGGTCAAAGGGGAAGCAAACATGTATGAAGAGAGAATAGCCTGAGGGACATCTGGCTTTATAACAAATCACTCCCGCAGGAACTAACCCAGTCTGGCCAGAGCAAGAACTCACTCACTAAAGAGCAGCACCAAGCCATTCATGAGGGAGCCACCTCCGTGACTCAAACAACTCCCACCAAGCGCCACTTCCCAATTCAGCCACATGGGGACCAAATTTCAACATGAGTTTTGGTGAAGACAAACCATAGCAATGTCCAACAATTCAATTCAATTCTGACACTAACTACTGGAGCTGGCACAGACCCCACAGGGTAAGGGCTCAGTCTCACAAGACTGCCCCCACTTCAGGTGCCCAGGCTACCTGCACTTCTGCCTGACTACAAATTCAAGGGTTCCCATGACTCCCCCTCAGGTTTAATCACTGGCTAGAATGACTCACAGAATTCAGGGAACCACTTTGCTTACATTTACTAGCTTATTTTAAAAGGTGCAACTTAGGAATAGCCAAATGGAAGAGATGTCTGGGGCACAGTATGGGGCAGGGCACGCAAAGTTTCCACACTCTGTCCAGGTGCACCCTGTCCCAGCCCATCCCTGTGTTCACCAGCCCAGAAGCTTCCTGGGTCCCATTGTTCAAGACTTTTTATAATCAATTTCAAGAGCCCTGCCTCCCACCCTTTCTGAAGTTCAGGGGATGGGACTGAAAGTTCAGCCTTTCTGGTGACCAGCCTCCATCCTGGAGATATCTAGGCGCTCCAACCTGAGTCACCTCATTAGCATAAATCCAGATGTGGTTAAAGGGGTTCCTTGTGAATAACAAAAGGCACTCCTGTCAGTCGGGAAGTTCCAAGGGTTTTAGGAACTTCTTGACTTGAACAAGAGACTAAAACTAAATATATTTTTTATTGTACCACAATTGCACACAGATTCTTAATTAAACATGTATCAGTTAATTCACTGACTAGCTTAGAACACAAGAAGCCTGATGAGGGGCTAAAAATGGCTAAGAAATCCCTTATCTCTAAAATCAGAAAGATTATGGGAAACCCTTTAGTTTGGGACAGGTCATTCTGCTAGAAGAACATATAACCCCAACTCCATACATAACCTTGAAGTTGGTGAGAGGATAGATAAAATGGCATGCATTTTTGGCTATTTTTGTAATTTAAAAAGGCTAAATTTCTGATTCGGGAGTTTTCCCAGATTTAGCTAATTATGAGGCTCTCTGATTACTCCTTATTCCCTGACCCTCTTTATTGAATCCTTGTGAGCTAACAGAATGACAGAAAGCAGGGGCTGCAGCACAGTGCCCTTGGCACCTCCTGCAGCTGAGAAACCTGCTATTTCCATATGCAGAAGCTTGCCAGAGCTGCATCTGAGCAAGCTGCGAAGAGACAACTGGCAGCAGAAAGATGCATCAGCACCAGGGAGGTATCAGAGCAGGTCAGCCAGGGTATGCTGCGGCAATCAATTATGTAGTAGGATTTGGCTGCCTTTCAGAAGCTTCTTTCACCACATTCCAAAGGCTCTTGCATTAAAAGGCACACAGCACTCTTTTCTCCTCAAGATGGCAAACTCAGAGAGGATTGCCTGGGCCACCCCACAGCTTCCTACCATTCAAGTTTCTTACATGTTGTGAATTGAAGCTGAGATTAAGGAAAGATGCTTGGAGGTTTGCAACTCAGGATTCCTCAGCCTGAAGTATCTCAAGAGATCATCTTGTTCATTTACAGCGTGCATGCCTACACTGAGAATGGACAATGCTTGAGATGTTCCATTTATCCCCTGATTCACTTCTCATCTTTGGAGGCAATAGGCTGGACCAGATTATTTCTACTTCAGCAGTAGAGACAGGCCTGGGTGAAGCCGAAGTTTCACCACCCCATCAATCTGCTCTGATTCCGAAGTTAGACCTATTTATGCAATGCTTGATCTTTCCACATCCTCTATCTTTTCGAGGCCCAGGCTAAGAAATAGGAGGATGACCAACTATCATGGTTTTCTCAGGACTGAAGAGGTTACTGGGACACAGAACTTTCTCTTTTTTTAACTTTTATTTTAGGTTCGGGGGTACATGTGCAGGTTTGCTATATAGGTAAACTCGTGTCACAGAGGTTTGTTGTACAAATTATTTTATCACCCCGGTACTAAGCCTAGTACCCAACAATTATTTTTTTCTGCTCCTCTCCCTCTTCCCACCCTCTACTCTTAGGTAGGCTCCAGTGTCTATCGTTCCCCTCTTTGTGTCCATGTGTTCTCATCATTTAGTTCCCACTTATAAGAAAAAATGTGCAGCATTTGGTTTTCTGTTCCTGTGTTAGTTTGCTAAGGATAATGGCCTCCAGCTCCATCCATGTTCCTGCAAAGGACATGATCTCATTCTTTATTATGGTTGCATAGTATTCCATGGTGAATATGTACCACATTTTCTTTATCCAGTCTATCATTGATGGGCATTTAGTTCATTCCATGTATTTGCTATTGTGAATAGTGCTCCAATGAATGTATGTGTGCATGTGTCCTTATGGTGGAACAATTTATATTCCTTTGGGTATATACTGAGTAATGGGACAAATGGTAGCTGTTTTTGGCTCTTTGAGGATCTGCCACACTGCTTTCCACAATGGTTAAACTAATTTGCACTCCCACCAACAGTGTATAAGGATTCCCTTTTCTGTGTAACCTCACCAGCATCTGTTATTTTTTAACTTTTTTTTTGCCTCCCGGGTTGAAGCAATTCTCCTGCTTCAGCCTCCAGAGTAGCTGGGACTACAGGGATGCGCCACAATGCCTGGCTAATTTTTGTAGTTTTAGTAGAGACAGGGTTTCACCATGTTAGCCAGGCTGGTCTCGAACTCCTGACCTCAGGCAATCTGCCCACCTCAGCCTCCCAAAGTGCTGGGATTACAGACATGAGCCACTGCGCCCGGCCTTGACTTTTTAATAATAGCCACTCTGACTGGTGTGAAATGGTATCTAATGTGGTTTTGATTTGCATTTCTCTAATGATCAGTGATATTTAGATTTTTTATATGCTTGTTGGCCACATGTATGTCTTTTTTTGAAAAGTGTCTTTTCATGTCCTTTGCCCATTTTTTAATGGTTTTTTTTTCTTGTAAATTTGTTTAAGTCCCTTATAGATGCTGGAAATAAGACCTTTGTCAGATGCATAGATTGCAAATATTTTCTCCCATTCTATACTTTGTCTGTTTACTCTGTTGATAGTATCTTTTGCTGTGCAGAAGCTCTTTAGTTTAATTAAATACCATTTATCAATTTTTGCTTTTGTTGCAATCGCTTTTGACATCTTCATCATGAAATATGTGACTGTTCCTATGTCCAAAATGATATTGCCTAGGTTGTCTTTCAGAGTTTTTATAGTTTTGAGTTTTACATGTAAGTCTTTAATCTATCTTCAGTTGATTTTTGTATATAGTGTAAAGAAGGGGTCCAGTTTCAATCTTCTGCATATGGCTAGCCAGTTCACCTAGCACTATGTATTGAATAAGGAGCCCTTTCCTCATTGCTTGTTTTTGTCAGCTTTGTCGAAGATCAGATGGCTGTAGGTGTGCGGCCTTATTTCTGGGTTCTCTATTCTGTTCCATTGGTCCATGTGTCTGTTTTTGTACCAGTGCCATGCTGTTTTTGTTACTCTAGCTCTGCAGCATAGCTTGAAGTTGGGAAGCAGGATGCCTCCAGCTTCATCCTTTTGCTTAGGATTGCCTTGGCTATTCAGGCTCTGTTTTAGTTCTATATGAATTTTAAAATAGTTTTCTCTAGTTCTGTGAAGAATGTCACTGGTAGTTTGATACGAATAGCACTGGATCTGTAAATTGCTTTGAGCAGTTTGGCCATTTTAATGATATTGATTCTTCTGATCCATGAACATGGAAGGTTTTTCCATTTGCTTGTGTTATGTCTGATTTCTTTGAGCAGCGTTTTGTAATTCTCACTGTAGAGATCTTTCACTTCTCCTGGGACACAGCACTTTCAGGCTAAAACTAGTAAAGTCCCAGACAAACTAAGATGAGTCAGTAACTGTAGTAAATAGTTGGAACTGACCTGAAACAAGTGTAGTACCAGATAGGTTTTTGGGAAGCCAAATTCAGGGGCTGGTTTTGTTTGGAAGGCAGTGGCTCTGCTATACTGTTTTTTTGAATTTGGCAAGAAATAATTATGTGATCTGTGGCTACACAAAAAAATGAATTGCTATAGCAGTAGATAGTGTAAGCATATAGACTCCAAAATAAAAATCCACAAACATATATGTTTTATGAGAGAAGGAATAATTATTTCTGTACTCTATCACTTACTACAATGCAAGCCACATAGTAAATATTCTAATAAATATTTGTGAAGTAAATGAATAAATGAATTCCAGCTCTGTCTGGCTCTATCATTACTACCTGTATGACATTACCTAAGTTACTGAATTTCTTTCTTTCTTTCTTTCTTTTTTTTTTTGAGATAGAGTCTCACTCTGTTGCCCAGGCTGGAGTGCAGTGGCATGATCACGGCTCACTGCAACTTCTGCCTCCAGAGTGCAAGGGTTCAAGTGATTCTTGTGTCTAAAACCAAGTAGCTGGGATTACAGGCATGCATCACCACACTCAGCTAATTTTTGTATGTTTAGTAGAGACGGGTTTCGCCATGTTGGCCAGGCTGGTCTCAAACTCCTGGCCTCAAGTGATACGCCTGCCTCAGCCTTCCAAAGTGCTGGGGTTACAGGTGTGGGCCACCACACCCAGCCTGAAGGTACTAAACATCTTTAAGCTTCTGTTTCTTCATCTGTAAAATGGGGATGATAATAATTAGCCACTTCATAGTTGTTATGGGCTAAATGAATTGTGTCCCCCTGCCCAAGTTTATATGTTGAAGTCAACCCCCAATACCTCCAAGTGTCCTTATAGGAATTGGAAATATTGACACAGAGACACCAGGCACACGTGCACACAGAGAAAGACCATGTGAGGAGACAGTGAGAAAGTGGCCATCTGCAAGCCACAGAGAGAGGCCTTAGGAGACACCAAACCTGCTGACACCTTCATCTTGGAATTCTAGCCTCCAGAACTGTGGGAAAATAAATTTCTGCTGTTTAAACCACTCAGCCTGGGGCATTTTGTTATAGCAGCCTTATCAAACTAATACAATAGGAGAAATAATGTTCATAGATCACCTAGCACATGAATGCTCAGTAAATATTTCTAATACTAAAAATATCTGAGCAGGGCACTGAAAAATATATAATACACACAAAAACATACAAAAGGGAATCAGTAGAATTATTTTTCTACACCTGAGGACCTTGGGGGACAGAGAAAACTGAACCTGCCCTGCATACTATTCTCTGCACTGGGATCATGAAAGAGTGTATCCACAAATGACATTCTAGTCCAGAACATCTCAAACTTTAAAGTGCATATGGATCACCTGGAGAACGTGTTAAAATGCAAATTCTGGTTCAGTGGGTCTACGGTCTGCATTTCAAACAAGCTCCCAGTTGATTCTGATGCTACTGGTTACAGGACCACACCAGGCAACACTGAAGAAATAGGTTGCTGAGTCCTAAGGAGAGTTATAAACCCTTGGATACACAAGACACAAAACCAAATACATCGAGTGGCCAGAAAATACTCAGTAAATTGAATCCTATATTTGTATATATCATGACTAGAGATGGCAGTGCCACTTAAGTATATATATAATAATTCAGGACCATGGAGTTAAAGTGCTCAGGCAGGTAAAGTCATCTGGAGAATTCCTGAAGGAAGAAAGGAAGACACTTGATTCAGCAGGGGAAAATAAAGAAAACATTCTCTGTAGGAGAACCCGTCTGGGTTAAAGCGAACTTAAATAGTTCAAGTTGAGTTGTATTTAGTTCCTTACTTCCCTACCTTAATAAGTACAGGGGCGGCATTTGCTGCTCCTCTGGAAGGGTGAGGGGAGGGAGGAACGTGTGGGTGTGCTTATGGCACTGTTTGCTCCGGCTAGCTAATGTTTGGTTTCCTTATCTTTGGAGAGTGTAATGGGTGTTGGTGCCAGCTTGGAGGCCACCTGATCTCAATCAGACTCTAAAGTCATTAACGAAGCTACTAGGAGGTAGGCCTCCACGTGGCCTGCAGCCAGAGCTTTAGGAAGCGGGAGTATGGAGAGGGAAAACAAACTCAACCTTGGGTTACCTAAGATGAACATCTTTATACTAGAGCTCCAGAATCTGCATCACCAAGGCTCTTACTATGCTCCAAGATGTGGTCCCTTCCAGGTACCTGACCACACACAGGTCAGACTTTCCTTGTCCCCTGAGACCCAGGAAGTTCCATGGGGCAATCAGATGTGGATCCAAATACTTGGGGATGTTTATGTTTTTAGTGGTTTTTCTAGAGTTGGAGGATGAATTATGAAACAATAGCAGAAATTTGCTGAGGTGCGGTGGCTCACGCCTGTAATCCCAGCACTTTGGGAGGTCGAGGCAGGCGGATCACCGGAGGTTAGGAATTTGAGACCAGCCTGGTCAACATGGCAAAACCCTGTCCGTACTAAAAATACAAAATTAGCTGGGTGTGGTGGCATGCGCCTGTAATCCCAGCTACTTGGGAGGCTGAGGCAGGAGAATCCCTTGAACCCAGGAGGTGGAGGTTGCAATGAGCCGAGATCGCACCACTGCACTCCAACCTGGGCAACAGAGCAAGACTCCATCGCAAAAAAAAAAAAAAAAAAAAAAAAAAAGAATAGCAGAAATTCCAGACCCTGAAAACTTGGATTTATCCGCTGACATATGGGTATTCTTTTGTAGAAACATGAGTTTCTTGTATATTAAGTGGTCAAGATGATCCCTGATGGTAATTTCTCCATAAACAGATTTTTTTAGGGCTTCATTCAGACTGTAAGATCAAATATATTATTGGGTTTAGATTAGGAGCTTGGATTTTGGAGGTTTGCTAGCTGTTTCACCTGGGCAAGATCCTTAACCTCTCTGAAGTCTCAATTTCCCAAATTTAAAAAATAATATTTATATAATGGATTAAATGAGACATAAAGCATATAAAGTGATTGGCTTTTATTATAATTCTTTCTCTTCTTATCCCACTTAATTACATTCTTCCCATGAAGTAATGTCAGGCTCTATAAAGGCAGTTGGGGCTGTGGGCCTATATCCCTCCTCTCCACCCATCCTAAAGTCTACTACACTGCTTCTCTGTTAGAGAATATTTAATTGAGCATCTCCTGTATGTCAACTAAAAGACACAGTCTTTGCACGTAAAGGAGTCCACAGTCACTTAGAGGGAGACAAGATGAGTCAGCAAATAAATATAATCAAGTATCTCAGGTGCTCTGGCAAATGTCTAAATGGACAAGGAGTGATGAAGCAGAGCATGTTTACTTTTAGTTTGGAGACTTAAATAAGAAAAGGATTAAAAGTGGATGTGTTTGAACTGAGTTTTGAGAAATGAGAATTGGCCAGGTATTCTAGAGTGTGTGTGTTGTGTGTGGGCACTCGGTGGAAGGGGAGGATTGGTGGGCATGGGTCACCAAGAAACAAGCAACAGCATGGCTTGTCAGGGACCTGGAAGAGGTTTGAAGTTGCCAGAGGATGGGATGTGTGGGGAAGGTGGTAGAGCAATAGATAAGGTTACACAGCTAGATCAAGGTCAACTCACAGAGGGTCTTGTAAGCCATACTTAGAAGTTTGGGCAATGAAAAGCCAGTAAGAGGGGAGTGGTTTGGTCAGACATATGGGTGTTATAAGGAAAATTTTTTCTCTAGTTGCAAAAATAGTTTATTTTCAATGGGGAAAAAAAACCACAAAAAAAAATTACATATGAACTCACTACTAATACCCAACTCATAATGTACTGGAGTGAGTTTTCCAGAGAGAATAACAGAGTGTAAAAGGAAAAAAAAAGGTTTTTTCCTACTCTCTCTGCTCCCTATTTACTCAATACAGAACACTTCTTAGACCAGATGTGTGTTTTTCCCCGTACACCAAGCAATTCTCCAGCAGACCCTCTCTGGGTATCCTAGAATCCAATTCTGATTCTATCTACCTGGATATAGCATCAGATCCCAGTGGTTGTGGGCTCAGTCCCACAAAACTGCTCTCACTTCAGAGGCCAATTGCAAGTCTGGGCCACCTTTATTTTTCACCAACCGGCTATAAACTGAGATTCCCTCAACTTTCTGCTGGGATTTGATTAATTTGCTGGGATGGCTCATGGAATTCAGGGAAACATTTACCAGCTTATTAACTGTTTTACCAGTTTAGTACAAACGATATTACAAAGGATACAGATAAACAGCCAGACGAAGAGAAGCACAGGGCAAGGTATGGCAGAGCGGTTGCAGAGCTTCCACGCCGTGTCTAGGTGAGCCACCCTCCTGGCGTCTCCTAGTGTTTAGCAGTCCCAAAGCTCATCAACTCTTGTTTGAGTGTTTATAGAGCTTGATGTTCAGCAACACCCTCCCTCCCCTCCTTGGAGGTTGGAGGGTAGGGTTGAAAGTTCCAATCCTCTAATCACTTGGTCTTTCTGGTGACTGGTCCTATCCTGAGACTAACTAGGGCCCCCACACTAAGTCACCTTATTAGTATAAATGCTGGAGTTATTAAAGGAGCTCATTATGAATAACAAAGATGTTCCTATCACCCAGGAAATTCTAGGGGTTTTAGAAGCTATGATAGGAACCAGGAAAAAAGACCAAAGATATTTTACATCATATCACAAGGGGAAAGGGAGCCAACATGTACTGAGCTATGTGCCAGGTACTTTATGAAGTTTATCTCATTTAATGTAACACTGAGGTTTGCTGCTCCATGTGGGTCCACAGCCAGAGGGTTTTGAAGAGGGCCTAGAGAAGGGGAAGAATAAACTCAGTCTTGCATTACAGAGGCTCCTCAACTTATGATGGGGTCACATTGTTGTAAGATGAAAATATCAACTAAGTCAAAAATGTATTTAACACACCTAACCTACCGAACATCATAGCTTAGCCTAGCCTACCTTAGACAAACTCATAACACGTATGTTAGTTTACCTTGAGTAAAATCATCTAACACAAAATCTATTTTAAAATAAAGTGTTGAATATCTCCATTTATTTATTTATTTATTTATTTATTTATTTATTTATTTGAGATAGTCCTGCTCTGTCGCCCAGGCTGGAGTGCAATGGTGTGATCTCGGCTCACTGCAAGCGAGTCTCTTGCCTCAGCCTCCCGAGTAGCTGGGATTACAAGTGCACATCACCATGCATGTCTGGCTAATATTTTTGTATTTTTAGTAGAGTCAGGGTTTCACCATGTTGACCAGGCTGGTCTCGAACTCCTGACCTCAGGTGATCCACCTGCCTTGGCCTCCCAAAGTGCTAGGATTACAGGTGTGAGACACTGCTCCCGGCTGCCTGTAACTTATTGAATACTGAACTAAAAGTGAAAAACATAATAGTTGTATGCGTACTCAAAGTATGGTTTCTACTGAATGTGTATTGCTTTTATACCATTCACAAAGTCAAAAATTGGTAAGTTAGGGACTGTTTGTATTAGGTAAACTAAGGAGAACATCTTTACAAAAGTGCCAAATATTTGCATCGCCAGGATCTAATGCTCTCACTGTGCTCCATGGCTAGATAAGATGGAGCATGGGAAGGTGGGAGGAGAAGCAACTTTGGGAAGAGGAGATGAGGATAATAAGTTCTTTTTGAGATGGTTGTAAGGCACACACGTGGATGTATAGGTTTAGTACTCAAAAGAGAAATCGGGGCTGGAAGTAAAAACTTTGGAATTGGCATTTACATTAGATTTAAAGCCATGAGAATAAGTGAATGTGCCCCAGAAAGACAGAAGAGAGAAGATCAAGACTAGAGCCCTAGTTGCCGGGCGTGGTGGCTCAAGCCTGTAATCCCAGCACTTTGGGAGGCCAAGGCGGGCGGATCACGAGGTCAGGAGTTTGAGACCAGCCTGGCCAAGATGGTGAAACCCTATCTCTACTGAAAGTACAAAAATTAGCCAGGTGCAGTGGCAGGTGCCTGTAATCCCAGCTACTCGGGAGGCTGAGGCAGGAGAATCGCTTGAACCCGGGAGGCAGAGGTTGTAATGAGCCGAGATCGTGCCACTGCACTCTAGCCTGGGCGGCAGAGCAAGACTGTCTCAAAAACAAAAAAACAAAAAACAAAAAAAAAACAACAAAAAACAGAATAGACCCCTAGAGAATGCCAGAATTTAAGAGGCAGAGCAAAGGAGATACCACTAGGGCCTGTGAAGGAGGGTCAAAGAAGAACCATGAAAGAAAGATCCTGGAATTCACCAACTGTCAAATGTCACACAGGCCAATCAAGATGAACAGTGCAAAGAGGACACAGGGTTTTGCTATTTCTCAGTGGGAGCTTTGCCTGGGCCCTTTATGAAGTGGGATGCAGGGAGCCTCACTGCAGCAGGTGGAAGAATGGATGGAAAGTGACGGTAAATGCAGTCTGTACTTTTAGAGAGCTTGACTATGATGGGAGACGGTTTTGTGGTGGATTGATTTGTTTTGCTTTTAAAGACTGGAGAAAATAGCATATTTTTATGATAGAAAGGAGCCAATAGTGGCTAAACATGAAGACTGGAGAGAGGGAATAACCAAGGTTGCAAAGTTCTACAGCAGTTTTTCTCAACCGGGGACATTCAGTATCTGGAAACATTTTTGGCTGTCACAACTGGGGTAGAGGAGTTGTTACCAGCATCTGCTAGACAGAGTCCAGGGAGGCTGCTAAATATCCTTTAATGTACAGCACAGCCCCTCATGACAAAGAATTATCTGGCCATTGCCAACAATGTGGAGGTCAAGAAACCCTATTCTAAAGGAAGAAAAAACAGACCAAGAATGCAAGTGATAGGATTAGCTTCCACCTGATATAACACAATGCATATTTGTTAAATAAATTAATGAATTTAAAATTCCATAAATAGATTCCATCCTGTTTCCTTTCATCTGGAAGCCCTATAACTTAAGCATGGCATAAAAAAATTGAATACTATGTAGGTACTGCAGACTCAAAGATAAGACACAAGCTCGTACTCTAAGTTTTGAATAAAATGATGCTGCCTAGAGAATTCAGGGAAGCCTTGGAAGATGGGAATAGAGAAATAAAATTGACTTTTATTAAGTGTCCACTTTATATAAGCACTTAAAATATGCTTTTATACAAGCACTTTATTTAGTTGTGTGATTTAATATACACCACACTCTGGTGAGTGAGATATTAGCTCCATTAACTAGGGAGGAAACAGAGTCACAGAGGTCAAGTTAACTTGTCCAAGGTCACTCATCTAGTGAGAAATGGAACCAAGATTTGAACCCAGTTAAGTCTCACCCTAAAATCTAAGTTGTTTCCATTGTACTATGCTGTCTTCATGCAATAACCAAGTCAAGTGACATCTCAGCCTTGAATGATGAGCAGGAATTTGCAAAACAAAGAGAGGGGAAGAGAGGACTGGGCATTCCAGATATTATGGAGCACATGCAAAGGCCCTGAGGTATGAAACAGTCGTTTGGTGAGGCTATGTGACTGAAATAAATGGCACAGGGCAGGGCAGGGGCAGAGGTGGACCACAAGGGGTGGAGAAGTACCATGGCAGCCATGTAGCTAAGTCTTTTCTAGAAGTCAGCAGCTCTTAATTTTAGCCTTTCCTGATGCTGTTCAAATAATTGAGCCTCCCTATCCTCTGTTTTACACTGTTTTTCTTTTGCCCAGTACTATATTTTTCATATTCCAAGCACAGAGGTGTCTAAATATTGGTTTGGGGTTTAGTAAATCTTTTTCTTTCCTATGACAGCAAAAACGAGCTATGTAACTTACAACTCCCTTGACTGAGACATTCATTTTACAAGCAAAGTGAGTTATGGATTAATTTGGGAATATTTAAGCTCCGGTTAAGCAGCAGTGGGCACACGATTGCCTAGAACATAAAACCAGGACAGTCAGGGAGCATCTCTAGCTTGTTAACTGTAATGCCAGATAAATGTCACCCTCTGCTCAGGCTTTTTAATAATTTATTAAAAAAATTAAAAGTACTCAGTTGTACTTCCTAAGGCATTTCCTGTTTAGAGGGTGTGTATTCTAACAGCTGTGTTAGAAAGTGTGACCTAAGAGCTTTCAGATTGCTTGTCCTTTGAAGCTACTGAGTGCCAAGCTAGGGGATTACTCCCACCTAGGCCAGAGCCTGGTCTCCCGGCCTGAACCTGGCTATCTTGGGTTCCCAGCTCCTACAACCATACAGTCTGTAATAACTGCAGAGCATGAAGGGTGCATGGAGGTCTAGAGGCCAATTCACTTTCATGGAAAGTATAATTTAATTGGAAAGTGGGAAAGAATAATGTTTACAAAGTATCTTGCAGAGATTTCTGTATTTCCGGATCACAGAGCAGAGGCTGACAGGCACAGATCACCACTGAACCTCTAAACATTCCTGTTCTCCCCAACCCCCAATGTCTTTCCCTGTCCTGGAAAAGTGCAAAAAAGCAGTATACATCCCAGGCTGCTGGACATATGCCCAATTATTCTCTAGGGCAAGAAGTCTACCCCTGATAGTGATATATATAAATGCTCATGCTTTAAAAAAAAAAAAAAAAAAAATACAGCAAGTTTAACCAGGCGCAATAGTTCACATCAGTAATCCCAGTGGCTGGGAAAGCTGAGGTAGGAGGATCACTTTTAGCCCAGGAGTTCAAGGCTGCAGTGAGCTATGATTGCGCCACTCCACTCCAGCCTGGGCGACACAGCAAGACCCCATTCAAAAAAAAAAAAATACAGTCAGTTTAAGCACGATGTATCATTTTCAGGTCACGAGTTCACTAATCTCTACTCCAGTTTATTTTTAAAATACGCAGTCATAGTTTCACAATTTCTATGTAAGTCTCATTTCACACAAAAGATTAATGCATAAAATTGTTTAAAATAGCATTATTTACAATGAAAATCTGAATTGCAAAAAAAAGCTGAACTAAAAAATAGACAAAAAATTAAATGCAATTTACAATCACAAGAGAATGGGTAAAGAAAGTTATGGTACATTAACAGTAGATATTTTGCAGCTATTAAACGTTATACTTAACAAGAGTAATAGTAACACTAGGAACGATTATATAATAATGTTGAATAAGCAAAACAAGATACACAACTGTCTATACAATTGTTATTTCTTTTTTTTTTTTTTTTTTTTTTGAGACAGAGTCTCACTCTGTTGCCCAGGCTGGAGTGCAGTGGCGCGATCTCGGCTCACTGCAACGTCCGCCTCCCAGGTTCAAGTGATTCTTCTACCTCAGCCTCCCTAGTAAGCTGGGATTACAGGCACCCACCACCATGCCCAGCTAGTTTTTGTATTTTTAGTAGAGATGAGGTTTCACCATGTTGGCCAGGCTGGTCTTGAACTCCTGACCTCAGGTGATCCACCCGCCTCGGCCTCTCAAAGTGTTGGGATTACAGGTGCGACCCACTGCACCTGGCCACAATTGATATTTCAACTGTGAATGTCATGCATAGAGAAATGATTGGAGATGTACAACAAGATGTACCACAGATTAATTTTACCACCAGAAAAGGCCAAATCTCCCTGTCTGTTTGCTTGGGCTGCTATAACAAAATACGTTACACTGGGTAATTTATAAACAACAGAAACTTACTGCTAATAGTTCTGGAGACTGGGTAGTCCAAGATCAAGGTGCCAGCAGACTCAGCATCTAGTGAGAGCCGGTTCTTCATAGATGGTGCCTTCTGTGAGTCCTTACAAGACAGAAGGAGCAAGAAAGCACCCTCAAGCCTCTTTTATAAGGGCACTAATCCTATTCATTCAGGTGGAGCCCTCATGAGTTAATCACTTCCCAAAGGTACCGCCTCTTAATACTATTACACTGAGTATTAGGCTCTAACATATGCATGTGGGGGGACACTGCATTCATACTGTAGATAAAAGGAGCCGAAGAAACAAACAGCCTCTCGCATAGTGTTGTTTACATCCTTCTAATGTCTCTAGAGAAATTCATATATAAATAGGGAATACTTTATATGCCTGATGTGGCCGGTGACCAGAATGCCATTATTTAGGAAGAGTAGAAAAAGTAGCAGCTCTGATAACTAAGGAAAAAAATAAACCCACAAATATGAGGCTTATTCAGTTAAAATACCAAACCTAGGAGGATGAGCTTCAACTGCTTGCCATAAAAATCTCACTACAAGAGTCTGCAGCTTTCCACTGCAAAACTAGAAAATTAAATATCTTTCATCTTCATTTTCACACCCTTTACTGTATTTTCTTACTAATATTAGGAGCCGCAGATGGCAAATCAATAGAATGTTTCTATGATAGCATGGACCAAAAAGAATGGTGTAGAAAGAGATAAGTCTGTCTCTAGCTATTCCATCGTGGCTTCATCAATTGGACAGGGTGAATGTCACCTCTGTTGCCGATTTAATCCTCCTCTTTCAAGTCTGGACACCTGCATTCCTCAACTATCCTAGCTCCAGGGGAGGACTAACAGGGAGGGAATTTGTTTTTTTAGGTATTGAAAGAAAATCACATCAAATAATAAATTACTCTCTATATCTCTTTTAAAACTGTCTCGTGTGTCTTTAAAATGTCATGGGAGAAATAAAAAGGTACACTGAGAGAGTATGCTCAATGAAATATTTAAACCATAAAGGCAGCAAGGCCGGTGATTAAGGAGATTAAATAGATCTGGATGATGGATACAAATCAGAAGCATGTTGTCAAAGATTAGTAGATATTAAAGCTCTTTATTGTCCTTCCAACAGAAAAAAAAAAGCAGTAATACGGTTTTTTTGATGTCAGTCTGAGCCATCAAGCCATTATGTAATTTTTATCTTTTCTTACTCCTTTTGCCATGAGGCAAGACAATTTATTTCCCCTGTAGTAAATAAATTTCCTCTGCCTCAAACATGCTCTGAATGTAATCCTGGGCTAGCCACCCACCTCTTAGGATTCACTTTCCTCATTTGCTAAAGGAGGGAATTGGTTCTCATAGTTCTGACATTCTGTGTTTCTCTGAAAGATGTTTAGAGAGTTCTAGGATGTGAGTTATCATATATCATCTACACTAAGACACATTTAATTATAAGATAAGCCATTATTTTATGTACTACTAACAAAAAAAAGATCCTGCCAACTAAACTATGACAGAATACCCTAACTATAGCCCTGTGACCTCAGGATTAATCACACCAGCCTCTCATGCTTTGAAATAAAGGACAATTCCTGCCACCCTCCATTGCATTGCTTGGTTGATTTTAGACAGTTCATTTGTATGTATCTCACTAATAAAACAACACAATTTTGCTTGTAGGTATCTTTCTTTCTCAGGTCCCATAAAACTCTTGATTCTTGTTCTTTTCAGAATAATATATGGAACTGCAATCATTTCTCTGATGATGAATATTTGCTTCACTAGTATCAAATTCATGCCCCACTATGTTCATGCCTTCTACAAATACGGGAATCATAGTGTAATTTTTTTAAAATTTAAACAACAAGTAAGCTCAACATGTTATTACCAATAGTGTCCTTAACTGAATGGAAGTCGTGACAACATGAACAGCTATGACTAATTTTGAACCTGGGCAGACCAGGACAACTACATCATGGCTACAGTCTAACTGACATCCCTACTGACTTCAGAGATGTCAAAAAACAACCAGGAACCTGGGCAACATTGTGAAACCCCATCTCCACAAAAAACACAAAAACTGGCCATGCATGGTGGCATGCACCTGTAATCCCAGCTACTCAGGAGGCTGAGGTGGGAGGATTGCTTGAGCCCAGGAGGTCAAGGCTGCAGTGAGCTGAGATTGTGCTACTGCACTCCACCCTGGGCAACAGAGTGAGACCACATCTCAACAACAACAAAAAAGTGGAGGATGGTGGCAAGGAGAAAAATATGTGGTTTAGAACTGATGAACTGAGATGTCTTCTTCACCTCCAGTGAGAGAGGAGTGGCATATAGCAAGCGTTCCCTAAATATTTGCAGGTTGTTGAAGGACTGAATGAAAGTATAGATGAAAGGATGAATGAAAAAACAAACAAGTAGCTAATTGGGAATGTTGAGAAGGCACTTTACTGCCTTCTTTGAGATTGCTTCTTATGGCAAACTGCACTGCAGTCTTGAATCACCACGGCTGGCTAAAATCATGGCGACCCAACCTTCACCTAAGACTCTGGAATCTGATTCACATTCACCTCCCAGCCTCTGCTGACCTCTCATGCCTCTATCAGACTGCGAAACTGAATGCTAAGGTCCACGTAGAGGACTCAATGTAACACAAGAGCTTACATTTCCTTGACTCCTCAACACCAGTGGCCTTGCCTTCTTATCCTCCCCTGCAGCTGCTCCCAGCCCTACTCCTCCTTGTCCTTGTTTTTCCACCATTCTATGACATCCCATCCCTGCATATCGACTTCCTGCCTTCTGCATCCAGGTGGCTACAAGCAATTATATAGATTCATTTGCTCCAACTTTAGGTGACCCTCAAGCTGCTGCTAACCTGTTCCTTCTGTCATTCTTCTCAACAGCTCTCTCACGCATTCTCTTTTTTTCCTTAAACCCTCAACACCTTCATCACCTGCAACTTCAGTAAATCATCTTTCTACTTTATGAGAAAATTAAAGCTATCAGGTCGGAACTCCCTGAGCTCCATCAACAACACCTAAAAACTCTCAGTCTAATTCTATCCCTTCTTTCTCTCCTCTCAGGACATTTTCTCTAGTTCAAAACTAATCCCTCCATCTGACCTCTGCCTACGCCTCAGGAAACTGTTACTCTATTCGTTATCCTCTCTATCTCCTTTACTCCAAGCTTCCCCTCTACTTGATCTTTCCTGGCAAAATATAAATATTATCATCTCTAATCTAAAAACAACTTCCACTCGCCCACTCTTCTCTTCTAGCTCTTAGTCATTTCTCTCTTTTTCAAAGCCAAGTTTTTTAAGTCTACCTATTATTGTTGCCTCCACTTTCACCTCCCATTCACTTACAAATCTAGTGCAATCTGGCAAACATGTTCACCATGCCAACAAAATTGTTCCCTAAAGTCACTAATTACCTGCACAGGGCTATCCTTACCTCACTTGACCCCTCTACAGTATTTAATGCTGTGAAATATTCCCTCCTCAACATCTGTTCCTTTTGGTTATTGTGATACTGTTCTCTCTTCCTTTTTCATGTCCTTCTCTGTTTTATTCTTTGGTCAGACAGAAAAAAAGTTTTTGCTTTCCCCAGTCTACTTATGAGTTCTCTTTGGTGGTCACAAATACACTATTTCAGCTTCTGCATATGACCCACAGCCTCAAATCTCTACGCCCAACTGAAACTTCTCTCTGCGTTGATGATAACAGGTCTCAAACTCATCATCTTCCCCCATAAGCCTGCTTCTCTTCCTGCCTCAGGTGTCAAGCCATGCACACAGGTGTCAAGCTGGAAATGTGTCCCTTCCTTTAGATGTGCCCCTCCTCACCCACACATCTGATTGGTTACTTAGGCTTTTAGAGCCTGTAAGCCACCCTCTCTGTAATCCACTTCTACTGTTTCTACTTTAGCTGAGGCCTTTGCCATTTGTCATGTGGATCATCATAGTGGGCTGCTGGGTGTTTCTTCTCTAATCTATCTGCCACACTGCTGCCACATACCACATTACTACCAGAATAATCTTTCTAAGATGCAAATCAATCAGATCATGTTTTTTCCCTGTTTAAAAATACTTCGATTGTTCTTCCGGTAGCTTTCAGGATGGAATTAAAACATGGAACACACAAGATCCCCCATGATACGCCCCTGCCCACATCTTTAGCCTCTTATTCCATCAGGTACCTCTAATGGCTTCCTGTTTTCTGATCACACTTGACTGTATACACATGATGTTTCATGCCCCTGAGACTCCTCTGGGGATACTCTCTACCTTCTTATCTCTGGCCCAGCTTACTAACTGCTGAACATCCCTCTCAAGCATCTTTTCCCTAGGAAGCTTTAACTACTTCAATTGGGAGCCTCTCTTCCATTCTAGAAGAGCAACTGGTGCATACCCCTATCACCTCTATTATCATTAATGATTTGTTTATACGTCTGCACTAGAATATACCCTCCATGAAAGCAAAGACTGTATGTTTTTGGCTGAAGGTGTTAAAAATATTAGCATTAAATGAATGACTAAATGAATAAACCACTGAGCTTTTGGGTCTAAAAACAAGGTCAAGTGAATAAGGCATTTTTTATAATCAAGACAGAGTAAAACTTTTAGAAAAATTAAGTAGTGATAACAGTGAAAGAACTGTAAAAGAAGTGCTTTATTATAATTAGATATCTATATTTATATATTTCTCTAAATTGTATCATCCCCTTAAATGTGTTAACACAGCTATTATTGTTTTGGTGTCTTGATGATATTTTAATTTTAAGTGAAGAAACTAATTTATTAGTTTTAGCATCTGGATCCAAACTCCTAATAAAATAATTCAAGTGGAGCCAATGTACCTGAAACACAATCTGGACACCATAGTATACCTTAGGCAATTCAGGTTTTCTTACCAAATACCTTAACTGGGTATTTCAATTTATCCAAAGCCAGGCATAGTGGCACATGCTTGTAGTCCCAGCTACTCAGGAGGCTGAGGCAGGAGGATTATTTGAGCCCAGGAATTCAAGTCAAGCCTAGGCAACATAGCAAGATTCTGACTCTATAAGATAATAAAATAAAATGTTTCCAAGATTTTATCCCAACATACCTTTCACCATTATTCAGCACTAAATCTACATTCAAGTTAAATTAAACTCCTAAACACTCCCTGAAAATGCTCCACATTTTCCCAATGTGTTATTTCCTCTATATGGGCCTTAACTCCTTACACTGAGAATCTCTTTGCTCCATTTCTACCTGTTTAAATACTAAGTCCAACTCCATGCACATACAGTTTTCTGATTCCTTTCAGAGAGATTTTGTGCCTTTTATCACATCCAGTTTTATGTATTTATTTATTTTTATTAATTTATTTTTGCAACAGGGTCTCACTTTGTCACCCAGGCTGGAGTACAGTGGTGCTATCATGGCTCACTGCAGCCTTGAACTCCTAGTTCACTGAACTAGAAGTTCACTTGAACTAGATCACCTAGATCACTTGAACTCAAGTGATCCTTCCACCTCAGCCTCCTGAGTAGCTGGGACTACAGGCACACGTCACCATGCCCAGTTAATTTTTGCTTTTGTTTTTGTTTTTTGTAGAGATGAGGTTTTGCCATGTTGCGCAGGCTGGTCATGAACTCCTGGGCTCAAGGGATCCTTCTACCTCAGCCTCCCAAAGATTTGGGATTACAGGCGTGAGCCACTGCACCCGGCCTACTATACTTTCTAATTATTTGTTTTTTCTTACATTGGGACACAGCTGATTTTTGCATTTTAATCTTGTTTCTGTGGATTTTGCTGAACTCTCTTAATAGTTTGTAGATTGTCTTCAATTTTCTATGTAGATAATCACATTGATTGTGAATACTGTAGTTTGTTTCTTCCTTTCAAATCCTTAGGCATTTAATTTTTTTATCTTATTACTGCCTGCTAGGACCCCCAGTACTAAATTTAATAGAGGTAGTGATGGTGGACATTCTTGTCTTATTCTTGACTTAAAGAATGCTTCTAACAAATATTTAACCATTAAGCATGCATACTAAGCATATTATTTGCTGTAAATTTTGGATGAATATCCTTTATCAAGTTAGGGAATTTCCCTCTGTAATGATTAGCTAAGAATGTTTACTGTGAATTAAATTTTATAAAATGTTTTCTCTGCATCCATTAAAATAATTTGAATTTTTTCTCCTTTAATGTATAAATGTAGTAAATTATAATAATACATTTTCTAATGGTCTTTTTTTTTTTTAAGAGATGGGGTCTCATTTTGTTGCCCAGGTTGGTCTTGAACTCCTGAAAGTGATCCACCCGCCTCGGCCTCCCAAAGTGCTGGGATTACAGGTGTGAGCCACTGCGCCCGGCCTCTCCAATGTTCTAATATTATATTCTGGGATAAGCCCAAAGGGATCACAAATATTAGCTTTAATGCATTGCTAGATTTAATTTTCTATTATTTTGTTTAGAATTTTTACTTCTGCATTTATGAGAGATTGGTCTATAATTCTCCTTGTCTGGTTTGGTATCAAAATTCTGCCAGCACTATAAAATAAGTTACAGTCAGTTCTTCCTTTTCTATTATCTGGAATAGATCATATAAGATTATGATTATCTTGTTCTTAGGTGTTTGGCAGAATTGCTTATAAATCCCTTTAGCCCTGGTATGTTTTGTTTTTGTAGGTAGATTTTAAACTACCAATTCAACGTTTTAAAAATAGCTATAGTTTTCTAATTAGATTTTCTGTTTCTTCTTGAGTCAGTTTTGTAAGTTTTCTTTTTCTAGGGAACTGGCCATTTCACATAAGTTTTCAAATTTAGTTGCATGAAGTTTATAATCATCTCCTATTGTTTAAAAAATGTTACCTATGTAGCGATTTTCTTTTTTTAATTCCTGTCAGTTTTATTAGTCTTTTCAAAGAACCAGCTTTTTGTTCTCCTGATCCTTTCTATCATAACTTTGTTTTAAATTTTATTAATTTCTGCTCTGTTAATACTTCCTTCCATTTACTTTCTTGTGTGTATGCTATTGTTCCATTATTCAATGTCTTGAGATGGACATGTGACTCATTAATTTCCAGTGTTTCTTCTTTACTAAATAAACATTTTAAAGCTTTTGTAAATTTCTCTGCGTAAGTTTTGGAATATATTTCATTATTTAGCTCTCTATATTATCTAACTTTAGTTATAATTTGTTCTTTTATTTAGGACTTAATCACAATTGATTTATTCCTAAAGTTATTTAGAAGTGTTTTAAAATATCTGAGCGCATGATGTTATTAAAGCTTTTTTTAAAAACCGATCAGATAACATGATCTATATGATACTGACTTGTCTGGGCTGAGATGGTGTCATGATGTCACCAGAGACCTGGATCCTTCTATCTTTCTGTTCTGTCATCCTAATTCATGGCTTCCATCACAGACCTTTTTTGTATTTCCCATTGTTTTCAGTAAAATGGTTTGCACATAGCAGCTATAGGGTACATCCTACATCATGCTACATAAGAAAGATTTAACAGCCCAAACAATAATCATGAGATTTATCATGAATCAGTCTCATCAGCTTTTCTCTTTCAGAATTCAGAATTCGAAGTTCAGAGCCCCATTTTGGATTTGCACATCAGAGGTCTGGACTCTATCCCACGCCCCAGCTCTGGACCTCGAGGGCTGGCTCCAACATTAGGCATTTGGGGGATATTTATTAGATTAAAGAATACATAATTAGAAAAGAATGAATACTCCCTGCATGCTAATCCTGCTAGCCCCAAACTAGAAACGGATGGCAAATGTCACAAATAGTAATTCAATACTCTTTCTAAAGAGATTGGAACACAGTCTACAACAAGGCAGGCTTATAATGCGAGCAGAAGCATCACGTGCTGCACATTCTTGGGGAGAACAATTTAAGGAAAATTAATTTCTAAACAATAACATTCTGAAAGCCTCTCAAACATATATGTTCACCAATCTCCTGGCTGACCTGTCACAAAGGGTCACTGTTGTTCACAGCACAAGCAGTCTGTCTACTCAGGACAGCAGCCACTTAACCCCAGATATTGTCCACAGAGCAAATCTAGGTATATGAGCCAAAGGCACATGTATATTGGGGAGCAGGAAACCTGAAGTTTAGGGTAAATGATTTCTATCATGTTCTGTAGGCCACGCTTGACAGTCCTGTAACTGCACCCTTCCACCTTGCTTTGGCCAAGTTAACACAGTTTGGGTGTGGTTGCTCATAAATATTCCCAAAGAGCAATGACGATTCTTTTGGATTCCTGAACACACCATCTCTGTTGTGGGAGAACTCTGGGGTATGTTTCCAGCTCTCTCAATGAAGTTTTAATCAAAGCACTGTTTCCTTCCCGTTGTTGCTTTTGGAATGGCCTTGTTCTCTGAGTCCTAGCTTTGACAACAGCAACTGTGCTGAACTTTTCCACAGCAGCTTTTGGATTTCTGCCCCACCCCCTCCCATCTGCACGCCCCCATTTCCTCTCTTCTCTGTTTTGGCTCTGCGTGGCTCTTCTGAGTAAAGTGGCTGAAGAGTAATGAACCCAAAATACCTAAGTAACAAATGAGTCACCACACTTCCACAGAAGAGCTCTGAGGATCAGTGGGTGTGTTGGGGGGTAAATAGCAGAGGAGGTGGCTGCCCAGAGAGAGGGAGAGAGAGAAAAAATAGAAACAAAACGAGCAAGTTGGCAGAGGTGGCTGAGAGCAGCTGAGTGGGTGGAGGGGGCGGGGAGCCGGGTTGTGTTGGCTTGCAAAGGTGAGATCAGTGCTGTGGCTTGTCACACCCTGGCTGACTCAAGCTAAGCCCAGGCCCCTCGGGAACTGTTCACACTGGGCTGTCTAGTAAAAATCAGCTAGACAAGTCGCCTAACTGCCGTTCTCTTGTGTTTACAAGTTCTGAGTTGTAGGGCTTGGAATTCTTTGCTCAAGTTGCTGCAAAGCTGCTAATTAGGAACCTGCAATGATATTGCTCTAGGGCCATTCCCTTTCTGGTTATATGGTATCTGGGTGATAAGAGTCAGGGCAGAATTTAAATTTCTTCTTTGTACTTTTTTGTTTGTTGGGAATGTTTAGAATGCATCCTTTTTTCAAAACCTTATCTTGAAGTGTAGTGGTGGAGCTGGATCGCCACCTCAAAGCTAAGGCTCCAGGCAGCATTGATCCTGACCATGCCCAGCACCCTAAGAGGATGAGGCTCTGCTGAGAGATCCTGGGATGCTGCCCCATAGGGCCAGCTTTGCTTAGAAGCCACTGGGAATTTGTCCTGGCAGCTTAAGTTATGACTCCTACTTTTTTTTTTTTTTTTTTTTTTTTTTTACCTTTCTAAGTAAAAAAGGAGTGGAATAGGCAGAGCCCTTGGAACAAGACAAATGGTCTGATTTCATGAGGTTCTGCCTGGCCAGCCCACAGTGGACTTTTAATCTGTCACAAAAAAAACCAGAAAGAAAATCCATGTGTGCAAAGAACAAGGCCTAAGATTCATTCAGGACTGTTAATGTGAAATGACCTCCGGGAGAATCTTTTGAAAAAAGAATTATAAAATGTCCTCTGAGACAGGTGGTCTCAGATCACAAGGATAACAGGATTTGATCACAAGCTGTCTGGTTTTCTCTTAGGTCAAAACCAGGAAGTTCAGGGACTAGCTTACAAACAGAGGAAAACAAAATAAGTTGATTTGGATTTTTAAGCCTCCAGCAACGTTTCACTTCACTTGACCCTGCAGTGGGGGCTGGTGTCAGCCTTTGATTTTATCTTCTGCAGTTCTCCCACCCCTATCCCGCATAAGTATAAAACCAGATGCCACGACTTGGAAAGAGCAAAATTTGATCTTGAGAGGAAGTGGGAAAATGTAAAACTAACACAGCTTTGGCAGCTAGAAAGAAACAACTATAGCCCCTGCAAAGAAAGATTCACACCCTAGGCAACATAGTGAGACAGCATATCTACAAAAAATAAAAAATAAAAGAATTAGCAGGTTGTGGTGGTGTGAGCCTGTAGTCCCAGCTACTTGGGAGGCTAAGGCAAGGGAATTGCTTGAGCCCAGGAGGCCAAGGCTGCAGTGAGCCGTGATCATGCCACTGTGCTCCAGCCTGGGCAAGAGAGATAGACAAAAAACGGAAGGAAGGAAGGAAGGACAGATGGAAGGAAGGAAGGGGAAGGGGAAAGGGAAGAAGGAAGGAAGAAAGAAAGAAGGAAAGGAGGGAGGGAAGGAAGGAAGGAAGGAAGGGAGGGAGGAAGGAAGCAAGGAGAGCGAGAAAAGAAAAAGAAAAAAACAAAGACCGAGACCAAAGACTTGATAAAGGTGAACTTTCTGAACCCATAAAGTTCCTTAAGTGCTGCCTCTGCTCATTTAGTCTTCTGCTCACCTGAGCCCACTGATGAATAAATGAAAATCTTTGGAAATGATTCATGAAAATCATCACAAGGAAGCATATTCTTGGCCTCTGAAGTCTTCATTTCAAAATGAAGTTTATAGTTTAAGACTATAAACAATACACGATTCTTATAAAAATAAAAGTAGAAACAAAAAATATTAGCCATAGTTCCAACCCTCAAATGTTAACACTTCAGTGTGTTTCCTTCCAGTTCTCTTATAGGCATATAGACTTATTCTTGTAACACAGTTGCACTCATTCTGTATATATGGAATTGTGTATGCTGCTTTTTGCTAAATATATATTACTGTTATCATATAGAAAATTATGCAACCATCATTATTAATAGTTGCCTAATAACCAATACAGTTAATCAGCCCATCTTCCCCCACTATGTTTTGGACATTAAATTTGTATTCAGCTTTTTAAACTGTAAGTCTTGATTTAATTAATGTACGAAATTTAGAGCTTTTTGAATCAGCCCCACTACTTAGCCATGTAGCAAATCTTACCAATATCTGGACCAGCAACCTGAAGGCTGCAGGAGGAACCTATAGGACAATCAGAGGGAGGTACTAGTACAGATTCCTCGGGCTGTAGGAGTTTCTGGTACAGGGGTCTTGAAGGACAAAGAAATTGCCTGACGTAAGGTCACCAGCCCTCTAGCTGTGTATTCCCTGTCCAATGTCACCCACAAGCCTCATTTCCAGCTCAACATCTTCAAGCATCCTAGAGAATAGAGATGACATTTTCAATGAGTGAAAAAAAACAGTAAAACAAAGGACAGGGATAACACATGGCAAAGCTGAGGATCTTTTTTGTTTTAACATAAAGGGTCATATTGTCTCTTATTCTCATTTCTTATTGGAGCATTCTGACATCTTTATTTTGGGCTTCCCTGGTTAGGTTACCTGCTGGAGAGGTGTGTTTAGAGCTGCAGTTAGGGCAGCAAAAGCAGAGAGAGTTGGCACCAGTGAGGATGGGCAGAGTTGGCTATGGATATAATCCATCATTTGCCAAATAGCTCAAAGTTGTATGAATATCATTAAATATTTCATGTAAATGCTGTTTTTTTTCAAGGGCAAGTCCTGTTTCATAGAAAATATAGTTCCCGAGCATAGTAAAGGAGCATGTGCTCCATACTAAGCACTTCTAAATGATTATTTCATTTAAGAATCTCAACAATTCAGAGTTAAGTGCTCTCTTCTCCAGTTTGCACATAGGACAATTAAACAGCAGAAAAGTAAAATAAGTTGCCAAGAGGACTTGCTAATAAATGTTTGAGCCAACATTAGAACATAGAGCTGACTTCAAAGTTTGTGATCTTTGCTCTACATTATGCTGCCTCCCTTGTTAAACCTAACAGATAAACATAAGTGCAATTTTAAAAAAGAGTTAATGCTTATTGATTAAAGGCAGGGCTTTCTCTGGGATCCAGGAGTCACCATTATGGGTAGGCAGGATCATTTACAACATTCTTTTGAGGATCCCTTTAAAAAAAAAATGACCACTGGGTCCAGCCAGGTCAACAATGGATGAGGAACTCTTCCATGGAGTTCTGAAAGGCCCTACAGAGGCTCTGACAACAAGGAGGCCACAGGACAGCTTCCACCTCCCAGTTTTTCCTAGGCCAATCCTTGGGACATAGTATGGTTGATGGAAATGGAAACTATTGCTTCTTGGTGCATTTTTTAAAGGAATGGTTAAATTATAACGTAAGAGTCTGTTTTCCCACTAGACTTGAGTTTTATAATATCAGGGACCATGTCTGTCTTCTTCATTGCCATAGTCCCATTCCTTGTACAGTGCTTGGTCCATAGCAGATGATCTTAGTCCATTTGAGCTGCTATAACAGAATGCCATAGAGTGGGTAGCTTATGAACATCAGAAATTTATTTCTCATAGTTCTGCAGGCTGGGAAGTCCCAAATCTGCAGTGCTGAGAGATGTGGTGGCTGGCGAGGGCCCACTTCCTGGTTCATAGATGGCAGTCTTCTCACTGTGTCCTCACATGGTAGAAGGGGTGAGGAAACTCACCAGAGTCCTTTTTATAACAGCATAGCACTAATTCTCCTCTTAAGGGCTCTACCCTTATAACCTAATCACCTTCCAAAGGCCTCACCTCTAAATATCATCACATTCAGGATTAGCTTTCAATGTATTGATTTGGGGTTAGGGGGTCATAAACATTCATTCTATAGCATAGATGCTTAATAAAGTTTGTTGAATGAATAAATAAATGAAAATATTATCCGGGCGAAAGGTGTGGGCTGGAGTTAAGGATGGCTCATGGTCAATGCCTGCATATAAATGTATTCCTCAAGATGTGTGGTCTGAATTGAGGTGGCCTAAGTCAAGATATGTCAGGAGTATATGTAGTCAGTTTCCACTTTTTAATATCCATGATAAGCCCTTGGTCACAAGCATGAAGCCATCTGAAATGAGGAGTGAAGAGTTTCCTTTTTTCCCCTGTCATTGCAGCACGGAGTGAAGAAAAACTTTATTTTTCTTACTTCTCCTTGATTCCTCAATCAAACTGGATTTATGTTAGGCTTAGGAAGACAATCCCTACTACACAGAGTGTTTATAGGATCCTGCTTGTTTCCCAAAGGGAGAATTGGGGCTGAAAGTGTGCATTAAGCCCAGTCTTTAAGCAATTAATATTGTGCCCAAGAAATAAAAAGCATGAACATTACAAGTGGATTTTGTCGTAATCCTACATATCCCAAATGTGTATACTCCAGGAAAGTCCAGATCCCCAACAGAAGCCCATCTGCTATATTTCTAGTGTGACACTCCTCTGTTTATATTTGCTCATTTCTCTTACAGAGTGCCAGGAAAGAAAAAGCGATATTTAAAAAATTCATCTGCTAGTATTTATGCAAACACATTTCTCTCCAAGTGTGGGTTGAGCAATGTGAGTAAAGCAGACATAAATGCCTCCGACAGACCACAGAGCAATTTTCATAAAGAAAGGGGAGAAATATACACCTAGAACAATTGAAGTTGGCGGTGGAGGGGTGGGAACTTTCCTCTGACCAGCAACACTCAACAGGGGAGACATTCTAGGTCTCATGCCGCAGACTTGGAGGCTCATTTGAACCATTAATGACTCTATTGAGTTTCTACTATGTGCTAGCCAGTTTGGAGATTATAAAAGCTTAAGACTCCTCGTTGAGAACATAATAGTAAATAATTATAAGACAGCATACTACTGACATAGGAAAAAGGGGAAGAAACACTGTGAGCCTCAGTTAGGTGCCACTCTTTGCTAAGTGTTTCACATATATTATTTCATTTAATTCTCACAACTATCCTATGATGTAATCATCCTCCTTTTTCAGACAAGGCTCACAGTGGCCATACAACTTGCTCAAGATTATATAACTTAGGCTATTTTGAAAATCCCTGTTCTTTCTGCTATACCATACATAAGATGTTTCCATGGTTTATAATCAAATGTTATATATGTTTGGAATCTAAATAGCTAACATTTGTTGAGTGCTTACTATGAGACAGGCAAAAGTCTTTTTTATATACGTTAACAGATTTAAACTTTGTAACAACCCTAGGAGGTAGATACTGTTATTATGCCATTTTAGGATGAAGAAACTGAGTTTACATATAAGTAAAGTTGTCCACATCACAAGGAAATACCAGAGCCCAGTTTGGATCCAGATTCCATATATTTAAGCATTACACTATCCTGCCTACCCTTTGAGGAGCACTTTTTTTTTTGTCCCACACGCTTCAAAACTGTTGAGGAGCACTTTTAAGCACCTTCTATTACATACCCCGGACCAACCATCCCAAGCCTACATTGAGCAACCTTCAGTAAACACAGTGTGAAAGTAGAAAAATTCAAACTGTGTTTCTCCTCTGCTTTCACACCACAACAATCATCGCAGAAGACTTCTGTGATGAACAGAAGTCTGTGTGACCACAGAAGTCTTCTGTGACCAAATGTGTGTGGGTCTATCCTCACACAGCAAGCAAGCGAGCAGTTCTGCAGTGGATACCAGCTGGGCTCCCTCCAATTCTGTTCCAACACTATCTACCTGGCGATAGCAGTAGAAACCACAGGTTGAGGGCTCAGTCTCACAAAGCTGCCCCTACTTCCTACCAGTCGCAAGTCTGGGCCTCAGAACTTCCGACCAACTGACTTCAAGTTGGGATTCCTACGATCCTCTCTTTGAAGTCCATTGATTTGCTAGAGTGGCTCAAGGAACTCAGAGAAACACTTACGTTTAACTGGTATATTATAAAGGATATTACCAAGCATACAGATGATGAGGTGTATAGGGTGAAAAAGGGGCACAGAGCTTCCATGCCCTCTGGACATGCCACTCTCTAGGAGCCTCCAGATATTCAGCTATCCAGAGGCTCCCTGAACCCTATTCTTTTGTGTTTTTATGGAGGCTTCATTACATAGGCATGATTCATTATTTTTATTTATTTTATTTGTCTTTTTTTGTTGTTGTTTTTTTGAGATGGAGTCTGGCTCTGTCACCCAGGCTGGAGTGCAGTGGTGTAATCTCGGCTCACTGTAACCTCTGCCTCCCGGGTTCAAGTGATTCTCCTGCTTCAGCCTCCTGAGTAGCTGGGACTACAGGCGCATGCCACCGCATCCAGCTAATTTTTTGTATTTTTAGTAGAGATGGAGTTTCACCGTGTTAGCCAGGATGGTCTCCATCTCCTGACCTCGTGATCCACCTGCCTCAGCCTCCCAAAGTGCTAGGATTACAGGCGTGAGCCACCACGCCTGGCCACATGATTAATTAAAACACTGGCCATTGGTGATCAATTTGAGCTTCGGCCCTTCTCTTCTCCCCAGATGTTGGGGGTGGGCTGAAAGTCTCAACCCTCTAATTATGACTTGGTCTTTCCAGTGACCAGGCCCCATCCTGAAGCTACCAAGGGGCTGTGAGCCACTAGCCAATTACTAACACATAAAAAGACAGCACTTTGGAGATTCTAAGAGTTTTAGGAGTTGTATGTCAGGAAGAGGGGTTGAAGACTGACATGGTTTGGATGTTTGTCCCCCCCAAGTCTCATGTTGAAATGTAATCCCCAGTGTTGGAGGTGGGGTCTGGTGGGAGGTGATTGGATCACGGGGGCGGCAGGGGGATCCCTCATGAATGACTCAGCACCATTCCCTTGGTGATGAGTGAACTCTCACTCAGTTAGTTCTGCCTCGTGAGATAAGGTTTTTTTTTAAAGTGTGCGGCACTGTCCCCTTCTCTCTTGCTCCCTCTCTTGCCATGTGATGCGCTGGCTTCCTCTTCACCTTCCAAGATGATTGTAAGCTTCCTGAGGCCCTCACCAGAAGCAGATGCCGGCACCATGCTTTGTGTATAGCCTGCAGAACCACAAGCCAAAATAAAACATCTTTTTAAAAAAGTTACTCAGCCTCAGGTGTTTATAGCAACACAAGAACAGACTAACACAAAGACCAAATATGTGTTTCACAATGTCACACACAGTATTTCCATTCCTCTCTAAACCCCTCTTCTTTCAGCTCACATTGCAGAGGCCTCGCCTGGCCTAATGCCTTGGCCAGTCAGGACTGGTAATCACAACAGCTTGAAAAACAAACTAGATATTCTACCATCTCTAGAAGTTCAAGAACCAAGTCTCTGATCTTAGAGAGTTTCCCTTAAGTGTAAATGGATATTCTTCTGCCTGTGATAGAGGCTAGCAAGCCTCCTCTTCCAGCCAGTGCTACAAGAGGTAGGGAGTGGCCACACGCCAGGCAGCAAGGCTGTTTGTCTTCTCCTAGCCTCCCCTCTCCAGCGTTCTGCCTGAAGAATGAAATCAATTAGAGAGCATCAAGAGCAGGAGAGCTCTTTCCCCATTCCCTTTGAAATTCCTTGTTAGGACACTGCTTTGTAGATGGCCCCGCACCACCATGTTTAAGAGGGCAGAGCAGTGTGGGGAGGGCACCAGGGGACCTGGTCTGAGAACCACTGGTGCCATTTACAGAGAAGAAACCAGAAGAAGCAAGGAATCTGAAAGACTCCTTTATCCCAAAGTCAAAAATTAAGCCTAAAGAAACTGCTTAAATAATTGTATCAGACTAGTTTTAAAATCTATTGAGCTAAAATTATTTTTTTCTCTCTTGCTACCCAGCAGGTGAGGGCTCATAAGGGAGATCAGGGTGATTAAGAGAAAAAAGAAACTATACATTCTTTATGCATGTGAGCGGAGTGAGTAATTTTGCAACCCTGTTTACACATGAAGGGTAGGCAGATGTGAGTTTCAGCAGTCAAAATCAGAAGCTGAGGTTGCTGCATCTGGCTTACTCCCCTCTCCATAACAGCAGAATGTGGGATTTCCAAGACCTTTCTTGAGGGCCTGGTCTCTCCTCAGTGAGGTCCACATACTTATATTTAGACCATGTAAGAACGCATTCATTAACCTCGATGACAATGTTCAGTGTGGGTAAACCACCTGCTTCTCTTTGGTGAGGCCGGTGATCACCGTGGGATCTTTTGTATCCAAGAAGTTGAATTTCAGCCACTCTCTAATTTCAACCACACCGATTGTCCTGGGTGTCCAGGACAATGACCATACCAGAGAGTGGTAACCCACTGCTGAGAAAGGAGATCCTTGTCTATGATCACCCCTCACTCCTAACACAAGAGGAAGATGCCAAAGACCAGCTGAGGAGAAGGAAAGGGAGGAATAAAGCTATGTAATGACTAAGGAGGACTAAGAGATTTTACTGAATAGACTTATCTAGCAGGTTAACGTGAATGGGGGTAAAGGGATTTGGTGCTTTCTGTGGCTGAAGGTTGCTATTACTCTAGAAATGGAAAATGAGAAAAATATCTCCTTCTCCAAGTAGAGAAACAAACACTCAGGAAAAAACTCACCCTTCCTGTCTATGTACCATCTTCCCTGATGACAGGTAGCAGAAAGTATAGTTGAGAGGTGCCCAGGTTTGAAAGTTCAAATCCCAGTTCTGCCATTTCTCTCCTGTGTAACCTTGGACAAGTTTCTTAGCCTTTTTGTGCCTTTCATTTGTAAAAAAGAGAAAATAATAATACCTTCCTCATGGGATCGCTGGAGGGTTAAATGACACATAAAGCCTAAAGTACAGCTCCTGGCATGTGATAAGCCCTCAATAAATATGGCTATTATTATTTTTATAACAAGGGTAAGAGGAATATGATTTCAAAGGTCCATCTAGTTTAAGGCATGTGTAAATTTACTGACAAGTGATTCAGGGTAAACTTTAATTGAATTTTCAATAAACAAGCCATAGGGTTTCTTCCTCCACAGTCTATGACCCTTCACCAGGACCTGCATCCCACACCCTGGAAAGAAATGTGTTCATTCAGTGAATTAGATCCTTTAGCCAAACAGCGTTTGCAAACAACTGCTTGGCATCCTGACCCTTTCTGTCACTGAGGGTGTTCTAATAACCATGTTGGGTAAGAAGACAGTACCCACCTGTGGTCCCTTTCTTCTTGTAGGTTATGTTCAGGATCAAGTCAGTCTTCATTTGAAATCGGCACTTCAGCAGGATAACAGGAAAGAAAGAGGATTTTGGAGTCAGGAAGCTCTGGCTTTTAAATTTTGGTCTCATGGTTTCCTAATTGCAAGAGCCAAATAGTTATCTTTAAAAATGGGGATAATAATATCTACATAGTAGGGGCTTGTAATGGAGGATTAAATTAAACTATTTATATATAGTGACCAATATAGAGTTGGCACTCATTAAATGTCAGTTTCTCTTCCTCTTTCCCCTTTTCCTGCTGAGACACAGAGTTAGACTACTCTGTGGGGTGGGACATTCATCAGGTGGTGTGTTGGTTTATTTTTCTCCCACTTTTCTGAAGCAAGAGATCATGAAGATGATGGGAGGAAACAAACATCTACTGCTCTAACCTTTTCAACCTAGTGAACATTGTTCATCCTTCTCTTCTGCCACTTAAAAAAATAATCAAAGTCCAGCTGACACAGAGTTATTTAGCTACTCTGGCCATTTTTATCAACCTAGAAATAAGTATCCTGTTTATTTCTATTAAAGGTGGATACAAATAAGACCTCAGGAAAATCTACCCCAGTATCTACACGTTATGCCCCTTTCCAAAGTTGAAGGGATATACCTAACACCCAAGGGGGCAGGGCAAGTGAAGTGTGTGGTCAGGCGTGGCCATGGCACTGTGATGCATCATTATCAAGGGAGGACATAGTGTAAGTCCTGCCAGCTCTTTCCAATCCAATCACCTCTCCTTATAGTAATTCACAATCACAGAGCCCTTCTTCCCCTCTTAGATTCCCATTCAAGCACCCAACCATCAAACTCACTGAGGCTTCACCCTACTTCCCCACCTACCCCATTCTCTTCAACTGCCAGAGGGCTTTCCTGAGATGAAGCAGAGGCTGAGAACCTGGGGCCCTTGGACGAGAGACTTAGCTACTGACACATACAAGTGCTGACACTGGAAAGTACCAGTGCTGAATCAAAAAGCCACTTCCCAGAGACGACATGAATGTTCAAGGTTTGGTTCCTGGAACGCCACCGATCTGGTCCTGAACCTTGAAGCCAACATCTTACCTCTGTCCTTCCATGCCTCAGTTGCCCAGTATGTGGGAAGGGTAATGACAACAAAGGAAAATTGCCACCTATCGCCCAACCTGTCATCACTATAATTTGAATGACTTGGCCAACCTTAGAATGCTGTGGAAATTAGTTTACTGGGGACTCTGAGATGAAAGGTGCCAAGTTTGGCAGAGCTGAAGCCATTGGTAGGATGTTCTGGGGTGCACTGAAGATTCAACAGAATGTTCCTTTAGCTTGTAAATTGAACTTTCATTTTTGTCAAAGTAGAAAATTTTAGGTAACAAATATTTCATTTTTTCCTTTGTAAAATGTTTTCTTCTCTCCCTTCCCAAGTTCGGGGCATGACCAGTTGTGTTGGAATACGAAACCCACTCCTCCCAGTTAAAATGTTCACAATTGCAGTTTAAAAAATGACGAACATCTTTTAGATTATTTTTCATACCATGCCTACTAAGGGGGTACTATCTAGCTTTTAAAAAAACTTCCTTCTCTTTTTAACAAAACAAAAAAAATTTGCAGGATTGCAACTCTGTGAGATCCTGCCCAACTTTGACCCTGAAAGCTGTCTTTGCCTCCAGCTACATTTTCAGATGACCTTCATTTCAGACTCATTTTAGAAATGTAGACATTTTGCTCCTGGGCCACTTACTCTTTGCCTCTCTGCTTAAACTTCAAGAGTATAAAAGGAAAAGTTTGCAAAGATCATTTACAATGTGCCATCCCAAACCTCTCATGTAAGTGATGCAAAGCAGGCTCCAGTGGGCCTTGGTGTCTCTGATGAGAGGAGCAACGTGAATGCGGAGGAAGTGGGTAAGTGAGAAGAGGCCCTGAGGCTGCGGTGGTGACTCTACCAGCAAAGTCAGCACCTACAGACTGATGAAGGCAGCAAATGGGCTTGTGTAGTGCTCCACAGTGAAGCTGCCCTATCTGTGAGCATCAGGAGAGCTGACAAGCCAAGTTTCTGCACACTGTGCACTGCTAAATGCTGTCAGTGACACAGGCATGCTTTAAAGTCAGGCGACTGTTTCTTGCAGGACTAAAGCCTCTGCCTCACTCTCACCTGCTCAATGCTTCCCCTCACTGCCATGCTTTGATCCAAATTCTTCTTGTGAGGGGACTCCCCATTACATTCTGCTTTTTTCTACTTTAACTTAATTCCCAGTGGCAGGATGTCCACAGTTCAGCTTATACCCTTAAAATATAAAAACAAAACAAAAAAGTCATCATTATCATCAAAATAATTTTTAAAAACAGTTCCCCACCCCTGACAATTTTGGCTTGGATTTCTTTATAATGCTACAGCTTCTACCCACTTCTTACCTTGTATTTTCATTTATCTTCTTTGGTGCCCTTTTCCTTGTTCTTCCTTTTGGGCCAATCTATTGACAGCCACCCTGCAAAATGGCAAGGAGGTGAATTTCCTTTCTTATAAATTCATCCTCAAAATAATTGCATGATTAAAACAGTTGTGGGCCCTCTATCAAGAGTAATCAGCAATGTGCTTTGAAGCCTGGGGTCTGCTGACTCTCTGATGGCACCTGGGACCATGTTTATCTCCATTTATATGATTCGGCCACCACTCTGCCTCACTGGGTTCCCTGATGTTAGATTGCTTTGAGGTCTTTTGGGAGAGGAAGATCTACCACCAGAGCTTCAAGTTAGTGTGACAATTCTCCATTGAACTCAGACAAGAGACTGACATGGTTTCTTGCCAGGCAGCAATTAGTGACTACAGGACTGAAGTGGTTTCCAAGATTCAGGATTTGCCTAGTAGTTGTAAGAGGTAACAGCCAACAGGAGAAGAGGAGACCCAAACCCAGACTATGCTGTGAAGTGCAGGGCATGACTGGTATTCTAAGGAAGGTAGTTTCCACATTTTTGTGGCTTGTGAATCACTTTGGCAGGATAAAATTTCCCAAGGGCCAATTTACCCGACCGATTACCACTTGCCAATGCAAAACCAAATAAACGTACATATGTTTATTGGGAAGAAAACCAAAGCTTTGGAGAGGACAGGGACAATGTCTTTGGATCCCCAGGGCCTAATGGTCTCAAAAAATATTCACTGAGGTCATCTGATTCCTCTGAGAGGCTAAGCATACATAATTTTCCAATCATTTTGGTCTTCGTACTATATTCAGAGAGTGAATCTCTGTGTTAAGTACAACCAGGTGATGGACAATGGGTGGACTGAATTTTTCATTTTTATCAAGCATGGTATGGAAGAAGCAGCAGTAGCCTGACCTTCTCAACTGCTTGGAATTCATGGATTAATTTACTGATGATTTGTTAAAGATGTTTCTGTCTTGGTAGGTGAAGAAAGGAGGAACTAAAGTGGTCACCCAAAAAGCCAGAAATCCAAACACTGTTACAGGCCAAAGTCTTGGCCTAAGAACAAAGAAAATTAGGCAATAGGATTGGGCTGTGCCTTGCTGAAGTCATGTCAGCAGTCTCCTGGGCCACAGCTTTGGCTTGCTCAGATGCAATTTGTTCAGGCAGTGCAGCTGGGGGCAGCAGGGCTTCAGCTACAAAAGTGTTGGCTGGTAAGAGAAAATCAAAATAATCCCCATTAAGTTCCCATTATCTTAAAAATGAGAAACTCTAATGAGAGGCTTCCAGAGCAAGCTGAGCAGCAGGAGGGCACCTCTGATGGATGCTGTCCTCTGTAAGGATGTCACTGTCGTCACCAGGGGCAAGCTGAGGGCCCAAATGCCTCTGCGCAGTTTCCCTGGAAGCAGCCAAGATTGATTAGGCACCCCAGGACTCAGGAGCCATAAGAAAAGACAGAGAAGCAGGCCAGAAGCAAGGCTGGCATGGAAGGAGACCCTTGACCTGAAGGGTGATCATCTTTAACCCTGAATTCTGTTAACTGTTTCTCAGAAACTCTCTCTGAATCTATTTAACTTTTATAGTCCTGGATTCTTTTAGGTGTGGTGTTGCCTAAAGACAGGTAAAATGCCCCCTAAGGGAATTCCTCACCTCTATGGTTCTAAAACTGGGTTCTCGTCATATTTCAGGATGAGGAACCTTTAAAAAAAAAATGCCTTCATTCTCAGAGCACGAAGAACCTTTTATAAGAAGAAGGTAGCTGGAGAATGCTTATTCTCCTGGCAAATAGCAACTGTGGAAACACTATTTTCATATAGACCTGGCAAACAGCTTCCAGTATTTTCTGTCCAAATACTACATCTCCTCACCAGCTTTGCATGTATCTTGGCACTGCACGGCCCAGTAGTACCACATCATTTCATGGCACTGAGCCAAGAGTGTGCCCAGCCGTGCTTAGCACCATACAGGGAGTCTGCAGGGCCCTCCAAGCTCCCACCACCACACTCCTACTGGAGCAGAAGGGGAGATTATCAGGCAGCAAGTCACGGTGTTGTTATTATTACCCTGATGTGTAATAAATCTGTGTGGTGCAATAAATTAAGGCAAGGCTCTGTTCTCACTTTACAGGCTGCCGATAGTTTTATTGTAACAGCTCAAAGATGTGAGTTTTCCTTTTTAGGCAGAGTAGAGGAAGCTGTGAAATTTGAAGAGAGAACAAAAGCATACTCGAATGTAGTTTGTAAAACAGGTATTGTACAAGAACTGGCTCATCAGGACATCCAGCACCTAATGTTTTTCTATTTAATGATATTAGAGAACAGTGAGGCCTTACAATGGCCACAAGAGTTCATTTGAATTCATTTTCTTTTATTTATTTATTTATTTATTTATTTATTTATTTTTATTGATTATTCTTGGGTGTTTCTCGCAGAGGGGGATTTGGCAGGGTCATAGGACAATAGTGGAGGGAAGGTCAGCAGATAAACAAGTGAACAAAGGTCTCTGGTTTTCCTAGGCAGAGGACCCTGCGGCCTTCCGCAGTGTTTGTGTCCCTGGGTACTTGAGATTAGGGAGTGGTGATGACTCTTAACGAGCATGCTGCCTTCAAGCATCTGTTTAACAAAGCACATCTTGCACTGCCCTTAATCCATTTAACCCTGAGTGGACACAGCACATGATTCAGAGAGCACAGGGTTGGGGGTAAGGTCACAGATCAACAGGATAAGAATTTTTCTTAGTACAGAACAAAATGAAAAGTCTCCCATGTCTACCTCTTTCTACACAGACACGGCAACCATCCGATTTCTCAATCTTTCCCCCACCTTTCCCCACTTTCTATTCCACAAAACCGCCATTGTCATCATGGCCCGTTCTCAATGAGCTGTTGGGTACACCTCCCAGACGGGGCGGCTGGCCGGGCAGAGGGGCTCCTCACTTCCCAGTAGGGGCGGCTGGGCAGAGGCGCCCCTCACCTCCCGGACAGGGTGGCTGGCCGGGCGGGGGGCTGACCCCGCCACGTCCCTCCCGGACGGGGCGGCTGGCCGGGCGGCGGGCTGACCCCCCCACCTCCCTCCCGGACGGGGCGGCTGGCCGGGCAGAGGGGCTCCTCACTTCCCAGTAGGGGCGGCTGGGCAGAGGCGCCCCTCACCTCCCGGACGGGGCGGCTGGCCGGGCGGGGGGCTGACCCCCCCACCTCCCTCCCGGACGGGGCGGCTGGCCGGGCGGGGCCTGACCCCCCCCACCTCCCTCCCGGACGGGGCGGCTGGCCGGGCAGAGGGGCTCCTCACTTCCCAGTAGAGGCGGCAGGGCAGAGGCGCCCCTCACCTCCCGGACGGGGCAGCTGGCCGGGCGGGGGGGCTGACCCCCACCTCCCTCCCGGACGGGGCGGCTGGCCTGGCGGGGGCTGACCCCCACCTCCCTCCCGGACGGGGTGGTTGCTGGGCGGAGACGCTCCTCACTTCCCAGACGGGGTGACTGCCGGGCGGAGGGGCTCCTCACTTTTCAGACGGGGCGGCTGCGAGGCGGAGGGTCTCCTCACTTCTCAGACGGGGCGGCCGGGCAGAGACGCTCCTCACCTCCCAGACGGGGTCGCGGCCGGGTAGAGGCGCTCCTCACATCCCAGGCGGGGCGGCGGGGCAGAGGCTCTCCCCACATCTCAGACGATGGGCGGCCGGGCAGAGACGCTCCTCACTTCCTAGATGGGATGGCGACCGGGAAGAGGCGCTCGTCACTTCCTAGATGGGATGGCGGCCGGGCAGAGACGCTCCTCACTTTCCAGACTGGGCAGCCAGGCAGAGGGGCTCCTCACGTCCCAGGCGATGGGCGGCCAGGCAGAGACGCTCCTCACTTCCCAGACGGGGTGGCGGCCGGGCAGAGGCTGCAATCTCGGCACTTAGGGAGGCCAAGGCAGGCGGCTGGGAGGTGGAGGTTGTAGCCAGCCGAGATCACGCCACTGCACTCCAGCCTGGGCACCATTGAGCACTGAGTGAACCAGACTCCGTCTGCAATCCCCGCACCCCGGGAGGCCGAGGCTGGCGGATCACTCGCGGCTAGGAGCTGGAGACCAGCCCGGCCAACACAGCGAAACCCCGTCTCCACCAAAAAAATACGAAAAGCAGTGAGGCGTGGCGTCGCGCGCCTGCAATTGCAGGCACTCCGCAGGCTGAGGCAGGAGAACCAGGCAGGGAGGCTGCAGTGAGCCGAGATGGCAGCAGTACAGTCCAGCTTCGGCTCGGCATCGGGAGAGGGAGAGGGAGAGGGAGTGAATTCATTTTCATATCAATGTCTCACTGCTGAGTTCTGCTGAGCTGACCTCTTGCACTAGACTTACAGTGCTTTCTTTTGGTGATAAACCTGAGCGATTTTAAGATCACAAATTGGTTCTGGAACTCATTAAAGTCAGCAAATGAGCATTAAAAGATACTTGCACAGGCTGAGTTTGTGCTAATCTGTCTATTTAGGCAATTACAGCTCAGAGGATGAACAGAGGGGCGGTGAGAAAGAACCCTCCAACTCCCAGCAAGATGATCCATTTCAGATGTCTGTCAACGATGCACATGCCCTGGCTTTTCTTCCTTTACACCTTGAACCCTGGGTGCAGGAGGCAAGGGAAGGATTTGAGAATGCTTCACCTCTACCCTTTGCCAGGTTCAAAGCCCAAGTGAGACCTTCAATCAGGTCCCTGGCACACCTGACACTTCATTATTATTATTTTTTTTAATCAAAAGCCCACTTCTTTGGTAGCAAATGCTATTTCTATTCTCTGTTTTAGAACTTGACCCTTACTTTTTTTTACTTAAATGTTAGTCATTCAAGATTTCTTAACCCTTTGGTTACAGAGTCTTCCATCTTTTTCTTCTGTCTTCATCTAGGCTCATAGGTTATTTCTCCCTAAACTAGACACACTGGGTGCTGGTGCTCCGCTCTGTGTCATTGTGGCCCCTGAACAATGGGAGGCTATTGAGCACAGAGTTGATATTCAATATGTAAATATTGATTGACTTTTTTTTGTTTTTTGAGATGGAGTCTTGCTCTGTTGCCAAGGCTGGAGTGCAGTGGCATGCTCTCGGCTCACTGCAACCTCCGCCTCCTGAGTTCAAGTGATTCTCCTGCCTCAGCCTCCTGAGTAGCTGGGATTACAGGCACGCACCACCATACCCGGCTAATTTTTGTATTTTTAGTAGAGATGGGTTTCACCTTGTTGGCCAGGCTGGGTTTCACCATGTTGGCCAGGCTGGTCTCAAAATCCTGACCTCATGTGATCCTCCTAAAGTGCTGGGATCACAGGCATGAGCCACCACATCTGGCCTGATTGACTTTCAAAATTGCCTTCTAGTTTATTCTGTAACCACCAGCTCTACTAATTTAGTTTAACATCATTCACGTACTGCTCTGAAAAACTATACGCCCCTTATGACCTTACAGCCAAAAATGATTGACTCCCTTGGTAATCCTCCTTGCAAAACCCTAAGACTCACCCCCTCACTCTTCCTTAGAAAAATACTATATTCCTTTGCTTGAGTCTCATTTATTAGCAGCAAATGCTAACACAGGAAACTTCATTCTCTGAGTTTACATATTCTTGTGAATTCTATTTTTCTCTCTTATTTTTCCCCTAATACAGTCTACCCCTGGCCAATCTATAACAATCCTAATCAGTAGAAACTCTGGAAAAACTGAGGTCATAATTTCTGAATCTGGTTTGAATTTGGAATTTGCTCCCTCAGCTCAAAATTAATATTGTAAATTTACTGCAAATGTGTTTTCTACTTTTCGGACTCAGCTAGTAGTTTTATACACAAAGTTTGCTATCTGGCTTAACTAGTTACTGAAAGAAAAAGGACATCTCCAGCTCCTTTTCTGGCCTTTCTCCTATTCCACTACTTCCCTCCACCCAACACACACACACACACACACACACACACACACACACACACACACACACCCAACACCAGTCACTGAAGATGGGGAAGATGGAGTTCTTCCTTGAATTCCCCTTAGGTTGTATCATTGTTTGGAAGTTATTGGTTCTTATCCAAAAGCAGACGTGGACAGAGTAAGGAGTTTTAGCTCAGCCATATAAAGTAGCATAAGCCCCAGGCTTTAATCTTCCTGTAAGGCTGCACTGGTATATAGTCGTTCTTCTACTGAATATAACAGATCCATATTAACAAGCATTTATTGAGTGCTTACTTTGAAAACCAGTACTCTATTGTCCCTCATATTATCTCATTTAATTTAATTGTTGCTCTTTAAGGTAGTATTCCCATTTTATAAATGCGAAAGCAAATATTCAGAAAGTGACTTGTACTGAATGGAAGAAACATATTTTTTTTTTATTCCAAGCCCATTGCCCTTTCTTCTTGTTTGATTTTTAACTTTGTGATAATAGAGCTCTATTACAAGAACTGGAACTGTCTGTACAGTTGGTTATTCTTAAATGATCTACACAGAGTGCAGAAGTCCTATTACGACAAATCCTATTACAACAAATCCACTGTAACAAAACCTCTTTCTAAGAAAATCCCATTCTAGAGCTGTCATTGGCTCCTAACTTTTATCTAGTAAACATTCAAGGAATATTTTGTAAAAGTTTGCCCAAATTTCTCACTGGAAATTTTGTGCTTAGGATGGCTTCAAAATTGGGTTCAAGTATCAGGCACTAAGGGAAGGAACAGGAAACCTGATGATATTGTACAATGTTTGGTGTGTATTCCTTTATACCATAAATAGTGAGTCTAAAAGTTGTGTTAGCTCAGTTTGTTGTAAAGTGACAGTACCATGGAAATAGAAGGGAATAAAAAGCTCCACTTCAGATTTTTTTAAAGTTACTTGAATCATAATGTCAATTTAAAAAAAGTAATTTGCTTAATGAATAACGGTTTATCTTTCCTATAAAAATAGCTAATAGTTTTTGAGCACTTATGCTGTATCAGTTAACATTGTAAATTTTTAAATGTATTATTTAACCTTCACAACAACCCTGTGAAGTAAATGTTATCCTAATTTTACGCACAAGGGAACTGAAGCTCAGAACGGTTAAATAATTTGCCCAAGGTTACACACACAGCTGGTAAGAAGCAGGATCAGAATTTGAACTCACGCTGTGTGACTCCAGAGCCTACATGTTTAACCACACTTAGGGTTGCCAGATAAAATATAGTTACACTGGATTTTTGGGTAAACAAATCCTAAATATTTCATGGAACATATTTTTACTAAAAGCACATTTTTTGTTTATCTAAATTCAAATTCAACTGGGGATCCTCTATTTTTATTTGCTAAATCTAGCAACCCTAACCACACTATTCTGCCTTCTGTAAATTCAGATATCCATATATTTGGGTTGTTTAATTTGCAGTTTACACGTGCTTGAGTTTTTTTTTTTTTTTTACAGAATAAATGATGTTAATTCACATCTACAAAACTAGGCTTCTGGATTTCTCTTTCCCTCCATTTATTGAAGGGCGGGTTGGTCTGATGCCAGTCTTCTCCCTGATAGTGAAGCTAAGTGCAAGCTTTTCTCTTCTGATAAAAAAAGACTTCACTTACTGTTGGCACATTCTGGCCTTCTGCCTACACTGGGCTCTCTCTCCAGTGGCCAGCTGTGTCTTGCCTGGTGCTCATCATTATCCAACTTCCTTGCCTCAGGAATCCTTGACTCTTTCCAAGATTTGCAGAGGTGCATGGCTAAGTAGCAGCTTCCTTCCAGACAACAGTGTTCACAGAAGGAAAGAGAAAAGAATCAGTGGGCTAGAACTTAGAAGAACTTTATATATAAAGTCTGTTGAATAAAACATATAAATAGGCAATATATACACCACCAAATGAACAACTCTTGTTTCTCCATGGGTATCTTCCACTCTGATTTAGCTCTCTCACAATGCACAATATGCACCTGCCTGTATACCTTCTTTCACCACTCGGATCACCTAAGCTGAAAATATAGAAACTGTTTTCAATGGCCATCAAGAAACCAACTGTATTGCCGCTCAAATCACACAATGCATTAAAAAACAAATATAAAAGCCTTTGGAGTTGGCTGATCTTTATCATCTTTTAACAATGTGAATAACCGAAAAGTAATTGTCTATTTACAAACCTGGATGTTTATAGAATTACCTCTATAGTCAAGATCTTTTAAATATTTCAAACAGCCTGAATTTCTATAACCCAAGAATAGAATAATAGTAATAGATATATTTATTATAACATAAAAATAACATTTTGTCAGTATGTGCCAGTCTCTATGAAGAGTATTGTCCATGCATTCTCTCTCTTAGTTTTTACCAAAGTACTACAAAATTTTGTACTCTTTTTAGTATCAGATGACAGACAAGAACACTGAGGCTACAAGAGGTTAAGTAATTTGTCCAAGGCTGAACAGCTAGTGGCAAAAGCTGCATTTAAAGCTATGTAGCCTCATTCCAGGGATCATATACTTAATTACTGCATAACAATACCTCTACATCATAAGATCAGTGGTAGATAGCGCTTTTTTGGTGAAAACGTAGGGTTTTTTTTTTTTTTAAGTTTTAAATCTGTTGCAAGCTCTTTTTCTTTTTCTTTTTCTTTTTTTTTGAGACGGAGTCTTGCTCTGTCACCCAGGCTGGAGTGCAGTGGCACTATCTCGGCCCACTGCAAGCTCCGCCTCCCAGGTTCACGCCATTCTCCTGCCTCAGCCTCCCGAGTAGCTGGGACTACAGGCGCCCGCCACCATGCCCGGCTAATGTTTTGTATTTTTAGTAGAGACGGGGTTTCACCGTGTTAGCTAGGATGGTCTCGATCTCCTGACCTCGTGATCCTCCCACCTTGGCCTCCCAAAGTGCTGGGATTACAGGCGTTAGCCACCACGCCCGGCCAGCTCTTTCATTTCAAAGGCATGAAGTGTTCTCTTTGTTAAATAGTAAAGAACATCTAGGAAGAGGAGAAGTTGGGCAGTAAGTGGCCAACATGATAGGATTAAATGAAACGCTATGTGACTAGTACATAGCTTATACCTCATGTAACCAACCATAAGACTTGGACAACACCTGGACTGGTCCATGCCCTGATTCACCTAGACGAGGCCACTAATCACTTGCTTGGATATCACAGCAATGTTAAGTTGCCAGAAAGGATTCTAAATGCTTACTCTCACTTTCTTTACTTATCTCAAGGTCAACTGGTCATTTTGTGGACCAGCATCAACAATCTATGGACCACATTTTGAGTGGCACTAATATAGATAACATCGGTTTAGTTAATTCAAGTATACAAATAACCAGTGAAGTATATGGCTCGCTTATATTCTCTCTCTCTACGAAACACACAGACACATGCTCCTGAATATTTATTCCCGAAACATTTACTAAGAACCTACTATATTCTTGTTACTTTTCTAGGCTCTGAGAATATAGTAATGAATAAAGCAAATCAAGTACCTGCTTTCAGGGAACTTAAAATTCTAATTCAACCAATGTCTTAATACCCAAACATCTGGGTACCAGTTTGAGGCCTTGCTAATTAATAGCTCTCCGCTTTTGTATAAATTCATTTAATCCTTCTAAGCAAGTCTTTCTCTTTACAAAATGAGACTAATAATACGTACTTTAATGTCATCATTGGTAGCATTAGATATTGTGAAAACTGTAAAATCACATACCAATGCCAGGTCACATTTTTATCATGGGCCCTTCCTGAGTGAAGGGATGGTATTTTTCCTGCCTTTGTATCCTTAGCAGGAAGCATAAGGGCTTGCTAAGTGGCAAGCTTAAAAATATATTTTCTAAACATTTATTAGATGGAAGCTTCTTTTTATTGATATGTATCACAATCTTCTTAAAGTCTTCAATTGGTCCTAGAAGTGTCTATGCTTTTCCTGTCAGTTCTAAGAATAATGGTGTTCTTTAGCATTACAACCTAGAACTGAATTGTAAAAGTGCCCTAAGTTTGGGGAGGAAGAAATTCTCAGCCAATAATAACATGAAAAGAAATGTACCTAGTCTGTTTCTCTTCAAACGTCTGAACTTCATGTTAGAAAAGTTGCTTCCAGGGTATAAAGACTTTCTTTTTGAGGGCTAGTGATGTTACTGTTAGAGTTAGACAGGGGTATGGATGCTCTACAGATTTCATGAAAGTGCATAACTACATTCAGTGGCTATTTGAAGAGTACCTTATTTTATAAGGTGCCCCTTATACTGCAAGGGACATTAGCATAATTAAAACACAGTGACTTGCAAGGAATAATATTTAGTAATGAGAATAAAATGAATACACAAAATGCACTATAAAGCAGCATATAAGTGCCATAGGTGTGGAATGAATAGGAACTATGGGACTTCAGAGGAGGGCTCCACTTAGGAGTTGCAATATGAGACAGGCCTTCAAGGATTTCAACAGATTTTAGGTTTGATAGAGGGAATGGAAGGCATTTGTTGCAGGCAGAGAGGTAACTTAATACGTTGACTCCTTTGTAAAAAGTTAGTAGGAGTTACAGCAAGTAGTTTGATATACATGTAAGGGTATAGTGAAAGGTAAGGCTAGAAAAGTGGGATGGAGATACACAATTGGGCAAGTGCCAGATTGAGCAGTTTGTACTAAATTTGATGGGGAACTACTGATAGTTTTTAAAATAGGGTGGAGTCATGATCTGGACAATGCTTCAGGAAGATGGTTTTGGCAAGAACACAAGACGGACTGAAGGGAAGGCAACCAAGCAGGAGACCAAACAGGAGATCACAGCAAAAGTCTCGACCTAGGTTAACCAATACCTGACCTAGGGTCGTGGCAATAGAGCTAGAGAGGTGGGGGCAGCTGGAAGGGCCATTGTGTAGAAAGTATAGTATTTATACCTGTGCAGTCCAATATAGCAGCTCCTAATTAAGGCTCTTTAAATGCAACTTTAATTAAAATTAAATAGGATTTAAAATTCAGGCCAGGCGTGGTGGCTCACGCCTGTAATCCCAGCACTTTGGGAGGCTGAGGCAGGCAGATCATGAGGTCAGGAGATTGAGACCATCCTGGCCAACATGGTGAAACCCCGCCTCTACTAAAAATAAAAAAATTAGCTGGCCGTGGTGGCCTGTGCCTGTAGTCCCAGCTACTCGGGAGGCTGAAGCAGGAGAATCGCTTGAACCTGGGAGGTGGAGGTTGCAGTGAGCCAAGACCGTGCCACTGCACTCCAGCCTGGTGACAGAGTGAGACTCTGTCTCAAAAAAAAAAAAAAAAAAAAAATTTACTTCCTCAGTTGCATTAGCTGCATTTAAAGTGCTCAATAGCCATATGTAACTCCTGTTTTGGACTATGCAGATAAAGAACATTTCCATCACAGTGCAATGTTTATTGAACAGTGCAGCTCACTATGCTTTAGGGACTAATTAGGCATAGAATGAGGAAGATGGATTAAAGGAGGCTTCGGTTTGGCAGCTGAGTGACTGAGAAAGGTAGTGCCATGAACAGAAAAGAGGAAGTCAGGAAGAGGAGGAGCTGGATTTAGGAAGAAAGGTGTTTAGTTTCTGTCAAATACTAGGCCAGATAAAGTGTCTACCCAAATCATCAGATATCCCTGGTGAAAGGAAAGGGCAGGGAAAGCAAAGTGCCCATTGGGTTCTCCCAAAGCTTGTAAAGGAGCCCTGGGAGGATTTAATTGGTTTATCTCCTCCTGCACTCAGTTTCTCCTGTTTGTGCAGCTCCCTGAAGATTATGAGTGGGCAATCCAGTTCCTCAACCTCTCCAAACCAATGGTTCACATATACCGTGATGAGGACAGAAGCCCAAGGGCTTTGCTGTTTCCTTAGCTCCTTGGAGCCAGCTTGAACCTTTTTCTCACAGATGCTTTGTGCTTCCTGTCCCCTAACCGCCTTACTCACCCTTCCCCATGCTCAACTTTTGGAAAGTCCCCTTGGCCTCACTTGTTTGATTACTTCCTCTCAAACTACTTCTCACAGGGACCACAGCAAACCATTGACTCTACCACTTTTTACTTGCCCTGTCTTCCCTCCCAGCTTAAATTCCAAGGTCTATCACTATAATCACTCCCTTACATAATACTCCTACCCCTCTCATAGGCTTTCCCCAGCAAAACTCAGACCTGGTCAAATACAATTCTCCTCCAACCCCCAAGCAATGGAGTGTGGCTGGAGGAGAATCACACGGCCTTGCTGAGTGGTCTCACTTTAATGTATGATCATCAACTCAAGAGGGCCCTCAGCACTGTCCATGCTAAGCTTCTCTAGTCACTTTTCCACTCTTCAAGGAGATTATTTCTCACCTTCTTCTATCTCCTTTAATAGCCAACAGCTTTTCATTGCATAGAGAACAGATCTTACCTCATCAATCCCAGTGAGGCAGCCAGTACATATGGCACTCAGTGGAAACTGGGAAAAGGTCCATACGTGTGTGTGTGGGTATGCATGTGTGTGTATGCGCATGTGTGTGTGTTTGCGCATGTGTGTGTGTTATATGCAGGATGCTAACATGCACCACCTCTCCTGGTGGAGCAATCAGAAAAGTACCCCTTCCTCCAGGCTGATGTGACCCCACCAGGGCACGTGGCTTTGTGGGCAAAACAAGGGCTACATTTCAGCTCCTACCTGCCGCCTCTGCTCTACAGGGGCCTGAGCGTGCCACAACCAAATGTACTGTCTAATCTATCTGCTTCTGCACCCAGACACTCTACCTTCTCTCCAGAAACAGTGTGTGAATGCATTCCCTTACTCCTATCCTAGGCCAACCCTTTCACTTCTGTGCTAGATCCAATTGCTTCTCACCTATTTGAGGACACTCTTTCTCCAGTTGTCTCCTCTTGCCTTCTGTGTCATCAATTTTACCTCTCTTACAGAGTCTCGCTCTGTTGCCCAGGCTGGAGTGCAGTGGCGCGATCTCGGCTCACTGCAAGTTCCGCCTTCCAGGTTCATGCCATTCTCCTGCCTCAGCCTCCTGAGTAGCTGGGACTACAGGCGCCTGCCACCACGCCTGGCTAATTTTTTTTGTATTTTTAGTAGAGATGGGGTTTCACCGTGTTAGCCAGGATGGTCTCGATCTCCTGACCTCGTGATCCACCCGCCTTGGCCTCCCAAAGTGCTGGGATTACAGGTGTGAGCCACCACGCCTGGCCCAATTTTACCTCTCTAAAGAATCATTCCAGCTGGGCGCAGTGGCTCACACCTGTAATCCCAACACTTTGGGAGGCCGAGGCGGGTGGATCACCTGAGGTTGGGAATTCGAGACCAGCCTGGCCAACGTGGAGAAACCCCGTCTCTAATAAAAACACAAAATTAGCCAGGTGTGGTGGCACATGACTGTAATCCCAGCTGCTTTGGAGGCTGAGACAGGAGAATCGCTCGAACCAGGGAGTTGGAGGTTGCAGTGAGCGGAGATCACACCACTGCACTCCAGCCTAGCAACAGAGCAAGACTCCGCCTCAAAAAAAAAAAAATCATTCCAGCATACTAAAATGAGAAAAAGCATTTCTCATCTTAAAATATCCTCCCTTGATCTCAAGTACCTCTCTGGCTACTGCCCTTTTCTCCTTCAAAGCAAAGCCTCTCAAGAGCTGTTTAGAACACTTTCTCTTCCTCACCTCCCATCCTATTAACATACCCTAATCAGACTTTCTCCCCTATGACTCCACTGAAACTGTTTTCATCAAGGTCATCAGCAACTTCATCAGGCCACATCCAGTGTTCAAATTCTCAGTCCTTATCTTACTAATTTCAGCAGTATCTGATAAGACTCTTCACTCTCTCCTTCCTGAAACAATTATCTTGTTTTCCAACGCTTCACCTTCTCTTGGTGTTTCTCCTGCCCTGACTGGTAGCGCCTCCTTTTCTACTTAACCTTCAAGTGTTGGAGTGCCTCTTGGTCCTTTCCTTCAGCTATCTCCCCTCCCCATGTGATCCTAACTAGACTTAAGACTTAAAAAGTATCTATTTGCTAATGAATCCCAAATGTATCTCTCTAGACTCATATATCGATTGTTTATTCAATATCTCCATTTGGATGTATAACAGACACCTTAAACATAACATGTGTAAGAAAAGACTCTTGATTTCCCCATCCCCAAATCTGCTCCTCCATTTCATTAAGTGGCACCGCCATTAACTCAGTCATCAGGCCCGAACCTAAGAATCAACTCTTGATTTCTTTTTGTTCTTTCACACACTATGCCCCAAATCCAAATCCATTCCAATCAAAATGTATCTAAATAAAATAAAATAAAATAAAATAGCCTTCTTCTCATCCTGTCCGTGGCTGCCAGGCTAGTTAGTCCAAGCTACCTTACTGGTATCCCAAGGACATCTGTGCTTCTCCATTGTGTATTTTACACACATCAGCAAGACTAACTTTTAACAACATGAATCAGATGCGGTCATTCCTCGGCTCACCCTTCTCTCATGGTTTCCCGTTCCTGTTATAATGGCCCACAGGCTTCACTGGATCTGGCCAAGCCTAGCTGGTACTGCTCTCGGGCTGGCTGACGCTGCTCAGCCATGCCGGCCTTTCACTGTTTCTGCAACATGGCAGGCGTATCCCCACCTCTGGGTTTATGGCTGATTTTCTCTCAGCTTGGAAAGGCTATTCCTCCTCCAGGCCCGCGTGTTTGCAAGACTTATTCCTTCATCCCGTGTGTATGCGCTCAAAGGTCTTCTTTGAGAGGCAGTATCTCACCAGGTGTAAAGTCACCCTATCCTCTGCTTTATTTTTCTCCACACCACTTATCACTACCTGCAATTTTTGTCACTTGTTTGTTGTCTGTCTCCCCTCTCTCACTCCACCAGCATGCAAGCTGCAAGAGGGTCTTTGCCTGTCTATGACTTTAAACCTCTGCGCTTAGTTAGAACAGCGCCTGGAACCTAACAGGTGCTCAATTAGGGCTTGTCGAATGATTGAGTTCCCTCCAAATTCTCTTCTTGAATCTTTGGACCCTTCCTCATCTTTTTTCCGGTCTTACCCACCTCCCATCCCGCCCTACGCAAAGCTAAAACTCCCCGCCCCTTCCCGGTAGCTCCAGGCTTTCCCGGCTCCAGTGTGCGCGGCTCCTTTAAGCGGACTCCGGAACGCCGTGGGGAAGGCGGGGCCGAAGCCCAGCCATCGCCAACTTGGAGGGGCGGGGCAGAACCAGGGGGCGGGGCCTGCGTGGTGCGTGCGTGCGCGTTCTGGAGGAGGCGCCGCCGCCGCTCCCGAGGCCCCTGCCGCCGCCGCTCCCGCTGCTGTCGCCGCGCAGAGCCGGAGCAGGAGCCACGGCCGAGAGGAGGGAGGAGGAGGAGGAGGAGGTGGAGGAGGTGGAGGAGGTGGAGGAGGCGCCGGACCGGGGGGGTGAGTAAGGGGCGGGGAGCTCCAGACGGCCCCAGAGGGAGCGGGGGGCGCGGGTCGGCCGAGCCGAGGGTGAGGCGGCTCATGTCGCCGGTCAGTCGCCTGGCTCCCCCTTCCTCCTCCGCGTTCCATCGGTGTCGGGGCGGCGGCCCGGGGGCCTGGCCGGCGGGAGGGGCCGGAGATCTGGGAGGCCCGGCCGCCGCCAGGGCCAGAGCCAACCACGCCCGCGGACCGACCCGGTCGACTGTAGGCCTGCGGGAGACCGTCGGGAGGGGCCCCGGCCGGCTGTGGGAGAGAAAGAGGACATTGTGTCCCCCACCCTTCAGCTCCCCGAGGTGTCATAGCACAAGCCCATTTCCCTCGCCGTCTCCCCAGACACGGTGCCCTCGTACCTCACTGCCTGAGAGAAGTAGAAGGTTGGACATCGCTGCCTTCCTCCTCTTGCATGTCCCCTGTCTAGGGTCAGAGCTTCCTTCAAACCCAGCTCTCCCTTTTGGGCCCGCGGGGGCGGGGGGGAGGGACACACGGGGAACGGGGTTGGAGGGTTGGGTGAATTCTCTGTCCTCTGCTGTAGGAGTGCGGGTAGACTGGAGCATTGCTGTCTCCGGGCTCACTTCTGTCAGGGTTCAGGGTCTCCCTTTCCTTCCTTTATTCCCCCAGTTAATAGGGCTGACATCTACATCCCACTCCACCTTCCAGCCCCTTTCCCGCCTTCTTTACCCTCATGTCTTCCGTAGCTTACCATGTGTTCGCCTTTTCAGTGTTACTTTTCATGGGTCTCTGCTTCTTCCCTGAATTTTGTTAGGGAAGAGGTCACGGTGTGATTCTTGTTATCCTTCAAACTAGCGGCTTGGTAAGAGTATCTCTTGCCCCCTTAATCAGGAAGTTAAGGACGGTGTCTTCAGCCGAGTTGTGTAATTTACTGCTACGGGGAGAAGATGAGAGGAAGACATTTGTGCCTACAAAATGGGATCTCCTCTTAGGGCTGAGAACCAGAGTTTAGGGAACCTTTGACCTCTTGGAAAAAGAACTGCCATTGAGGAGTAATGCATTCTGTTTTGGGAGGGAAAATCATTTTGTTACTTCTTTGAAGGGAGGAGGTATAAGAAATGAAATAGAATAATAGAGCAGAAGGTCAATGAGCCACAGCCCTACAGGTAGCCAGCCACTCTTCTTAGGTGGCGGATGATGTTTTTGTTTTGATTACAGTAAGAATAAAGTATCAGCTCTTAGATTTAACTTGGGGCTCCTACCTTCAAAAGCATGAAGGGCCGTCTCAGAAGAGATGCTGCTGGAAACAGGATTTGGAAACTTTCTTTGGGTTTCCTGTCAGAATGTGTGGGGGTGGACATGCCTATGTGTAGTTTTTCTTTCCTTGTGATGTAATTTATTTCTGTGATACTTTGACATAATAAGCATTAAATTAGGCCCCAGACTTTCTGTCTTTATTATGCTTTCCTATAACATTGTTGTTTTGAAATCATATAGTTCGATATTCTTTTGTAGCGTGATATTTCAGTGAATCCTGTCTAGTTTTCTTGGTGTTTTAAATTATGGCCTACTTCAGATACGATTAGCTGTTAGGTATTGAGGATCATACGTGTTAAGTATTTGTTGAATGAATTGAATGATTACAAAGATGAGTCTAGTTATTAAATCTTCTGTCCTTTTGAGAGGTACCCTATATTAGGATACTGCAGTCCATTTCCAGTTTGTAAGATAGTAATTCTTAACCTTTTCTAGGCCACTGACACCTTTGAGAATATGATGAAATATATAAACTCTCTCCCCAGAATAAAGTTAATAGGCATTTATTCACAAAATTTTGCATTAGTTTTAGGGACCCTCTGAGGCCAACCATGAACTTATGTCTTAGAAGTGAACTGGATGGAATCCCTCAGTGTTACACAGTTCCATATTAAAACAGCTCAAAAGCCTTTGTTCACTTTTTGTATGGCTTCAAGAAGGACAGTATCTACACTTAATATACCCCAGAAGACAGGTATATTCATATACGTTGTTCCTGTAGTCCTTCTGAAAATGAATCCCAAGGAAATATTCCAAAAGAAAGAAAATGTTGTATATGCACATGTTCATTTAATTATTTTAATAGATGGGAAGAAAAGGAAACTACTTGCCCAACAGCAGAAAGATACACAATTTTGCAATCACTGAAAAAGGTTAGAAGTGAAGATTATTAATCTCCTAATTGATCTTCCAGCTTCCACTCTTGCCCCTCCACCCCAAGTTGATTTCCACACAGCAGCTACAATGATGCTCACAAACTTCAGAACAAGTCTCTCTTCTATTCAAAACCCTCCAGTGTTTTCCCATCTCATTCACAGTAGAATCCAAAGTTCTTACCATGGCCTACAAGCCTTACAGCTGCCCAGCTATTTCCCTAATCTCAAGCCCCTTTACTTTTCCTCTTGCTTACTGTACTCCAGCCACACTGGCCTCCTACATCCCAAAAAGGTCAAATACACTGAGGTGTCTGCACTTAATGTCCTCTCTGCCTGTAACCTTTTTCCCCAAGGCAGTATATATCCCTCACTTCTTCAGGTCTCTGCACCAGTCTCAGGTCTTCCCTTACTACCCTTCCCTGCCACTGTTTCTATCCTCTCACCCTACCTTATACTCTTAAGACTAGGTTATACTGATTTTGACAGCCACAGTTGTTGACAAACATTCCATGGTAATGTCGCTTGTATACTTGCATTGGACATTATTGTTTAACATTTAAAAAATAATGTCAGTCATAAAAAGATAACTTTCAGATTGTTAAGTTGAATTTTTCAATAGCTCACATTTAAATTTTGGATGTTAGCTTACCTCTCTTCAACATTTAACTACAGGATGCTAATTGTTGGATACAGAGATGAATTAGACAGGGTCTCTGCCCTCAGGGAGTTTCACAGTCTGTCATTGTTTGTATTGTAATAGTTAAGTTACTCCAGATCTTGCCAGTGTTTAGTTTTACCCATGAACTTTAGTGTATGGTTGATGATATTTTATATAAAATAGGGATTAGACATCCAGATTTTCATGTTGGTAATTGTTTTTTTTCCTTACAAAGGGATATGTTTAAAAATTAAATTTTTTTTGAGACGGAGTCTTGCTCTGTCATCCAGCCTGGTGTGCAGTGGTGCAATCTTGGCTCACTGCAACCTCTGCCTCCTGGGTTCAAGCGATTCTCCTGTCTCAGCCTCCCCAGTAGCTGGGATAACAGGTACCCACCACCACGCCCAGATAATTTTTTTTTTTTTTAATCGTTAGTAGAGACGAGGTTTCCCCATGTTGGCCAGGCTGATCTCAAACTCCTGACCTCAAGTGATCCAGCCACCTTGGCCTCCAAAAGTGTTGGGATTACAGGTGTGAGCTACTGTGGCTGGCAACAAAGGAATTTTTAATGGTATCTGTAATTTGTTTAATTTCTGTTTTGTATGATGCTTTTAGAATATTATAGCTGTGACCGCCCCATGTTTTGTTCTTTGAGACAGAGTCTTGCTCTGTCACCCAGGCTGGAGTACAGTGATGTGATCTTGGCTCACTGCAACCTCTGCCTCCGAGGTTCAAGGGATTCTCCTGCCTTAGCCTCCTGAGTAACTGGGATTACAGGCACGTGCCACCACACCCGGCTAATTTTTGTATTTTTTTTTAGTAGAGAGAGAGTTTCACCATGTTGGTCAGGCTGGTCTTGAACTCCTGACCTCATGATCCGCCCGCCTCAGCCTCCCAGAATGCTGGACTCCTGCGGCTGAGACTATTGTTTTTGTTAAATAGGTCAACATTGAAATTTTATTTGGTTTATAGGGGATGACGACACCAGCCAGTTTTGATAGAAAACTATACCACTGTGAGGGCTTTGCCCAGAATTTCTGGTTCTGGAACCTAGATGGCTTGATTTGGCATAGGTGGGGAGCTTTGACATCTACACAAGGGAGTGGGTTGAATCACTTGAGTTACTTGAAAGCACCTTGCTCTGTTTCTGACATGTGATAGGGACACCGTAAATGTTCATTGAACCTCAGATCACTTCTAATCTCGTGATTCTAAAATTCTCTTATTTTAGTTGGTCAATGAAAATAACTAATGTAAAGCATTTATATTTTAATATTGGAATACATTTGAAATTGTGAATGTAAGTTTACTCGTTTATAATGTCCCTTTTCAAATTAATTGGTTATAACAATTAATTGATTACATCTAATCATTTGTAAGAAGAGTTACGGCCTATTTCCAAGAATTTTTTGCTTATTCTGATGTCATATAATTGCTGCATTACTTAATGCCAGATTCATATCTTATGAAAAAGATTAGCATTAAACAAAAATATTTAAGCTTTAGTATGTTACTGAGACAGATGAAGTGTCCATTTTTTCTTTTATTGTGTGCATGAAGTATGGGGATTACAAGCAGTAGTTTTTATGTGCTTTTTAGTTTTTCATATACAAAGATAATGTTAATATTAGCTCATTTACATTTTGAAACTTTTGTAATAGTGGTATAGATTTGCACTGCATAATTCACATTCTCTCAGTCTCCTGCACACAGTTGTGAGATGACTGGTTAAGAGGGCACTTTGTTTCAAAGTTAAATGATCCAGATGAGTATTGAACCTATAAGCTTAGCTTTGTTCATTATCATGAGGTTCTGATCAACAAAGCAGTTCAACAGAGAACCATGCCATGCTGTCATTTCTGCTTGAAAATAAGCCTTTTAGAGGTAGAAGGTACAAACATGCATATACACATGCACCAATAAAAAAAGGAAATTGTGTATGGTTATTAAGGTAGAGTTGAAACAGGAAATAACGTGCGTTTATAAGTGGTTTAAAAATAATTCTTTTAATAAAATTTTCAGAAATACTTGATATACGCATGGAAAATTAAATGTTTTATGAAATAAACTCCAATCAGTAGACAAGTTAATGGCTTTTTTAAAAGCACTAATGACTTATTTACTTAGGCTATATAAATTTAGGTTAGATAAATCTGAAAAAAAAATTCTTTATAAATCACTCAAATTTTCCCAGTGTTTCTTACCTCTAACCTATTTAGTTTACACTGGTAGAGTGGTTCAAAGTGTTAAAGTTAACCAAATTTAAAATTAAATGTGTAATCATATGTTTTAGTGTCCGAATGTATTTAAATTAGGCCATATTTCATAAGAATAGCAGTATATTAAACTAAAAAAGCTAATAAAAGATACTATTGGGTTAATTAAAACTTGAAGTGCCTTACCTTGAACACCTAGGTGTATACGCCTATAACATGTTACTCCTTCACGGTTTTTTGCAGTGCAGTGCTGTACCCACTTATTCTGGAGGTAAAAGATAATTTTGTTCATGATAGGACTGTGGTTAGCTGTCTTTCGTTTTTTAACTGTTTTCTTTTTTTTTTGTTTTGTTTTTGTCTTTAGAAAAGACAAAACTATAAAAAGAGGCACAAAGAACTGAATACAACTATTTGGACATATCCCAAATGCAGTTTATATGACTCTAAGTTAGTAGTGGAAATCTCTTATTGCTGACTATACATTTCAGATATGTCAGATGTGTAATCCAGAGAGTAAATTCACTCACTGTATTTTCAGTGATATTTTAAAATTCATTTATCAGTAGGATCATTCTGTTCTAGACAAGTTGGCTATATTATAAAACATTAAGCAAGCAGGCACTAAGTTAAATATTGTAGCAGTTGAAATTTAATGCTAATCTTACAGTTTTACACAGTTAACAATCTAGGCCAAATCTATTGATACCTTTGGAACTACCCTTTAAATTCCATCCTATGCTTGTGAAAAGGTTGCATATAATTTCTTTTCCTTTTTCTCTCTTCTCTTCCTCTTCTTTTTTCTTTTTCTTTTTCTATTTCCCTTTTCTTCCTTTTTCTTTCACAGAGTCTTGCTATATCACCCACGCTGTTCTCCACCTCCTGGGCTCAAGCTATCCTCCCACTTCAGCCTCCTGAGTAGCTGGGACTACAGGCGTGTGCCACCACAGTTAATTCATAATTTCATTAATAGATTTCAGATTCAGTCATTGAACAGATGTTTAAGTAACCCCAAATTAGGCTCTTTGATGGATACTGAGATGTGAAGGTGTAGTTTCTGCTTAAAGGAATTTATAGTCTAGCAGTTTATTTTGTTTGCCACAGCCTGTCATGTGTTTTATAAATCAGTGTTGTATTTTCATGATAGAGTGAAAATAGAATGATACTCATTTTTTAAGTAAAATAAATTGTGAACATTTCACATTCTCTTAGTTGGTGAACAGCTATTTTGGTGGTCTTGTTTTCTAACAGCTTATGAGTATTAGACCAAATCAGTTTCCCAGTTGTTTAAAATAGAGTTAAATAAGAATTGTTTGCTTTACTGCCTGTTTTACTTCAGTCCAAGACTTATTTTTTGTAAATAGCTTTTCTGCATATGTATACATACACACACACACACACACACACACACACACATATGCATGTATATACACACGTTGTAGGGAAGTTGTTTCCTGGTTCAGCTAGCAATTTCAATTCTCTGTTTAACGTCAGAAGTTGTTTTGTAGAATGGGATGTTAATATTTTTTTCTACACTGATTAAAATCATCCTTTGCCACTAAAGTCAAGTATCTGCTAGGACAGAAATGTGCAAATAGCATGCGTAAATGTGCATTTTTAGTGACTGTTGTTAGCTTGACAGTTTTATTTTCAAGATCCTCTTCTCTCCCGACCTAATTAATTATGATGTGTTTATAAGGCAACAATAATATATTTAGTTAGTTTGCAAAATGAGAACAATTTTTCTGGTTTTTCCATTTTTGCATGTTTTGAGTTTGGATTAATTGGACTTGTATTATTCTCAGTAGACATATATAATAAAATAGTCCATTTAACTGTGATTCTTTCTCTTGGAACATTGGCTGACTTTTAGATAGTGAGCCTTGTGCAGTTTCATAAATACAGGTACTACTGAGTTTTGGATGACATTCTTTACACAACCTAAAAGTAAAGGTGAGCATAATAGAAGCTGGAAACAAGCTGCTGGGCATAATAGAAGCTGGTAACAAGTCTGACGTTTTCTTTGCACTAGGAAATGTATTTCTTATTCCAAGTAATATGCCCTTGTTAGGTTCAGGATCTTTTTCAGTGGTTATAACTGCTTAAACATTTTTTTTTCTGTTTAAAGTAATTCATGTTATACTGTGGCAAATTTTGAAAAAAATGTTAAGTGTAAAGAATAAATTGAAAACATCCATGATCCTATCATCCAGAAAAAATTACTACTGATACTTTAATATACATTTTTCCAGTTTATTCCTTGCATGTACGGATTTTTTATTTATTTTTTTTACGAAACTTAGAATTATAACTTTATATATACTGTTTTGATCATACTTTTTTTTCCTGAATGGGATGTTGGTCTCCTAGTTTGAGACTTTAAAGTTGATTCTTTATAATATTACTGTTTTAAATAACACTGGGACAGACATTTTTTGTACATGTATCTTTGATTGCATCTCTGTTTTTTTTTTCTTCCTGTAGGATAGATTCCCAGAAGTGGGATAACTGGATCAGAGGGTGATTACCCTGTGTATAAGAGTATGTGTCTCACTGCACCTTCAATGGCATTGAGTAGGTCAGTTTTTACAATCTTTGCCAATGTGATAGATATCTGTTACATTCTTGGGTGGTAATAGCAGAAATCCTCATATTATTAATAATCTGTAAAACCATCATAGTGTATGAAAGAAATTTGCAATTGTCCTGAAATGAGTTTCTTTAAAAATATTTTAGGTAAAAGTAATCTGTGACCAAAAAAAAAATTACTGATTAAAGTTGGAATTTCAGCATTTTTTTTTTTGGAGAGCTAGAATTTTAATGTTCTTTTATTAAAATGACAAACATGAGAAAGCTTGTTTTATAGTATGTAATAAATATAAATATTATGTAAAACTAAATTATTTCAGATAGATGAGGGGGGTAGTCACATGGTTCTGACTTTGAAAAAACAAAAAAAAAATCTGTGAATGTTTAGAGCAGTAGCTCTGGAGTTGGGCAGCCTGGGTTTGTGTCCTTGCTTTGCCACTTACTAAGTACATGATTGGAGGCAACCTGCTAAATATGTGTATGATTTGATTTTTCTGAACCTTGGCTTCCTTATTTTTATAAAAGGAGAATAATATCTACCCCATAGGATTGTTGAGAGGATTAGAATAATGTGTAAGACCACTTGGCACATAGGTATTTAATAAAAACTAGCTATTTTCGTTAAATTTGTTTTTTCTGCCAGTCTCCTCAAGGGCAAGAAATATCTCATTTTTGTGTTTCTGTTTACATGAATAAATACTGAAATGCAAATGGGCTGTGGTGAGCAGTGGCAGCAGGAGGGGAATGGTGGACATTCTTTGTGGTAGGAATGGCATGTGCCAAGATAGAAAGAAAGTTCAGGAGAAGTTGGAGGACAGGTGATTAATTTGACAGAAGCCTAGGCTTTTGTATAGTTAGAAAATATGGAGATAAGGGAGAATTATGGAGATTGGGGCTAGACTTTTAAGCCATTGAATGCTACGTTGATAAGTGTAGACTTTTTCAGGAGTACAAGCTTTGGTATGTGGAAAATGACTTGATAAAAGCATTCATCGAAAAGCAGATGAATTCGCTTGTAGAGTAAAGAATGAATTGAGGAAGGAAGAGGTTGAAGACAGGGAATCTGGATTAATAGTAACACAGGTAAGGTAAGATCTGAGGGTTTAAAGGAAAACAAAAGGGAGGGTTTTGGAGGAAGTGCTTAGGCTTCATGTTTGTGAAGATCTGTACAACCAATTTGGAGATCAAATTCAAAAGAAACAGCCTAGGCTTACATGCAGTTAGGCAGCCTTTGAGAGAAGATGGGACTCAGTACACTTTGGTTGTTACTATTGTTTTTTTAAAAATTGAAGGATAAAACATTCCAAGATTCCTATCATTTCGTCAGTAAAAAGCATATATTTATGCTTTTAAAAATATATATGTACAATCTCCTGCAGTAATTTTATTTAGTTAGCATTTTGAGTTCTTGGTTAACAGGATATCCTCGCTTTTAGACTTTGTATTTCTGGAGCTATTACCTTAAAACTCTTCACTGTAAGGTGAAATTCTTCTGCATGTGGTTTTTGTAGCATTTGTGATTGCTGCAGGACTTTAAAAAAACCAGTCGTGTGAGCAGAGGTGATGAGAAGTGAAATACAGACTTCTTGTTTGTTAAGCAGCTTCTAAGTAAAATATAGGAGCAAAAAAATGGGAAATTGTGTGTATGATGTTTAGAAAAACATTACTTTTAGTGTTCCTGTTTTCTCTCTCAGCCCTGAATTTTCCTAATTAAAAAAAGAGAGTTTGCAGATGCCATTTTTAGTCATTCTAGAACCTGACTAGAGCTCTACTCATACTTTCCACTTGACTGAATAATATAAAGCAAGTTAGCCAGAGATTGATATTAATAGTATTTCTTTTTGACTGATAAGTAAACTCACATGAACTGTGAATTGTCTGCTCGGTATCTTCCAATGGAGAAAAGAAGCAACCACCAATTTAAAAAAATACAGGCTTGTGATACTTATAAGGTGTTTGCATTTTTTAAAACAGTGAGTTATCATACCTTTCTTAATGTTTCTTTTAGTTTCCAAATACTGCCTAAATTCAGAAATAAAGTACTTATTATTTTTATTCAAATCTCTTCCCTTTAAAACTATCCTTGAAAATATTTTTAAATTAATAAGCAAATGTAACTCACAGTGCTCGTAGTGTTGGGGATTGTGTGCGTGTGACTTTTTTTTACAAATACTGTGTTTTTCCTGTGTGAATCTGCAAAAGCCCAGATCTGGTCAACTGAATGAAATTTCATTTGCTAAAGGGATCTCAGATATTCAAAACGATGATTTAATGTCTACAAACTATAAGAGTCTCTTTTAAATAGGTTTGAGGATACTTCTGCCTGTTTGTCCAGCAGAATCTGAACTACAGTCATTCTCTCCCCATCATTCCTACTCCTTAAACTATAGCTGAGAGAATAGCATAGTCCTTAGTTTGGGCCATTCTGGCATTGCCACTATGATGGCCTGTTGTCTTACATTTTTAGAAACTTGCTTGCATCTTGACAGAAAAAATAAATTATTAAATTAAGTAGCTAGCAGTTTATGGGATACTGTTATAAGATAGTTCATTTAATTTTTACATGAGGTGAAATACGAAATGTCTGAAATGTGAATAGACTTTTATATGCTTCTATCCCAAAGGATTAAAATAAAACAAAATGAAGTGTACTGGTTGAATAGAATATTATGTACATTTTTCTTTATCAGAAGATTTTTTCATACTCCTTTTGAATCAGCAATTTTGAATGCTAAATATAAATTCTTGACTAAGAAATCATTCCCTACAGTAATAATAAACAGTTTGGTTAGTCGTCCAACATGTATTTATTGAGTGATTATTGAGTGCTTGATACTATTCTAGGAACCACAGATTTAGCAGTGAATAAGACGTGCTTTCATGGCAATTTTTATACCACTGAAGGGTTGATGATAGTAGAGAGACACAGTAGAAAAACAAGTAAATAAGATAATTTCAGAGGTCCCAAATGCCATGAAGAAACTATAGCAAGATGAAATGATAGAGAATGATGAAAGGGTTTTAAATTGAGTGTTGTGGAAAAGCTCGCTGAGATGGTGATATTTAATGTGGCACCTGAATTACAAAATGCCAGACATATAACAGTATATAAGAAGAATGAACCAGGCAGAGAAAGGGCCCGTTGGTGCAAAGGCCCTAAAGTGGGAAGCAGATCATCATGTTTGAGGAAGAACAAAAAGACCCTTGTCATCACAAGGCTAGGAAAAGCCTGGTAGATGAGGTTGATAGGGAACAGCTCACTGGATATCATTATTTCTCTTTATGGGTAAATATATGCAACTTGTGAATTTGAAGATGGTGTTACTAATAATACTCATTTAAATCTGTAGGGTAACCAGTAGTTTTTCTAGACATACAGAATCACTAATTCCTGGTCCATAAATTATGTTTTTCCCAGGGATCTGCAGAGATAGGAAGGAATTATGATTAGTATTACAAAAAGTCAAATGAAAATTGTGCATTTACCCTAAATAGACTTATACAGATAAAATATTATGTATCTTTTCTTTGACCAGTGATTATATTGACTCAAATCATTATCATACATTGTAGCGATTTGCAGATTGTTAAGGAAATAAAATATTGTACTTATCCCTTCAAGATCCTAGCACTGGGTTTTGTTAGTTTTTAAGTCTTTGGCAATTTGAGAATTTTGATTAGCTTTTACTTATGTGATTAATAAGATGTCATTGCAGTTGGTAGACAAAGATCTTTAAACACGTGAAATCCATGGAATAGAATAAAGTTTTTTTATAGAAAGGTTGGGAGCCATTGATTAATGTCCTATCTGTAATGGACCTACAGGGAGAAGGGAACTCATATGTTTTTGAGTGTAGACCCCTTACATCCTATTTAATTTGCACAGTAAATCTACAAAGTAGATATTGTTATTGTCCAGTTTTTTTACAGGTGATGAAACTCAAAGTAATTATGTAATTTGTGAAAATTTACACAGCTCTAATTATAGAGAATCACGTGGGTAGTAAACTTCCAGAAGAAGGGACTTTTGCAATACAAAGCAGAAAATAGGTGATCAATACATATTTGTATCTTGCTTAAATGTAAACATGAATGAATGAGTAAATGACAGGAGACTGCCTCTGTCCCTATACTGTTTTCAGTGAGTCACACCATTTTTCTCCTAAATGAGTCTAGAAAATTTCTTCAGAAATAAAGTGACTTAACCTGTCTTTTTTTCCATAAATCATACGGTGAAAATCCTGAGGAGAGAAATAAAGACCAAACACTTACAAAGTATAATTTTCTCTTGGGCTTTGTTAACTGAGTAATTTGTAGAGTTTTTGGCTTTAAAAAAAAAAAGTCTGCTTTGCACCATAGTGTTCATTATCAATAACATCTTTTGGTTCTGTTTATATCTTAATTTTTTTTGTAACCATTTAAGAATTTAGTATTCTGAAATGAGGTGATGGAATTACAGTAGTCCAAATGTTTATGTAGCCAGTGTTAGTTGTCTGCCTAATATCTATCACAGTCTGTGGGGAGTGGGGCAGGGTTGGTGGCATGTGTTTGTTTCTGTCTTCTATTAGAATATCAAAGTGTGTGATTTGTTGCTCAGAAATATGAACTCATAATTCTGGGTCATTTAATGGTTAGTAGGATAAATGAGGGCTTTTTTTTTTTTTTAAACTAATGCCTACACCCAGGCAGAATAGGAGTATGAAATCTCTAAACCCTGTGTTTATAAAGTTTCTAATCCTTCAAATTAATTAATATCTTAATAAATTCTAAGTTTAGTATTCTTTTAAATGAATATCATAGGAATGGATACCTAGAGGATGAAAGTAAATATAAGTAATTGAGAAATTGAAAGAAATCAGAGTAAGGTTGAGAAAGGAACGTAATTATGATACAGAATTTACCATAGGGGAATAACACATGGAAGTTGACGTGCTAGACTGTGGAAAAGGAATTTATTTTCTCAAAAAAGAGAAATGAAATTGATGGAATGAGGGCTAGGAGGAGGTAAATTATGGTTGAAGGAGTAGAATACTTTGGATTAGATATTGGAGCCTACGGCCAGGTGTGGTGGCTCATGCCTGTAATCCCAGCACTTTGGGAGGTCGAGGCGGGCGGATCACCTGAGGTCGGGAGTTTGAGATCACCCTGACCAACATGGAGAAACCCCGTCTTCACTAAAAAAAAAAATACAAAAAAACTAGCTGGGCGCGGTGGCGCATGCCTGTAATCCCAGCTACTCAGGAGGCTGAGGCAGGAGAATCCCTTGAACCTGGGAGGCAGAGGTTGTGGTGAGCCAGGATGGTGCCATTGCACTGCAGCCTGGGCAACAAGAGCAAAACTTGGTCTCAAAAAAAAAAAAAAAAAAAAAAAGATACTGCAGCCTGCAGGGACCTTCAGAGAGAATATGATTAATCTGTCACCATTTGTGGCAGTATAATTACTACTTCATGAGGTATGGTGTCTTGTTGGTTTGAGTTGGAAGGACAATAAACCTAGATCGAATGAAGAGGGTTGTTGTGAAGAGGTAACATATTTTAAAATTTGTTTCTAGTTGTCTGAGACTTGGTATGACAGGTCTATAAAAGATAACTTTATGTGATATTTTGGTTCTTGGTATCCTCAAAGTGTTGGTTTTTAATTTTTCCTGGTGGATTTCTGTATGTCAGCTTTAGACTGCCCTATTGTTGCATCCTGCTGTTCTCCATTCTAATCATACAGTTGATTTGGTAATGACATACATAACCCCTGGCATGAAGTTTTTATGCTTCAGAAAATTGTTTGGCATATAAAGTGCAAGTATCAATTTGCTCTATAGATGTGTATCTATAAAAACTAGTGTGATTATTTAAGGATATCAGATTAACTTAAGAAAAACCATAGGCAAGTGATTTGGGAGGGAGAATCTTATAATCAGACACACCTTTATTTGCATGTTTAGATTTTCATATATTAGGTTATTTCGGTAGTGTTTCTTTTTCGTTCAACTGGTAAGAAGCCTGGGACTTTAGTATCTCGAAATTGGTCAAATAGTATATACTCTTAAAAAGTTTCTGTGTCTTTTAAATACCGAGTTTCACACCTAGGACAAACCTCAGTTGTAAAACATCCCTTTGAATTTTAAATTACTGTTTAATAACTTCTGACTAGTATTTCACTCAAGTGTTACAACTTTTACATTGGAATATGATAGCATTATAATTCAAGAACCAACCAAAATCTGCAGTAGAAACCATGGGTTGGAGGGTTTTAGATGATATACTCATCCTAATATTCCCATTAGGCTTCAGACGTGGACTGCTGTCACAACAGAACATACTTGAGATGTGTCACCACTCAGTGCCATCTGCCTACATGGGTACATAAGCTATATAGTAGGCCTTAAATATTGGACATAAAGAATCATTGCTTTGTGGTTTTCTTAGCTGACTCTGCTTAACTTCTAGTGTTCTGGGCTGAGCCTGTAGTCAATTTTGATCTTTTGCATTTATAACAACACTCCCATAACCACATGTTCAGTGTCCTCTGTGTGTTGGTATACCAAAGATGGACATGTGAAGTTTTTTAATAGTGCAAAGAAATTGGCTGTTTAATCAGTAAAATTTAAAGGTGATTTTAAAAACATTCAAATATTTGAGAGAGTGCCCTTTATATGAAGGACCAACTATCTCTTCCCTCCCTGGTTAATTTTCACAATATAATAAATATTTTTTAGTTATATAGGCCAAAGTGTTCTATAGAAAATCAATCATAAAATTGCATTTGTCTGTGCTATTTTTAAAAAGTTCTCTATTGTTACATTGGTAAATGCAGATTACCAGTGTTTACATAGTATGATTTTAGTACTTATTTTTAAAATATATATCTATTCATATGTAGAATATAGGCTAAAAGGAAACACCAAAAGACCTAGATTATTATCTCTGATGTATGGGTTATAGATATTTTATTATATGTTATATATTATATGTATTATTATATGTCATATATTTTATTTCCCTTGTTAAGCCTTTTATGAACTTTACATTTATATATATATATGTATGTATGTATGTATTTATTTATTTATTTATTTTATTCATTTATTTTTTCGAGATGGAGTCTCACTCTGTTGCCAGGCTGGAGTGCAGTGGTGTGATCTCGGCTCACTGCAACCTCCACCTCCTGGGTTCAAGCGATTCTTCTGCCTCAGCCTCCTGAGTAGCTGGGATTACAGGCACGCACCGCCACGCCCAGCTAATTTTTGTATTTTTAGTAGAGACGGGGTTTCACCATGTTGGCCAGGATGGTCTCGATCTGCTGACTTCATGATCTACCCGCCTCGGCCTCCCAAAGTGCTAGGGTTACAGGCATGAGCCACCACGCCTGGCCTGTTCATATATTTTATAATCAAACTAAAAGTTCTAAAATCAATTCATTATAGAGTATGAAATTAAATTTAATAAAGCTTTTAAAGATAAAGATTCTTAGGTGATAAAATGAGTTAAAGGCTTTACAAATAATAAATAGGATTTCTGAAATGGAATTTTATGTTATGGTAAACATTTTTCCTTTAAAACTAAAACAGATGCAAAATTAAGTTGCCATTTTCTGGGCATGGGGATGGGAGAAATAGGAAAGATTTTGTACTGTTGTACCTTGCCTTGGAAACCTTTTGATTCTTCTAACTCAGATTTGCTTCAGTTACGTCATATGCTGTTTTATGGATAAGTGTTTAATTATAGGATTTAAACTTATTTATATAAATGGTATGCAAAATCTTGCTTTGAATATTTGGTCATTTGTATTTGTGGTCAGCAGGCAAAACACTTTGCAAAAGTTTGCATGTAGTGCCTACCAGTTTTTCTCAGTTTTCTCATCTGTCAGTGGAGAAAGAACAATATCTATATCTTGTTTGAGGATTAAATAAGCATGCCTGAGGTACAAGAAGCACTTAAAATTATTGCTGCTGTTATTACCCCAAAGTTGGGATTGATGTTTCTTTGTTTTCTTTGTGTTTTGTTTTGTTTCTGAAACAGTGTCTCACTCTGTCGCCCAGGGTGGAGTTCAGTGGCTGCAATCTCTGCTCACTGCAACCTCTGCCTGCAGGGTTCAAGCAATTCTCATGCCTCAGCCTCCCAGGTAGCTGGGGTTATAGGCTTGTGCCACCACACCCAGTTAATCTTTTTATTTTTAGTAGAGATGGAGTTTTACCATGTTGACCAGGCTGGTCTTGAACTCCTGACCTCTGACCTCAGGTGATCCCCCCACCTCAGCCTCCCAAAGTGTTGGAATTACAGGTGTGAGCCACTGTGCCTGGCCAGCATTGATGTTTCCATGAAACTGAGGTAAAAGATCCCTAGGGACTGGAACAATATCTTATGCCATGTATCCCCTATTTTGGTCAACCCTGTGTATTCCCCATTAATTAAGTGGGACGGTTAGTTCCTCACTTAGGTAGTTTCATTGTTTATGTATACAATAAATCTTTGGCATTCACGACTTAATAGTTTAGACCTAAAGTATTTAGCATGAAAAATTTATAATCTGGTATAGGCAAAATTTTGAATTCAAGGCTGATGTGCTGAACAAGTCTGTTAACTAGAGAATTGAATATAGCTGACAGTATCCCAGTTTTTATTACCCAACAGTGACGTGACTTTTGTTCTCTACTTAATTTTCATCCTAGAATTAAAAACTGTTTCTTTGTGAATTTAGTGCCCGGGGAAAGCCAGTAGTTAATACTGGTTTTTGCAGATTTAGATAAACTCTTGATTTTAGACAACAAACACTATGGCAATAAAGTAAGTTTATTTTAGTAGCAATTCAATTCATGAGTGTTGCTTATTTCTTTTCTGTTCTTCACAATGTCTTGCGCCCAGTGGAGATAATGAACAATAAGGTGTGTTTGGTAGTTTGTGAAGAAAGGTAAATTTTTTTTTTTTTTTTGGAGACGGAGTTTCGTTCTTGTTGCCCAGGCTGGAGTGCAATGATGTGATCTCGGCTCACTGCAACCTCCACCTCCCAGGTTCAAGGGATTTTCCTGCCTCAGCCTTCTGAGTAGCTGGGATTACAGGCATGCGCCACCACTCCCAGCTAATTTTGTATTTTTAGTAGAGACAGGGTTTCTCCATGTTGGTCAGGCTGAGTCTCCCCACCTCAGGTGATCCACCCGCCTTGGCCTCGCAAAGTGCTGGGATTACAGGCATGAGCCACTGCTCCCAACCAAGAAATGTAAATCTTTGAATTCATTAAAGGAAAGGGGTGAGTTGACTGGGAATTTCTAGATTTCTAGGCTCTTATATTATTTCTATTACTTCAGTACATAATTTTTTAAATCTCTCAGGCCAAATTAAAATATATTTCCTGTCTAGATTTCATATTTCCATGGAGTGGTGTGATGATGTAAGTGTGCTTCATTTAATAAAAGCTACTCCGGTATACCTCATAACCTTGCAGAAATACTGATTTTATGGGTCTGTGATAGGGCTAGGGTGCTGTATTTTACTCCTGTGATCCTCAGATGATTCTGATGAGATGCTTTTTCAATTTATTTATCTCCATATTTTCATTTTAGTGTTATTTTTAAAAAATGGTTTGTATTATATTTTTAAAGCCATAGGAATAAAGAAGTACATTTTATAGTTAATAATGAAAATTAATGATATATCTTAGCTTTCCATGGTTATGTTTTGTTTTACTTTTTCAATTAGTTAAATGTACATAGATTACTTAAGTCAAACTCAAGTAATACCAAGTTCACTGTAGAAAAAAATAAAGTACCAATTAGACATTATTTCTCAGCCTTTTTAGATATTTTTCTAATTGTCCCCCTCATGAAATTTTAATGCCACAGATATAACTGTATATTTGTTTATGTATTGTATGTATATCTGTGTTTTATGCACTAAAAGAATAAGAATTATTTTTTTGCCCCTCAAGAGCCAATTTTCACCCCATTGGTGGTGATACTGCTCCTGTTGAGAATGCATGCAATAAGCCAAAAGAAAAATCACCTTTAATTTTACCTTACAACTTGTTAACATTTTGGTGTACATCTTTCTCAGTGATGTTCAATGCATATATGCCTTTTCTTTGATGAAAATGAAATCAGATACATAATACTTCATGCTCCTGTTTTTCTTAATATTTTGTGAATTTTCATGATAAATGAGTATCTTTTAACAGTACCCCATCTCTAATGGATAAATACTATAGATGTATAGTAGTATGTGAATTTGCCATCATTTGTTTAAATGATTTGTCTATAGTTTTCAATTTTTTATTATAAAAGTTCTACTATGAATATCATTATAGTTGAATTTTTCCATGCATCCTTAATTATTTCTGTAGGATAAATTCCAAAAAGTAGAATTACTTCATTCTGTACATTTTAATATTTTTTGGTGTATATGACTTAGAAAGTGAAAGTCCATTTCCCCAAGGACAGCCACCATCAAAATCAATCTTTGTCTAGCCTTTTCCTGTATATATCCTAACATAAATAACTATATATATTATTTATATAAAACCTACATATAAATAATTTTATATAGCTGTTTCTGTCTCTTAAAAAAGAAAAATATATTGTTCCTTAACTACAGCAAGTTGCTTTTTTGCCTAACGCATTTTGCCTGAGAGATTTTAGTCATCCCATATCACTATGTATAATTCTACCTCATTCTTGTAAGCTGTATGATACATAGTAATTTGTCCATTCTTCTACGGAAGGATCTTTTCTTTCCCATTTTGTTTTGTTTTTGCGTATGTCTTTGTTTTTTATTTCTGCAGCATAAATTCCCATTTGTAATAGAATTCTGGGTCATTTATGAATTGAAAGTACTTTATATGTGCTGGTCTTTTTCTGTGTTTATTTTTCTTTCTTTCTTTCTTTTCTGTTTTTGTTTTTGAGACAGAATCTTAATCCTACCCCCGGGCTAGGGTGCTGTGGCAGGGTCACGGCTTATCCACTCAGGTGATTCCCCCACCTTAGCCTCCTGAGTAGCTGGGACTACAGGCGCATGCCAACATGCCTGGCTAACTTTTTGTATTTTTTGTAGAGACAGTGCTTTGCTGTGTTGCCCAGAATGGTCTTGAACTCTTGGGCTCAAGCCATTCACCCACCTTTGCCCCCCAAAGTTCTGGGATTATAGGTGTGAGCCACCGTACCCTGTGTTTTCTATTTTTTTCATTCCTTTATTTGCCTACTCTGGTATTGGACCAGATGTTAATTACTTTTGTATCAGGAAATATAACATGTTCTAATAAGTAGGCAGATAAGTCACAGTTGAATTTTGGCTAGGTGTTGGTTTTTATCTTTTTTTTTTTTAAGACAAGTATATGTATTTTAAGTAGTCTAGAATAATACAGATTTTTGAGGACTTTTAGGTCCAGGCAGTAATTCAGAACTCTAAAGGCACATCAAAGTTGCATAGTGAACAAACAAGCTATTGAGCTGTGAGCTTTCTGGGAATACTTGGAACCATAACATTTCTGTCAAATATGCCTTTTAATCTTTGGTTTATTGATTGAAGTATTTTGGACTCTTTCTGCTATCAAGGTTTTATTCTTTTTAAAGGAGATACACTATCTTTTTTACATTTCTGGTAATGTGTTTAGTTTAGGTACATCATACTGTGTTGTTTCTGCTTATTTCTGTAGTTCTCTACTTATACCTTCAGAGTTATACATAGATTTTCCTGAGGTTTATTAATCTAATATAGCTCAAAATATCAGAATAGATGTTATAGTAGGTAACACTTTTCTGAATTAGAATCCGATTTTTTAAGAGTCTGGTGTTTTGGCTGGATTTATGTAGGTTTCTTTATGAGAAAACAGTAAACATTGCAGAAGAATTACACTTTGCTTTTTAAAGTAGAAATGTGTTTAGTTTCTAAAAATGCTAATTTTTTTCTGAGACTATTCTTTCTTTAAATGTAGCCACTCACAGCATTGTTAAAATTTTTAAATGTTGATTCTGATACTATATACTATTAGTAACTAATACATTATGAACTTTTTTTTTTTTCCTTAGGACATACTGTCAGGTGAGATTCTCAAATGGTTTTAGTGTTCTGGAAGAGTTAGTTTACCTTTGTAATGAAAAATCTCTCATGAGAGTACTGCACTCACCGCTAGGATGAAAACTAATCAAATAAATATAAAAAATGGTAGTCAGTACCCAGGCATTTCAGACAGGACTGTTGTCTGACACTAGCCTCCCTTGGAGTTGAATTGTCACCACAGCCAGGTTAAGCTTATTACAGAGGTTTACCTTGCTTTGGATTGTGGGTCTGCGTCTATCAAAGTGAAAAGCCAACTTTTTCCCCTCATGGTAGTGGTATGCTTTTTGCATGGTGTGTTTATGAAAATTAACATCACAATGGTGATTTTGTGTCGAGGTTTACCATTTAACTAGATTAGAGATTGTATTCTTTGGTGCAAAATTTAACCTAAATGCTTTGTGAATGTACACAAAACTGAGTCCTTTATCTCAGAATCACAGCTGCAAACAAATGACAACCCATGCTTGAGCATTAACTCATTATCACTTAGACCTTTGGCCAAGCCTGTGATTGCTTAGATAAAGCCTTACCCTCCACCTTTGCCTACTTCTTTGTTTTTTGAAGACTGAAGCCATATAAAAACTTCAAATTCATTTAACTGAATAGTCCATGTAAGGAGGATGTTTAACTTATTTTTAGGACAATATTTGATTTTAACTAAATATTATGTGAGACTATTATAAGTGATTATAAAACTATGTGATATTTTGTGTTTTATAAAACTTCAAATGTTTTCATTTTATTATTTCTCATTATTTAAAACATTTTTTCCTCACTAAATATTGTGATAAATTAGTATCAGTAAGACTTTAATTAATAATAGCCATCTGATAGCAGGGATTCTTTAATAGATTTGTTAGAGTATACATCTTCACAGTACATAAAAGTTGAGAGATTTTTATGTTTTGTGTAGTGACTTAAAAGTAAGCTGTTTTTCAGGAAAGTATTAAATAATTGTTACTAGCTCTTTTTTATAATTATTTTCCTATTCAAAGTAATAATAAAGTAATCCTTGAACATCCTTTTAGTTAACACACGATTTTTTAATAATTCACTATTTTTGACCAGGCATGGTGGCTCCCGCCTGTAATCCCAGCACTTTGGAAGGCCAAGGTAGGAGGATAGCTTGAGCCCATGAGTTTGAGACCAGCCTGAGCAACATAGTGAGACCCTGTCTCTACAAAAATTAAAACAAAAAATTAGCAGGGTGTGGTGGTGCATACCTATAATCCCAGATACTCAGAAGGCTGAGGTGGGAGGATCGCTTGAGCATGGGAGGTTGAGGCTGCAGTGAGCCATGATTGTGCCACTACACTCCAGCCTAGGTGACAGTGAGACCCTGTCTCAAAAAAAACAAAAAACACCACTATTTTTGTTAAGTAATGTATTTTAAAAGGAATACAAGTAATGCCCTGAAAAGTACAGATCAAGAAAAGAATGCAAATGAGACAAAAATAATGGTTATCAGTTTGCTGTGTATCCTTACAGAAGTTTCCTGTAAAAACATGCATATGTACATATATGCATATATAGAAATAATTAGTTTTCTTTTTACAATTCCTTTTGTTTTTAAGTCTTCAGGTGTAGCAATGAGACAAGAAGACTAGTTCTATATTAGCATGTTAGCAAATAAAAATTCCATTCTTCAGAGATAAGTTTTGTCAAGTTTCTCTCATCTTTCTGCTTGCTCCTCCCTTCACTCTTATTCTGTTCTTACCACTCTTCTCCTTGAGAGGAGAGAACGTATAGTGTGGTGGATTGCAACGCTGGCTTGGCTATACATTAGATTTAACTGGGAGCTTTGAGAAATATCCACATTCTGGCTCCACCTTCCAGATTCTTAATTAATTGGTCATAATGATGCAGGGGATGTGGGAGGAGAACGTTCTTTATCTTAGCCTGCATATGGAAGCTTGCCTCAGCTTCAGAGTTCAAATATGGTTTGCGGGAAAGCAATGGTTGAATCCAAGGGGCCATCTTCCTCAGTTTCTCTATCTTCTAGAAGGAAGGGGTGTGTGCGTGTGTGTGTGTGTGCGCGCGCATGCACATAGGTCTTTGTAATCCTTTAAATTCTCTAAGAAATGTACCACCACAGATTTCTAATTTATTCTAGTATTGGTTCATCCATAGTGTTTGTATACTTTAATTCTAAAGAAAAATAATATTTGCATAGTACAGATTAGATAGACAAGAAGATGACTGGTAAGGCAATATAGTATTGTAGTTAACCACACTGATGCTAGAGCCACAGTGCCAGAGTTTTAATCCTGGCTCCATAATTTATGTATGTTGAGCTTGGACAAGTTAGTTTTAGCCTTTTTGCCTCGTCTATAAAATGGGGACAGTAGGCTGGGCACAGTGGCTCAAACCTATAATCCCAGCACTTTGGGAGGCCAAGGTGGGCGGATCACCTGAGGTTGGTAGTTTGAGACCAGCCTAACCAACATGAAGAAACCCTGTCTCTACTAAAAATACAACAGTTAGCCGGGTGTGGTGGTGCATGCCTGTAATCCCAGCTACTTGGGAGGTTGAGGCAGGAGAATCACGTGAACCCGGGAGGCGGAGGTTGCAGTGAGCCGAGATCAAGCCATTGCACTCCAGCCTGGGCAATAAGAGGGAAACTCCATCTCAAAAAATTAAATTAAATTAAATTAAAATAAAGGGACAATAATCCCCACCCCACAGAAATGTGAGGATTAAAAATACTAGTAGATGTAAAGTGCTCAAACAGTATTTTATGCATGGTAAATGTACAATAAATAACAGTTAATTAGTTTATTCCTTTCTTGTAGTCTATTTTCTAACATTTCTTACCCCTTTCTTGCTTATTCCTCCTGAAGTTAATGCGTCTTCTGATAAACTAGAGTAGGTGTTAACTTTTTTTTTTTTTTTGAGACGGTGTCTCACTGTCTCCCAGGCTAGAGTTCAGTGGCACTATCTTAGCTCACTGCAAGCTCCGCTTCCTAGGTTCACGCCATTCTCCTGCGTCAGCCTCCTGAGTAGCTGGGACTACAGGCGCCTGCCACCACGCGCGGCTAGTTTTTTGTATTTTTAGCAGAGACAGGGTTTCACCATGTTAGCCAGGATGGTTTCGATCTCCTGACCTCGTGATCCACCCGCCTTGGCCTCCCAAGGAGCTGGGATTACAGGCGTGAGCCGCCGTGCCCAGCCTTTTTTTTTTTTTTTTTGAGGCAAAGTCTCGCTGTGTCGCCCAGGCTGGAGTGTAGTGTGATCTTGGCTCACTCCTGGGTTCAGGTGATTCTCCTGCCTCAGCCTCCCGGGTAGCTGGGACTACAGGTGTGCGCCACCACACCCGGCTAATTTTTTGTTATTATTAGTAGAGATGGGGTTTCACCGTGTTGGTCAGGCTGGTCTCAAACTCCTGATCTTGTGATCTGCCCACCTCAGCCTCCCAAAGTGCTGGGATTACAGGCGTGAGCCACTGCGCCCGGCCAGCTAATTTTTTTTGTAAGGGGCCAGATAGTAAGTACTTTAGGATTTTGGGGCCATATGGTCCCTGTTGCAGATATTCAACTCTGCTGTTATAGGGTGAAAGCCATTTACATAAGCAAATGAGAGTGATTGTGTCTCCTTTATTTATGAACACTGAAGGTGTCCTTAAATATAGAAACAGTCCTTAGTTCACAAGCCACGCAAAAACAGACAGTGGCCCAGATTTGGCCTGTGGTTCATAGTGTGCTGGCCCCTGAAGTAAGGTAAACAAACCTGCACATTCTGATAACTATTTTAGACGTCTTTTCTTTCTTGGACATTCCTTCATTTTTAAATTTCTCTGTACATTGGGATACTCTAGAAAGTTAATTTTTTGGCATCAAGTTTAGAACTTTAAAATTCTACTCACAGCTTTGAGCTTAAGCTGTTTATTAGCACTATTTGAAACAGTGAAACTTTGTGAACTCTCTCCTCCTCAAACAATGACATATATAACTGTATTTAGGGTTCTTTGGTTGCAAGCAACAGAACCATCATGGTTCATTGGAGATTTTATTCTTTGGTACAGAATTTAACTTAAATGCCTTGTGGATGTACATGAAACTGAGTCCTTTATTTCAGAGTCATAGCAGCAAGCAAATGACAATCCGTGCTTATCATCAGCACTGGTGTGTAGTAGGTCTTCTCTCAGAGAACTGGGCAGATACCTACAGAACCTATAAGACCATACACACATTCACATACCATACACACACATGCATACATTATGTAAATAAAGATACTTATTTCAAGGAATTGGCTTATGTGATTGTGGGGGCTGGAAAGTCCAAAATCTATATGGCAGGCCAACACATTGCAGATTCTGTAGCTGAAGCTGATAATGCAGTCTTTCAGTAGAATTTCTTCTTCAGCGAAACCTGAGTTTTGCTCTTAAGGCTTTTCAACTGATTGGATGAGGCCTACTCACATTATTGACGATAATCTCCTTAAAGTCAGCTGATTGTGGATGTTAACCACATTTAGATAATACCTTCATGGCAACACTTCCATCTGTTTGAATAACTGGGTACTATAGTCTAGCCAAGTTGACATGTCCAACTAACCGTTACATGGTTCAATATATATTTGTCCAATAAAAGGAAGAACAAATGGCTAAAATGGTTAATTTAAGCAGAAAAATGTTTATTTGGAGGATGTTGAATAACAGAATTTAAGTAAAAAGTGAGCACTTAGGCCTCAAGAAGTCCCAAGAAGAACCAGAGCAGTTTGCAGGGGTAGGGACCTAGGTAATAGTAAGGAACAATGCCTTCAGTGTACCACAGTCATAAAAAATCAGCTCTAGCCATTTTGCTTCCTCACATCACTCTAAGATTCAGCTTCCCGGGAAACTCAGCCTGATTGGTGTAGGCTGAGTTTAGGTCACATGTCTCCCTTGCCCAGTGAAAGGTGGGTACACCTTGATTGACATTCTCACCACAACTGCATTCAGGAAGACAAGGATTGTTTCCCAATAAAGTGTCACAAGGCTGTTACCAAAAGAAGGAGGAATACTAGACATGCACAAATAAAAGATATCCACTTCGCCAACTCTTGATATCTCACATAGATGGTCAGCTGGTAAAACTAACATGGATCAGAGCCAGATTATGTAGAATGTTACAAGGCCTGATAATGAGCTTGGGCCTTATTCTCTAGAATAATGAAACTTTTTTTGGGGAAGGGGGAGGGTCATAGATCTCTTTGAAATTTTGAAATTTTGGGGCCACATATTGGGCCCTCTTCTCTCCTAGAAGATTATGCTTATGCTTTAAAAAAGATTTGTTTTTGTTTTGTTTTGTATAACATTTCAAGAGTTTGTTTTACCTCTTGAAGTATATCCATAGTTGGTGGGAAAAGGAGCTAGTCTCAACCTGAAAAACAATCAGAATATTATATCTCTCTCAGCTTCTGATATTTGCACTGCTGATTCTCCTTAATCTCTTTGATTTCTCTTGGAGGAATTTGGTTAAGAGATGATGAGGGTCTTATTAACACAGTGTGGAAATAGGGATAAAAATAATTTGCAATTTAAAGAATTATTTAGGAAACAATATGCAGAACTAGCTCGACTGTTGATTATATATGGGGAGTACAGTCAAGTATGACTTATAGGTTTTTAGCTTGTAGGAATTGCAGGGGAAATATATAGGGCAGGTAGAAAGGTTGACCTTAAATGTGAGAAGGGACAGCCTCATCCTTTGAGTGGGACTTTAGGAAAAAAGATCATAGTAACTGGACTTAAGTTTATCAAGAAGGAAGGTAATGAGAGAGGAAGTGGAGTAGAGATTGGTAAAAGGATTGATGTGCAGTACTGAGGGTCCAGGTGAGATTTCAGACCAGGAATTTGAAGTAGTGACATCAGTTATATAATAATATTTTCTCCACCAATGAAGAGAAAGTTTAAGATTCACTAACAGTTGATGTGTACTGGCTGATTTGCGGGTGAAACAACAGGAATACATGGAATAGAGGAATCTGAGCAAAGACTAACTCAAAGATGGTGGTGTATAACTTATAGAACTCCCATTCTGTGTTGGGCGCATAAATGATCTTTGTAGATACCATTTCATTTACTCAAATAACCCTGCGAGCCAGGCACTGTTATCCCTGTGATGAAACTGAGGCTCAGAGAGGTTAAGACACTTGCCAAGGATTACAGAGCTAGTAAGTGGCAGAACTGGGCTTTAAACCCAGGAAGCTAGATTCCAAAGTCTTGTGTTCTTAACTACTAAGCTACACTGTTGATCACCCTTGGAGTCGTGGGTTAGGAGAAAAGGAAGGGAAACAATAAGGTGGGAGAAGATGAAGGACTTAGGGCTCAAAGCTGATGCTTCAGTGAGGTGGAAAACCTGTGCTGTGGGGTTTTCCTCAGATTACACACACGTGCACACGTGTTTATATCAGGTGCTGAAAAAAAGATAATTAATTTAGATATTTACCAGGAATTCTTTCAGAAGCATTTTTAATGAGTCATATTTGCACTGCACAATTCTTTTTGCTTCATTTTTATATAGTTGAAGGCAGTAAGGAATTCTTGTACAAGTAAACATCTTTTCCTTTTGTACCCCTCATCACTGCGAATTTGATAGAACCCTTAGTAAATGACCAGGTTGTTTTTTACACTTTTTTTTCTCTCCCACAACGTAACATGGGTTTGGCAAGCTTTAAAAAATGTTAGTATGTTTGTATCCACTAGTATACCTCTGACCATTTAATAGGAGATCCCTGCCAATTAGAGCTAGTGATGTTTTGTTCTAATTTGGAGAGACAGGGTGTGTCTGTCTTTAAATTCTCTGTCAGTTTTCCTTTTTGTAAAAAAAAAAAAAACAAAACAAAACCTCAATTCCCAAATTATAAATAAATTTGAGCAATTGCAGACTAAGGGAATAAGAATGAATGAATGAATGCATCCATTGGAGTAGAACATCTTCTCTTTTTCTTTCTTTTTTTTTGGACGGAGTCTCACTCTGTCCCCTAGGCTGGAGTACAGTGGTGCAATCTCGGCTCACTGCAAGCTCCACCTCCCGGGTTCACGCCATTCTCCTGCCTCAGCCTCCCGAGTAGCTGGGACTACAGGTGCCCGCCACCACACCCGGCTAATTTTTGTATTTTTAGTAGAGACGGGGTTTCACTGTGTTAGCCAGGATTGTCTCGATCTCCTGACCTTGTGATCCGCCCGCCTCGGCTTCCCAAAGTGCCGGGATTACAGGCGTGAGCCACCGCGCACAGACGAGTGGAACACCTTCTTAACACAGAACTAGTTGATTTATTTTTTCCTAATGCTTGGCTTTTTCCAAGTTTTTGTTACCCAAGATAACATTAGTCAAACTAGCACTTTGAGAAAAGGAGTTAAAGTTTTTTTATTGTTAAATTTGGGTAACTGGTCATATTTTCCTTTGTCTCTTACTGTCTCATACCCTTAGATCAGGGGTCTCCAACCCCTGGGCCACAGACTAGTTAGTAAAGGTCCATGGCCTGTTAGGAACCAGGCTGCACAGCAGGAGGTAAGCAGCGTTGAGTGTTACTGCCTGAGCCCCGCCTCTTATCAGATCACTAGTGGCATTAGATTCTCATAGGAGTGCAAACCCTATTATGAATTGCATATGTACATAATCTAGCTTGCACGCTTCTTATGAGAATCTAATGCCTGATGATCTGTTGCTGTCTCCCATCACCCCCAGATGGGACTGTCTAGTTGCAGGAAAATAAGCTCAGGGTTCCCACTGATTCTACAGTATGGTGAGCTGTATAATTGTTTCATATCATTATTATTATTACAGTGTAATAATAATAGAAAGAAAGTGCACAATAAATGTAATGCGTTTGAATCATCCTGAATCCATCTCCCACGCCCACTCCAGTCTGTGAAAAAATTGTCTTCCATGAAACTGGTTCTGCCAAAAAGGTTGGGGATCGCTGCCTTAAATTATGTAGATAAACGTAACAGATATTTGTGGTTATATCAGGGACTATTATAACATTTTTTCTGTATTAATCTAGATATTTAGCTAAAGCTCAACATGCTTTACAGATTGATATGGCTAATGTTTCAATTGTTTGCTTCTTGCTACTGTAAGGTTTCTTAGAATTAGGGCTCTAGATCTTTTTTTTTTTTTCCTTCTTTTAAATTAAGAGATGAGGTCCAAGCTGGTCTCAAACTCCTAACCCCTTCCCACCTTAGCCTCTCAAAGTGCTAGGATTACTGACATGAGCCAGTGTGCCTGGCCAGGGATCCAGATCTAATACATGTTAAGATCATAGCTTTTAGAATGTTTAGTCATAGGTATTTAACTGTAGTTTCTTCCTTTGAACCCTGAACTTCAAGGCGTTTAGTAACACTTTTAAGGTCTGTGTTCAGGTGGTTTTTGGTTTGACTGTAAATACTTTTTTCTGTTTAACATTTCTTAGTTCAAATCTAGGTCACAACCTGTCTGTACTCTTGTAGAGAATTTTATTTTTTAAATTTTATTTATTTATTTATTTTTCACAGTCTTGCTCTGTTGCCCAGGCTGGAGTGCAGTGGCACAATCTTGGCTCACTGGAGCCTCTGCCTCCCAGGTTCAAACAGTGTGTGTGTGTGTGTGTGTGTGTGTGTGTATTTTTTTTTTTTTGACTTCCAGTGACCTTTGAACTTTTTATTGGCTTCCTGCTCCCCAAAGGGTACCCTGCTTCTGCTGGCTTAATTCTCAGAACTTTGGTGTCATTGGTCTCAGATACCACTTTGCCATCCACTATCTGGTGGATGGTCGTCTTTTGGATGGTTCGCATGGAGTTGCTGCTGTCCAGGGCATCACCAAGATTGAAGTCCTTGCCATCTTCCAGCAGGTGGTGGTAGGTGGCGATCTCAGCCTCTAGTTTGACCTTGATATTCAGCAGGGCCTCGTACTCACTCCTGGGCCTGGCGTTGCCCCTCTGCCCGGGTCTGTGCCAGCTCTGACTGCAGTTGCAGCAGGATCCCGTTTAGCTGCTCCATCTGCAGGAAGTAGAGGGCCTCCACCTCCCTCAGTCTGTTCTACAAACTGGCCTTCACATTTCTCACTGAGTCCAGGTCAATCTTTAAGGACTGGACTGTATGTCTCAGCTCTGTGAGCGTCATCTTAGCCTCTCCAGCCTCAGCAGACTGCGTGGTGACCACTGTGGTGCCCTCCTCAATCTGCTGAGACCAGTACTTGTCTAGCTCCTGTCGATTCTTTCAAGCCAGCTCATTGTATTGGGCCGAGATGTCTGCCATGATCTTGCTGTCCTGAGATTTGGGGGCATCTGCCTCCATGGTCAACCCAGAGCTGGCAATCTGGGCTTGTAGGCCTTTTACTTCCCCTTTATGGTTCTTCTTCATGAAGAACAGCTCTTCGTTGAGAGCCTCGATCTCTGGCTTCAGCTGCAGCCAAGTGACATTGATGTCATCATTGACCTTGTGGAGTCCGTGGATGTCACTCTCCACAGACTGGCACATGGCCAGCTCTGTCTCATACTTGACTCTAAAGTCATCAGTAGCAAGATGGGCATTGTCAATCTGCAGAACGATGTGGGCATTGTCCACAGTATTTAAGAAGATCTGAGCTCTCACGTCCTCGATGGTCTTGAAGTAATGGCCCCAGTCCCTGAGCTGGGGTCCCTTCTTCTCCAGGTGCTCCTGGATTTTGCTCTCCAGCTTCCGGTTCTCGGTTTCCAGGCTCTCACTCTGTCCAGGTAGGAGGCCAGGCATTGAGGCGTTGCATGGTCTCCTCATTCTGGATGCCTCCCATTCCTGCCAGCCCCTCGGCCATCCCTGCAGCCAGACCCCAAGCTGTCCCAGAAGCTGGTGGAGTGGGACACGGAGATCTGGGAACCAGAGCCCCCAGCACCTGGATAGACGCTGGCCAGGCGCCATAGCTGGCTGCCTTGACAGAGCTTAGGGACTGGTAGTTGGTGGATAAGGTGAAGCGAGTGGTAAAGCTCATGCTCTCTGGGGAGGAGAGTGAGAGGATAGGACTCAGGCTTTGCCGACGACCAGAATATTAGATATTATCATTGCCTAATATCCCTTTCTTCTTTTGCTGTTGATAATCAAAACTTTATTACTGATTCTGACTTGATTTTTGAGGTTTGGTTCCCATAGAATTTTTAGCAGAGAGGTTAGTATTTAAAGGGATATTTAATACATTATTTCTTTTAGCTAGAATAAGCTAAAGGTGCAAAAGAATGAATGTTGTCTTAGGTTCCTAAGACCTGGAAAACCGGTCTGAATGCTTTTATGCACTGGGTTAACCTTTATGCCATTCAGAATGTGAGACCAGTTTGGTCTGATTTTCATTCCTCTGTTAGGCTTAAAAAAGAATCACCACACTGTTCATTGATGTCATTAGGATTATTAGGAAAAATGTTTGTTATGAGTATGAAGACCCAGAGAACTCTTGTTTACACTTATTTTAATAGTGAAAACTTGGTTTTGATTTAGAATTCTTCTAACAATATATATAAGTAATATTTGTGGAGTGGTAGAGTGCTTTTTTTTTTTTTTTTTTTTTTTTTACATTTACTAAGTTTGTCTCATTTGATCTTCACAATTCTGTGAAAAAGGTAGGACAGATAGTGTCACTCCTACTTTTAAAGATAAGAAGTTTGGGCTTCAAAGAAATTCAGTGACTTGCCCTGAGATAAATAGCTAGTTATGTCTGCTATCTTTTGCATTAGTTTTCATTCTCCTATATCAAAGAGTTTCTATGCAGAAAGACTTCTATATGATTTACTTATAATTTCTAAAATATAAAATTCAAATTGTTGAATTTCCGGCTTTTCTGCATTTACCAGAAAAGTATGCCATTTAAAAAAATAGACCATTGAAAAAACATGGAATGCTTCATGAATTTGTGTGTCATTCTTATGCAGGGGCCATGTTAATCTTCCCTATATCATTCCAATTTCAGTATATGTGCTGCCAAAGCAAGCATGACTTAATTTTTTTAGAGCAGTTTTAGGTTTACAATAAAACTGAGCAGATTTCTCGTATATCTTCTGCCCCCACACATGCATAGTCTCCTTCATTATCAACAAATCCCCTACCAAATTGGTACATATGTTACAGCTGATGAATGTACATTGACACATACTTATTATGCAGAGTCCATAGTTTACCTTAGAGTTCACTTTTGGTTTTGTATATTCTATGGGTTTGGACAAATGTAAAATGATGTGTGTCCACCTTATAGTTTCTTTCTTTTTTTTTTGAGACAGAGTCTTGCTCTGTCGCCCAGGCTGGAGTACAGTGGCGCGATCACTGCAACGGCTCACTGCAACCTCCGCCTCCCAGGTTCACACCATTCTCCTGCCTCAGCCTCCCAAGTAGCTGGGACTACAGGCACCCGCCACCACGCCCGGCTAATTTTTTTGTATTTTTAGTACAGATGGAGTTTCACCATGTTAGCCAGGATGGTCTCGATCTCCTGACCTCGTGATCCGCCCGCCTCGGCCTCCCAAAGTGCTGGGATTACAGGTGTGAGCCACTGCGCCCGTCTTCACCTTATAGTTTCATACAGATGGTTTTGCTGCCCTAAAAGTCTTCTGTGTTCCTGTCTTGTTTGTTTGCTTGTTTTGGCTATATATAAAGAGGAACAGATAGCAAGTTCTTCCACATTGTATTACTGTAATTTTAATCTTATTTGTAGTTGTGGGATTTAGAAATACTTGATTCAGAAGTATGTCTTTAAGTTAATTGATTATAATTTTGACTCTTAAGGGCATTATGAAAAAGTCTTTTTCTGGTTCTTAACAAAATTCTTTCAAGTTAGCTAGTTTCAAAAAAGAAAAATGACTTTGTACTTTTAATAATCACTTAAAAAACCAGTACCCTTTATATTGCATAATGCCTATGGGAGATATATATATAATTTTTTTTTTTTTTTTTTTTTTAGACAGAGTCTCGCTCTGTTACCCAGGCTATAGTGCAGTGGCACGATCTTGGCTCGCTGTCACCTCTGCCTCCCAGGTTCAAGTAATTCTTGTGCCTTAGCCTCCCGAGTAGCTGGGATTACAGGCATGTGCCACCATGCCCAGCTGATTTTTTAATTTTTAGTAGAGATAGGGTTTCGCCATGTTGGCCAGGCTGGTCTTGAACTCCTGACCTCAAGTGATCTGCCTGCCTCGGCCTCCCAAAGTGCTGGGATTACCAGCATGCGCTGCCACGCCCAGCTAATGTTTTTGTGTTTTTAGTTGAGACAGCGTTTCACCATGTTGGCCAGGATGGTCTCGATCTCTTGACCTCATGATCCACCTACCTTGGCCTCCCAAAGTGCTGGGATTACAGGCGTGAGAGACCGTGCCCGGCTCCAAATATATGTATTTTTTAATTGACTTTTTTTTTTTTGTGCAAAAAGTTTAGTTCAAGTATTTTTATTTTTATTTTTTTGAGACGGAGTCTCGCTCTGTCACCCAGGCTAAAGTGTAGTGGTGCAGTCTTGGCTCACTGCAACCTCAGCCTCCCAGGTTCAAATGATTCTCCTGCCTCAGCCTCCTGAGTAGCTGGAACTATAGGCTTGTGCCACCATGCCCAGCTAATGTTTGTATTTTTAGTAGAGACCAGGTTTCGCCATATTGGCCAGTCTCGTCTCGAACTCCTGATCTCAGGTGATCCACCCACCTTAGCCTCGCAAAGTGCTGGGATTATAGGCCTGACCCAGTTCAAGTATTTTTAGAACCTCTGTTCTTGTATTCATAGACCCTGTGCAAATCTCTATGTGGAAATACAAAATAATCCTTACCTTGCATTCAGCAAAGTTGACGTTGACAGCAAAGGCAAGGCTAATTATGAAACAGTTAGAGGAGAGGTCACCAAACTTTGGTCCAAGACCTGTTTTGTATGGCCCTCAAGCTAAGAATGGTTTTTACTTTTTAAAGAGTTTTTTTTTTTTAAATAAGAAAGAATAATATGTGACATAGGCCATATGTGGCTCACAAAGCATAAAACATTTACCATCTAGCTCTTCATAGATAAAGTTTGCTGACTATGGATTAGAAGAATATATATCATATAAAATATAAACAGAGACCTTAGGGAAACGCAAATCAAAACCATAATGAGATATTATTTCATACACACTAGGAAGGCTGTAATTTAGGGGAAAAAAGGACAATAACAAGTGTTGGCCAGGATGTAGAGAGATTGGAACTCTCATACATTGCTGATGAGAATGTAAAATGGTACAGCCACTGTGGAAAACAGTTTGGCAGTTCCTGAGAAAGTTAAACATATGCTAAAGAGATGCAATGAAAAAGAATAAATAAATAAAAATAAAAGAAAAATATAGAGTTATCTTACGACCCAGCAGTTTTGCTGCTAGGTATATACCCAAGAGAATTGGAAACGTATGTGTACACTAAAACTTGTGCAAGACTGTTCATTACAATAAACAAAAAGTGGAAAGAACCCAAATGTCCATCAACTGATAAATAAACAAAATGTGATATAGCCATACAATGGAATATGATTTAGCCATAAAAAGGAATGAAATACTGACACAACTTCAACATCGATGAACCTTGGAAGCATGCTAAGCACAAAAGCCAGACACAAAAGGCCACAAGTTGTATGATTCCATCTATGTGAAATGTATAGAAAAAGCAAATCTTTAGAGACAGTAAGTAGATTAGTGGTTGCCAGAGACTGTAGGGAGGGCAAATGGGGAGTAACTGTTCATGGATATGTTTTTTTTTGGGAGGGGTGATGAAAATATTCAGAAATTAGATAGTGATGGTGGTTATAACAGCCTTGTGAATATAATTTTTAAATCCACTGAATTGTGTACTTGAAAATGGTGGGCCAGGCGCGGTGGCTCACGCCTGTAATCCCAGCACTTTGGGAGGCTGAGGCGGGCGGATCACCTGAGGTTGGGAGTTTGAGACCAGCCTGATCAACATGGAGAAACCCCCGTCTCTACTAAAAATACAAAAGATTAGCTGGGCGTGGTGGCACATGCCTGTAATCCCAGCTACGTGGGAGGCTGAGGCAGGAGAATCCTTGAACCGGGAAGGCGGAGGTTGCAGTGAGCCGAGATCACGCCATTGCACTCCAGCCTGGGCTACAAGAGCGAAACTCTGTCTCAAAAAAAAAAAAAAAAAAAAAAAAAAGGTGGATTTTACAGTGTATGAATTATATGTCAACAAAAGAAAATTTAACCAGAGATTAAGTAGTATAAAAGAGGTAATGAGAGGTCAGGGAGAGAAAAGAAGACTGTGGGCATGAATTAATGGATACAACTCTGAGGTTGGGGCTTGAAATGCACCTCAAAAGGCACAGAGGATTTGGATAGATAGAGGAAGTGGTTAAGGCATTACTTAGGAAGGGGTATAAACCAAGATATTATTTTGACATAAGAGAAGTGGCAAGATGTAAGTGGAAGAAAAGACAAGGCGAGTCTCTTGTTTTCATGGGGCTTCTAAACTGGCATATTAACTGATCTGGCCTGCTAAGGATAATGCTTTGCACAATTATTTTCATGGGATAAATTGCATATCCTTCTAGTCTCAGGCAAGAATTTTTTATTCCAGCCAGAGAGCAAGAGCCTAAGGACTCTCCGCCATGGTATTCTTAACGAGTTACTGTAAGGATTTTAGTTCATTGCATATGCTTTGTGGAATTTGCCATCTTTTTTATTTTTTTTAACCTATTTTAAATCATACAAAGTGTCTATCAGGTTTTGTTGTTACTTCAAACAAACCCCCCTCTTAATACTTTCTTGTTCTTGCCACTTCACACTTTCATGTATACTGTTTTATTTAATCCTTCCATCACACCTGAGTTAGGTGGTATCATTCCCATTTTAAAGATGAAAGAGGCCATATAATAGAGTGCTTAGGAGCCAGGATGGGAGCACTGGAGGCAGAATGCCTAGGTTCAAATCCTCGTTCTGCCATTTACTAATTGTTTTGTGAGTTTTGTTGAGTTATTGAACTTCTGTAGGTCGTATGTTTTCTCTTGTCCAAAGTGGTGATTATAATAATATTATAGAATTGTTTTAAATAAATTGACTAAAAGTAAAATTCTTAGAAACATGCTTGCACATAATAAGTCCTCAGTAAGTGTTAAACTGCTACTGTTGGTTATAGATCATGAGAACTGAGTAAGTTTAAGAAGTCCAGAGACTTCTACCTGATAAGTGGTAGAGCCAGTGATTAAATATAGGTGATCTGAATCTAAGTCCTACTTGCTAATTTATCTAGTTGCCTTTACCATATTTTATTATATGTTTATTTACTTATTGGACATAAAATTATTAGCCTTCTAAACTTTGATTTAAATGTGGACTGGCTGAATGCGGTGGCTCACGCCTGTAATCTCAGGACTTTGGAGGTTGAGGTGGGAGGGAATTGCTTGAGGCCAGGAGTTGGAGGCTGCACTAAGCTGTGATCGTGCCACTGCACTCCAGCGGTGACAGAGTGAGACCCTGTCTGAAAAAATAAATGTGGGCCAGACCATAGACCAAGTAGTTATAGCAAAAGAGAGTTTCTAAATTACTCACAACAGAACTTCCATTCTTAAACTAGTCTTTTGCTTTAATCCACTGGTACCCAATCCTTAGCAGTTATAAACCAAACTCATGAGCTATGAGGGGAAAATGACCATGGGAAACATAGATTTAATGCAAAATAACTGAAAAAAAAGAAAAAAAAACAATGCAATAAAACAAAAAAAAAAACAACAGAAATTAACTTGAGCGTGATAAACAGCTAAAAGCAAACAATATCTGAGGGAAAACGGGATAATCAAAAAAAGTGGCTATTCTTAATAAATAGAACAGACTGCTTGATAGGAACAAACTTTTTTTAAAGATAAATGAAAAAGAATACGCATTCACAAAAGAAAAAAGCACATGACTGATAAATATTTGAAAACTTTAACCTCACTAATCGGAGAAACTTAGAGTAATAAAATTTTGATAATACAGTTAACTAAATAGGAACATTTATGTTGAAACTGTGCTATTAGGGATATGGTGAAATGGGACCCACACATTCCTGATTGGAATGCCAGTTGATAAAACTAATCTCCATGAAGAACCTTAAAAATGTTCATAGTCTTTTTTTTTTTTTTTTTTTTTTTTTTTAAGACGGAATCTCGCTCTGTCGCCCAGGCTGGAGTGCAGTGGCGCAATCTCACTGCTTGCTCACTGCAAGCTCCGTCTCCTGGGTTCACAGCATTCTCCCGCCTCAGCCTCCCGAGTAGCTGGGACCACAGGCGCCCACCACCACGCCTGGCTAATTTTTTTGTTTGTTTTTTTGTTTTTTGTATTTTTAGTAGAGACGGGGTTTCACCATTCACAGGATGGTCTCGATCTCCTGACCTTGTGATCCGCCCACCTCGGCCTCCCAAAGTGCTGGGATTACAGGCTGAGCCACCGCGCCCGGCCTCCTAATCTCTGATTAATTAATGTTCCATGTGAGAATATAAGACAAAGAAAAAAATGACAACTGGATAAAAGTGTATTATATAAATAAAGATTCATTGCAGCATTATCTGTAATAATAGAAAACACTTTGACATGCCCAGCAAGAAGGATAGTTAAATTACTGTACATTTATTGCAATATCTGTTAAAATAGTTATGAAAAACTTCAGTGACCTTGGAGGGAGATGAAGTAATATCGGCGGGGGTGGGGGTTGGTAGTAATAAAAAACAAGACTCAGAATTGCAACACCTTAACCTCTAATGTCAAGCAGTAAACCTAGTCTTGAGAACAGTTCATTCTGGACAAATACTTACTGAGTTGCTCTTAAATGTTTGATTAATAAGTATCTACTATAAAAATAAATAAGGCAAAACCCTTTTTGAAACCACATTCCCCTTTCCCTTGTAGTAGTGACCACCTGATTTTTCTATTCCTCCTTAAAGCAAACTCCTCAAAAAAATTGTCCATAATGCCATCTCCCAATTTCTTGCCTCCCAATCTTTCCTGAACCCAGTTGTGCTTTTGTCCTGGGTTATTACACTGAAATTGGTTTATCCAGTCTCCAGTGACCTCCAGTGGTCAAGTTCTCAGTCGCATCTTAATTTACATGTCAGCATTTGATAATTGATCAATTCTTCCTCTTTGAAATATTTTCTTCTCTTTATCCCAAGAAACTATATACATGGTTCCCCCCCGCCACTGCCTCACTCACTAGTTGCTCTTTCCTGACCTGCTTTGATGGCTTCTCTGCTCTGATTGTTTTTTTTTTGTTTTAGTTAATATGGAGAATTGTGTTGTATTTTTTTATATTGTGGTAAAATACACATAACATACCATTGTAATTATTTTTAAGTATACAATTCAGTAAAATTAAGTACATTCACATTGTTGTGCAGACTTCACCACCATCTGTTTACAGAACTCTTTTCATTTTGTGTAACTGAAACTTGATTCCATTAAACAGTAATTCCCCATCCCCCTTCTCCGCCCCCAACAACCACCATTCTATTTTCTGTCTCTGAATTTTTTACTACAATAGGTACTTCATATAAGTGGATTAGGGATACCTATATGTCAAAATTGCAAACTTCTGTGCATCAAAGAACACATCAAGGTTGAGCGTCCAAAATCCATATCCATAATCCAAAATCCAAAATCCATAACTTTTGAGTGCTGACATGACACCAGAAGTGGAACATTTTATATCTTTCCCCATGTGGGTTGCAGTCAAAATAGTAGTCAAAACTTTGTTTCATGCACAAAGTTGTTAAACATATTGTATAAAATTACTTTCAGGCTGTGTATGAAGTGTTTATGAAACAGTTTAGACTTGGGTCCCATTCCCAATAGATCTCATTATGTATATACAGATATTCCAAAATCTGAAAATATTTGAAATCTGAAGCACTTCTGTTCCCAAAGGGATACTCAACCTGTAGTCCAATTTATCTATTTTTTTCTTTTGTTGCCTGTGCTTTTGGTGTTTATCTAAGCAATCATTGCCAAATCCATTGTCATGTATCTTTCCTCCTATGTTTTCTTCCAAGAATTTTATGGTTTTGCTCTCTCACATTTAGTCTTTGATCCATTTTGAGTTAATTTTTGTATATGGTGGGGCCCAACTCTTCATTCTTTTGCATGTGAATATCCAGTTTTTCTAGCACCATTTATTGAAAAGACCATCCTTTCCCAATTGAATGGTCTTGGCCTCATTTTCAAAAATCATTTGACCATATATGTGAGGGATTTATTTCTGGACTGTCTTATTTTATAAATTTTAATATGTTGTGTTTTCATTTTCATTCTGTTCAAAATACCAATTTATCCCTTTTGATTTCTTCTTTGAACTATGGATTATTTAGAAATATGTTGTTTAGTTTCTAAATATTTGGGGATTTTCTTGATCTTTCTGTTACTGGTTTCTAATTTAATTCTGTAGTAGTCAGAAAACATACCTTGTATGATTTAAATTTATTCAAATTTATTGAGACTTACTTTATAATTTAGAATATGGTCTATCTTGGTAAATGTTTCGTGTACACTTGAAAATAATATATATTCTTTCATTGTTGGATAAAGTACAGTCATACATCACTTAACAGGGATACGTTCGGAGAAATATATTATTAGGCAATTTGTTAAATTAATCTCTGAGTAGTTTCTTTTTAGATACTTTTGTAAGTGATTTTTTAAATTTTATTTTTCACTTCTTTGCCAATATATAGAAATACAGTCACACATCACTTAACAACATATCTCCTAGCTGTGATCACACCACTGCAGTCCAGCCTGGGCAACAGAGTGAGACCCTGTCTCTAAAATAATTAAGTAAATAAATAAAGTAAATCATTCAATTCAACCTTAGCTTATTGTAACTTTTTTACTTTATAAACTTTTTGACTCCTGTAATAACACTTAGCTTAAAACACAAACACATTGTTGTCTGTTAAAAAAAATTTCCTTTCTTTAGTTCCTTATTCTATAAACTTTTTTTCTATTTTTAAAATTTTTTACTTTTTAGACATTTTTGTTAAAAACTAAGACACAAACACACATATTCACCTAGGCCTACACTGGTTCAGGATCATTAAGATGTCACTAGGCAATAGGAATTTTTCAGCTCCATTGTAATCCTATGGGACCACCATCACATATGCGGTCTAAACAATGCGGATTAAAACAATGTCCTGCAGTACCTGGCTGTATTCTGTAAATGTTGATTAGATCCAATTGATTGATGGTGTTGTTTACTTCAGCTACGACCTTACTGATTTTCTGCCTGCCGGATCTGTCAGTTACTGACAAGGGTGTTGAGGGCTCCAGCTATAATAATGGATTCATCTGTTTCTCCTTGCAGTATCCATTTTTGCCTCATGTATTTTGACACTGTTGTTAGATGCATGCACATTAAGAATTGTTATGTCTTCTTGGAGAATTGATGCCTTTATCGTTATGTAATACTCTTCTTCATACCTGATAACTTCTCTTACTCTGAAGCCTGCTTTGTCTCAGAATAATATAGCTACTGTTAACTTTCTTTTTATTAGTGTTAGCATGATATATTTTTCTTCATCTCTTTACTTTTAATCTCTGTACAGTAGTCCCCACTTACCCATGGAGGATACATTTCAGTGTCCTCTGTGGATGCCTGAAACCGCGGATATAGTACCAAACCTTATATGTACTGTATTTTTTCCTGTACATACCTATAATAAAGTTTAATTTATAAATTAGTCACAGTAAGAGACTGACAGCAATACCTAATAATAGAACAATTCTAACAATATACTTTATTAAAAGTTATGTGAAAGTAGTCTCTCTCTCTCAATATTGTAATATTTTTCAGATACCTGTTGACTGGGCCACTGAAATTGCAAAAAGCAAAACTATGGATGGGGGGGTCTACTGTATTTATATTTAAAGTGGGTTTCTTATAGACAACATATAGTTGGGTCTTGTTTCTTTAGTCCGTTGTGACAGTCTCTTTTTTTTTTTTTCTCTTATTATTATACCTTAAGTTTTAGGGTACATGTGCACATTGTGCAGGTTAGTTACATATGTATACCTATGCCATGCTGGACAGTCTCTTTTAATTGGTGTTGGATTAATATATATCTACCATATTTGTTACTGTTTTCTATTCATTGCCCTCCCTTGTTGTTTCCTTTTTTTGCCTTCTGATTTCAATTGAACATTTTATGTTACTTCATTTTTTCTCCTCACTTACTGTATTATACTTGTTTTTACTTTTTTTTACTAGTTGCCCTTGAATTTGCAGTATACATTTACAACTAAGCCAAGCCCACTTTCATATAACATAGCACTTCATGGGTAGTGCAAGTACCTTGGAACAGAATATTCTTAATTACTTACACTAGTCCCTTATAACATTGCTGTCATTCATTTTACTTATCCATAAGCTATAGTCACCTAATACCTTGTTGCTGTTATTTTGAACAAACTGTATATGTTTAGATCGATAAAGGATAAGACAAGTAAAAGTAAAGTTTCTGACCTAAGTAGTTTTCCTTCTTTCTGAAGAAATTTTCACATTTCTTGCAAGGCATGTCTGCTGGTGACAAATTCTCTCCATTTTTGTTTGAAAATGTGTGCATTTCTCCTTCATTTGGAGGATAGTGTCACTTAATACAGAGTTGTAACTTGGTGGTTTTTTCTGGGAACACTTTAAATATTTTACTTCACTCTCTTCTTGCTTTCCTGGTTTCTGAAGAGAAGTCTGATGCAATTCTTGTCTCTGTTCTGCTATAGGTAAGATGTTTTCCCCCCCTCTGGCTTCTTTCAGCATTTTCTCTTTGCCTTGATTTTATGCAGTCTGAAATATACCTAAGTGTAGATGTTTTGGCATTTATCTTGGTTAGTGTTCTCTGAACTTCCTGGGTCTGTGGTTTGGTGTCTATCCTCTCTTTATTTTTTAGCAGTCTTTTTTTTCTCCCAACTTGTCTCTTCGTTTGGCCCTGTCTTCAAAATGTATGTGGAAGTTAACCAATTCTTACTACCTGCACTGCTACTCCTTTGGTCAACATTCCTATCTCTTGCATTATTTCAGTTGCCTTCCAGTTCTTCCTGATTCTGCCCTTGACCTTCTCTTTTACAACCAGAGAGACCTTTTAAAAATTTCAGTGGAAACTTGACATCCTCTGCTCAAAACTGTCCAGTGGCTTCCCACGCATACCAAGTAAAAGCTGAAGTCCTTACCGTGGCCTAAAAGCCTGTATTTAGCTCTCTATTTAATATCTTACCTTCTCTTCTCCTAATGACTTCCTCATTGTCCTCCAATTATAGTGCCCTACTTGTTCCTTATCGAAGTCACCAGGCATCTCAAGGCTTTTCTGCTTCCCTCAGATGTCTGCCCAACTCTGTCCTCTAACTGCCCATCATCTTTAGTTGTTTACTCAAACATCACTCTTCTAGATTATAAACCTACATGCCATATGGACTACGATCTCCCCATTGCTTTTTGTTTTCTGGAACACTTTACCAGCTGACTTGTTTCTGGCAGGAGAGTGCATGATGCATTGGAGAAGATGTAAGAAAGCCAGTTGGCTGGAGTGTTGAGAATGAAGGGAGCACTGTTGTGAAATAAAGCCAGAATGGGAGTTAGGGACCCAACTGTGCAGACCCTTGTAAGCCATGTTAACATCTTTGGTCTTTATCTTTAAGGGAAATGGGAAATCACTGAAGTATCTGAACTGGAGGGATTCGGAGGAGGTCACTAAGTGATTAAATTTGTCATTTTACAAAGTTCATTTTAGCTTCATTATGAATATATTGGAGGGGGAAAAGATTGGATGTAGGGAGATCAGATGAGAGGCTATTATAGGGATCCAGGTGTAAGCTGATGGTAGCTTATTTAGTCTGTTATGGTTGATGGCCATACAAAAAGAATGATTCTCTGAAGTAATGTATTTATATACATCTGTGGTCAGCAATTCATAACTCCTGATTGCCAGGTTAAGATTTCCAATTTAGGGGCCGGGCACAGTGGCTCATGCCTGTAATCCCAGCACTTTGGGAGGCTGAGGCGGGGGGATCATGAGGTCAGGAGTTCGAGACCAGCCTGACCAACATGGTGAAACCCTGTCTCAACTAAAAATACAAAAATTAGCCGGGCGTGGTGGCGCATGCCTGTAATCCCAGCTACTCAGGAGGTTGAGGCAGGAGAATCACTTGAACCCTGGAGGCGGAGCTTGCAGTGAGCCGAGATTGCGCCACTGCACTCCAGCCTGGGCGACAGAACGAAACTCCGTCCCAGAAAAAAAAAAAAAAAAAGCAATTTCCAATTGAGAGGATCTCTTTTTGGTTCCATGGTAAGAAAGTAGAATGACTTTCCCAACGTAATTCTTCAGAATAAACCCTAGAAATTCTGTTAGTCAAATAGTTATGTATCTTTTTTTGTGTATTTCTTAGCATTTGGCACAAAATCAAAGATTCCTTATTAAACCAATTATTATTTAATGGTCACTTCTAGATCCTGTTCAAACTGATTCATCTCTCATGAAGGCAGGGCTTTAACTAATTTCCTTGTTTTTCCCAACCTTCTCTCATCTGAAAAAATTAACTTGATTGGCCGGGTGTGGTGGCTCACGCCTGTAATCCCAGCACTTTGGGAGGCCGAGGCGGGCAGATCATGAGGTCAGGAGATTGAGACCATCCTGGCTAACATGGTGAAACCCCGTCTCTACTAAAAATACAAAAAATTAGCCGGGCGTGATGGCAGGTGCCTGTAGTCCCAGCTACTCGGGAGGCTGAGGCAAGAGAATGGCGTGAATCCGGGAGGCGGAGCTTGCAGTGAGCAGAGGTAGCACCATCGTATTCAGGCTTGGGCGAAAGAGCGAGACTCCATCTCAAAAAAAAAAAAAAAAAAAAAAAATTAACTTGATCAGGGCTAAGATTGTTCCTCAATCAGATGTTTTCAAAACAAAGGTGTCTAGGGGGTGTTATTTCTCTTCACAAAATTAATAGCTCTGGGAACAAAAAATTTGTGTAGAACTGTAGCACTTACGAGGATAGGAAACTCATAACACTCTGGCCATACTAAGAGAGATTTGATGCTCTTATATGAGCAAACAGATTTAATAAACAGCGATTCTAATAGTTTTCTAATGTGGCAGTGTTTTTATCAACTAAAACATTGATTCTCTTCACTTTAGTTTGGGAAGGAAAAAAGCATTAAGCTTCTGTACCTAAAATATGTTATTAAATATGTTGTTTACTTAACAGAAACCAGTGAGGTATCTTAGTCCAGCTTTGTTGTGTAAATAAAGAAGTTGAATATTAATGAGGATAAATGACTTGTCTTGGCTCACACAACTTATAGATCCTGATTTTGGACCCAGATATTCCTGCAAAAGTCTCTTTGGTTTTGTTGTTGTTGTTGTTGTGTTTTTGACACAGTCTTGCTCTGTCGCCAGGCTGGAGCAAGTGGCATGATCTTGGCTCACTGTAACCTCCGACTCCCTGATTCTAGTGATTCTCCTGCCTCAGCCTCCTGAGTAGCTGGGATTACAGGCACGAGCCACCATGCCCAGTTAATTTTTGTATTTTTAGTAGAGACAGGGTTTCACCATGTTGGCCAGGATGGTCTTGATCTCCTGACCTCATGATCCACCCGCCTTGGCCTCCCAAAGTGCTGGGATTACAGGCGTGAGCCACCGTGCCTGGCCAAGGCTCTTTGTTTTTGATCAGAGGTTGTTAATTTGGGTTCCCTGGTCTCCAACATTTCCCTCACTTCCCCCAGTGTATATATTCTTTTCAAATAACTGGATTTACTGGATTAAGGAATACAATAAAGTTAAGAATCAATAAATTTGATTATACTGCCTCCTGATTTGGGGTTCCTAATCTGACAGTGCTTTCCATTCTTGTCTTGCATTACCTTTCCAAAATTCTTCTCAAAATATCAATAACACTCTAGTTACATTAATAAAGTAGTGATAGTAGTATTTTTAAGTGGATAATTGCCAGGCACTCTCCTAAGTGCTACATATGCATTATCTAATTTGGTGTTCACAGCAACATTGCTGAACTATGTCCCTTACTTTAAGATTAGCCCTCCATCTAAATGGTCTCACCACATTTTAAAGATTGCTTGGATTAATTGAATTACCGAATATAGTGGAAAAGGTCTTAGGCATTAGTGTTAGACGACACCTAGCTTTGAAGCCAAGGTCAACCCCTTTTTTCTTTCATTCAATAAATGTTTATTGAGCATCTACTATTTTCCAACTATTGTTCTGAGCACTAGGAATGGCATCTTTTATCTGCATTTTGAAGGGAAGATAATGTCTGCCTTGAAGGTTGCTAAAGTCTAAGAAAAAGGCACTTAAAAAAAAAAGGTTTGCTTCCTTGCCCTCCTAACTGATCTTCCTTCTCTAGTTTTTCATTCCTCTGTTGCAATCTACAGAGTACTCATAGAGCTTTCTTTTTTCTCTTCAAACTCTTGCTCAAAAGCCTTAGATGGCTTTTCTCATCTGATAGGAAAGTTTCAAGTTCATAGGATGTCATAGAGGAACTTTTATAGCCTGCTATTTAAAACCATATATGGGCCAGGCACGGTGGCTCACGCCTGTAATCCCAGCACTTTGGGAGGCCACGGAGGGTGGATCACCTGAGGTCAGGAGTTCAAGACGAGCCTGGCCAGCACGGTAAAACCCTGCCTACTACAAATACAAAAAAATTATCCGGGCATGGTGGCACATGCCTGTAGTCCCAGCTACTTGGGAGGCTAAGGCAGAAGAATCGCTTGAACCAAGGAGGCGGAGGTTGTAGTAAGCTGAGATTGCGCAACTGCACTACAGCCTGGGCAACAAAGTGAGACTCCGTCTCAAAAAAAAAAAAAAAAAAAAAAAAACAAAAAACAAAACCACATATGTACTAAGTCCTTTCCTCTCTCACCCTTTCACAGTAAATGCTCAGGCCACCTAGACTTTTTTTTAAATATAAGTTTTCTATTAGATCATCACAGAGTCTCTTGAGTCTCTGCCTTTTTTCTGGAATTCCATGTCTATAACATTCTGTCTACCTACACCCCCTTCCTCTCCCTGGGCTTCAAGAAATACATACAAAGTACACAGTGAAAAATCTCTTTTCTTTCCATGTCCTGTCATTCCTCAGCTTCCTTCCCAAAGGTATTCTATGCATATACAAGTTTTATGTACATGAATGAATACAGGCAGATTGGCATGTTAGATTGTGAACCCTGAAACCAGGTTGCCTGAGTTTAAATCGTGGCTTTTCTTCCTAGATATGTGACTTTGGGGATATTACTAGTATCTGCCTTGTAAGCTTATTGTGAGGATTTCTTACAGCACTTCCTGGCACATGGTAAGCACTCAGTAAATGTTTGCCATTACTATTGTTGTGTTGTTGTTATATAACAGCATAATATATTCAAAAGAGAGCAACATTTAAAATCTAGAGACATAGGTTTGAATACAGCTTCCTAATTACTTTATGCTTAAGTCATTTAATCCAAGTTAAGCCTTGTATGTTTCTTTATAGTGGGGGTAATGACATATAGTTTTGGTTTTGATTACCTAAAAAATAAAAAGGAAAGAGCATTGTAAGTGACAGAATGCTATATAAAGTTTAGTTGCTGTTGGTTACACGGTTTTACTTTCCCTTCAAGGAAAGGTTATAACATTTTAGCTGGATAATAGTTTGAAAAACAAAGATATCAGAAACTTAGTTATAATTATGCATTTTTACTTATAATTATTCCAAATTTATACTTTTTCATTAGCTTTGGCATGCTTTAGTTTTGGTCATATATAGTTTATGTGGCAGTGCTGTTAAGGGAATAAAGTTAGAGAGTGAATACCTCTATTTATGGAAATGTATCAAGATTCCAGAATTGATAAACTTAGCTATACTTGGCATAATTTAGTACACCTGACCAAATGTATCTTTTAAGGAAAATAATGTTTTGGTCAACCTAGAAAGTATTAGTCATGGCCTTAAATTTTTTCTGCATGGTTTACAAATTTTTTGTTTGTCTGCAATGATAATAGTTATACTGAAGAATATTCACTTTACTTAAGTAGATGGTAATACATTTAAAAAGCAGTCTTTCATTTCCATTTCACTTAGTCAAACATTTACTGGTGATGTGCTTTTGATGATTTGCTATGTTGCTAAAACAGGATATGCATTCACTGTTTTTTGACAGCTCATGGATCCAAGAGCACATGTAGTTCCTAAAGGCACAGAGTATAGGATATTTTTGGATACTGTGATATTCCCCCCTTTCTTCTGGTAATTAGAAGCATTCCCAGTATTAAACATTTAGGAGGAAAAGTTATAGTCAAAGAAGACCATCTCTTTCTTTTAAATCATTTTAATATGAAGCATATATTTTACTTTAGAGCTTTAAAATGATTTAAAGTAACAATTTTAGTAACCTTTGGGTTTGTCTTGAAAGTATTTTCATTTCATTTGTTTCTAAAATACTTGTTTCTCTGAAGAGAGAAGATGGCTCAATCTGATGACATACGTAACCGTGATGACTGACAGTTTAAACTGAAATCAATAAAGGGAGAATAGTTTTTAAATGCATTGAGACAAAGCATACAGGAAAGATATAATTTTGTATAATCTTTTGTTGAAGTCTTCAAAACAGTACAAGTGTTATTTGCCTCATGACATGAAAATTCACAGTAAACAAAGCTATTATATTTGAATTTCACAAAAATGTTTACTTTCTTAGTTATCCTTCAGAAAAAAATTCAGAATGATGACTCTTCTCAAATTAAGTATTTATACTAATACCTGCAAAAACTGTCATTTAGGGATTATTTGTACAGTTCTATGTGGTAACACTCAGCCATGCAACATGTGCATATATTAGTTTCCATATGTAAAATCTGGAATTACTGAAACAATCTGTCTTAGACTTTTTTTGATGAAGAATTAGATTAAAAACTCCTTATTTATAACAACATGGTAGTCATTGAATGTAAGAACTCAGATCACATTGCAGATATTCTAAAAATAGAATGTAAATTAGGTTTTAACACTAATTCTGAGATTATTATATGTGGCAAATAATTTGAATGATATTCAGCAGTCTAATTTAGGTAATCAAATCACAGAGATTTAAAAAAAAAAAGCATTGATTTGCATTTGTGATCAGTATTGCTTAGGAAAAATGCCTGATACTATAAGAGTATATAAAGTTTTGACTCAAAGGGGTCAGGGAAGCATATCTTAGGGAATTAATACTTGTGCTCAGATCCAAGGAAAAGAGCAGGCATTATTAACTAAGTGGAGAAGGAAGAAGTCATTGCAGGCAAAGGGAATAGCTTCTGCAAAAGCCCTGTGGCAGAAGGGAGCATATCAGGTTTAAGAAACTGAAAGATGGCCAGTGTGGCTGTCATAGAGAGTAAATAGGGATATGGAGCAAGATGAAGTGGATACAGGCCAAATCATTAGGAGCTTTGAGAACTTGGAGTTTAATCTTTACCCTATGAGCAAAAGGAAATCATTTAATTTTCTGTTTTGAAAAGATCATTCTGGCTGCAATGTAGAGGAACTCAAGTGAGCAACAATGGACTAGTTAAGAGGCTATTTCAGTAGTCCCAGGAGGTTGCTTAGGCTAGAGTCATGTAGTGGAAAAGAAAAGGAACTGACAGATTCTTTGCCTGGAGGGTAACGGTTCTTTGCTCAGGTCATTCTGACACTCCTACCCTCCTCTCCTGTTTCTCCACTCTTTAAAAAAATGGCGATAGAAAATACAAAGTAGTATTCTGTGATTAAATTATCACACTTTTATTATAGATTATATTCTTGATAACTAATATTCATAATTTTATGTTGAGAATATTATAAAGAAATGTTTTCATCAAATGTAGATTCATGGCTGGGCATGGTGGCTCACTCCTGTAATATCAGCACTTTGGGAGGCCGAGGCGGCTGGATCACTTGACGTCAGGAGTTCGAGACCAGCCTGGCTAACATGGCGAAACCTGTCTCTACTAAAAATACAAATTAGCTGGGCGTGGTGGCCCGCACCTGTAATCACAGCTACTCGGGAGGCTTAGGCAGGAGAATTGCTTGAACCTGGGAGGCGGAGGTTGCAGTGAGCCAAGATCGCGCCATCACACTCCAGCCTGGGCGACAAGAGCAAGACTCCGTCTCAAAAAAAAAAAAAAATGTGGGTTCATGACTTCTCACTGTGAAGAAGTGCATATTGGCCATTTAAGATTTTTTAAATGAAGGTCCCATTTTACAACTGGAAACCTAAAGGAACAGTATCAAGGAACTGACATAAGATATGCTCAGAGGCTAAAAAGTAAGTGAAAGCTAGACTCAGCACTCAGAGCCTATTTTTGTCTTGATGGCACCTACTGAACCAGCTAAACCTGGGCTTATGGTTTCATTGCCTTCGCAGACATAGAGGATAGGAGACTAAGCTCAGTCTATGAGGAGACTCCACCGAGTGTCTGTGCACCCCTCCCCACCCCTACTCCTGCCAACTCCGAGGAAACTGGACTGTCACAAATGTTGGCACTAAGTTGAAGTGGTGGTGCAGGTTTGGGGGTTGTTATTCTTTGACATTTTATAGTTGCAACCTAGCCTTTATGTTTCCATATCTAAATCACACTTTTTGGGTTAGCCCAAAAGTATCTTAAAATTTGACTATGGTTCAAAGTAATTCTGGCCACTAGTAACTCCAGGCACTTGCAGAAGCAAATGCACATCACAGTAAAAGATCACACAACTCAAAAAGAAAAAGAGACTGAAAATACGGATTATCCAGGATAACAGACAACTGAATTGGACCCCCATTGACTTCATATTTTGGAATTATTAGACAGGAATTTAAAATCAGTGTGTTTAGCGAGGTAAAGATTAAAAATATAAGAATGATGGGATTATGATAGCTAACATTTTGTAGTGCTTCCTATGAACCTTGAACTCTTCAGTACTTTACATGTTAATTAATCCTCACAAAAACTCTAAAGTAGGGTTTATTATTATCCCCATTTTACAGGTGAAGGAATGAAGCACAGAATGGGGATGTAACTTGACCAAGGTTAGTAAAGTAGTAGAACCAGGATTCTAGCCAGGCGGTATGGGTCCTAAAGTCAGGCTTTTAACCATTTTACTATACTGCTTATAAGAAAGATAGCGAGGTTATGAGAAGTTACAAATAGCTTTTTTGTGTTTAGGGGGAGAACTTTTAGAAATGAAATATATAGGCTGTATGCGGTGATGCACATCTGTAATCCCAGCACTTTGGGAGGCCAAGGCAGGTAGATCACTTAAGCCCAAGGAGTTCGAGACCAATGTGGGCAACATGGTGAAATCCCATCTCTACAAAAAAATACAAAAATTAGCTGGGCATGGTGGTGTGTGCCTGTAGTCCCAGCTACTTGGGAGGTTGAGGTATGAGGATCCCTTGAGTCCAGGAGGTCAAGGCTGCAGTGAGCTGTGCCACTGCGTTCCAGCCTGGGCAACAGAATGAGACCCTATCTCAAGAAAAAAAAAAAAAAAAAAAAAAGAAAGAAAAGAAATGTATAAATAAAAATCTTAAAAGTCAATGGACAGGCTTAACAATAGATTATAATTAGTGACCTGGAAGATGACCTGAAAAATAAGTTAACCAAAATAAAGAGACAGAAATGGAAAATATGTAAAAAGGAAAAAAGAAAATTGGACAACCATAGCCTAAATTGCTAGTTTTCCCTGATACCATTCTGTGTCTAATAAGTAGTGGATATATTAGTTGGATGCTCTGTTGCCTAGCTAAAACTTCTGTTTCATTGCCTTCCTGATAGTGAGATTTGACTATGTGACAAGGCTTTGGTAATTTGGGGTGCAAATTGAAATGTGTGTAACTTCTAGATCATGCCTGTGAGAGGAAAGGGGATATGCCGTTTTCTTTATCTTTCTTCCTGCCCATGAACTGGAATGTAAACATGGCAATGAGATATTTTTGCCTGTGTAGAAGGGGGCAATACTCTAAGGATGACAGAGCAATAAGACATAAGAGCTTGGCTCTCTCAGACTACCTAGCTGCCAAACAAGAGTGTCATGTGAGAGGAAAATAACCCTGAATTTTGGTTAAGCCACTTTTGAGTCTCTTATTAACAGCAGCCAGTGTCTACATCTTAACTAATCCAAGAAGAGCATGAAAAGGTCTAATAGTTGTCTAACCAGAATTTCAGATATGAAGAAAAATCAAGTAGATACAGTATTTAAGGAGATTACAATTAGAATTTCCAAAACTGCAAAAAGATACAAATTCAAGAAGTCAAATCCTAAGCAGAGTGAATAGAAATGTAAACCTAAAGTCTTCATAGTTAAATTTGCAGATGATCAGAGATGTCAAAAATAACCAGAAGGACAACACAGATCACTTTCAAAAGCTCTGCAATTAGGCTAGCAGCTGACTTATTGAAAGGAAAGTAGAAATCAAAAGACAGTAGAATAGTAACTACAGTGTACTCAGAGTAAATAACTATTAAAGCTAAAATATCCTTGAAGAGTGAAGCAAAGTTTTCAGATAAATAAAACTGGGAGTTTTTTTTTGTTCTCACTATTTGCACAGCACTAAGAAAGATTCCAAAAGATATACTTTAGGTAGAAGGAAAGTGACCCCTAATGGAGGATCTGAAATATTAATTAGGAAAGAAAAATGGTCCCAGGCGCATTGGTGCATTCCTGTAATCCCAGCACCTTGGGAGGCCAAGGTGGGCAGATAGCTTGAGCCTAGGAGTTCGAGACCAGCCTGGGCAAGATGGCGAAACCCTGTCTCTACCAAAAATACAAAAAAATTAGCCGGACGTGGTGGCATGCACCTGTAGTCCCAGCTACTCTGGAGGCTGAAGTGGGAAGATTGCTTGAGCTCAGGAGGCGGAGGTTACAGTGAGCCAAGATCATGCCACTGCACTCCAGCCTGGGTGACAGAGTTGAGACTCTGTCTCAAACTAACAAACAAAAAAACCAAAAATGGCTGAAATTATTGAGGCAGGTATCCAACTTAGGTTAGAAAAACATTAGAATAAACTAAAGAAAGGAAATAATAAACATAAAAGCAGAAATTAAAGAAATAGAAAAGAGGTCTACAATGAAACATCAACAAAGCCAAAGTTGGTTGTTTGAAAAAGACTAATAAAAGTAACAAACCTGGTAAAATGACCAGAAGTAAAAGAGGAAGGGCACAGATAAACAATCCGAATGAAAAAGGAGATATAACTAAAGATGTGGCAGATTTTTATAAAAGAGAGAAAAGTGCACACACTAACACATTTTTGTGCAGGGAATAATTTCAGATGGTAGATTATTGTATCTGTTGTCATAATAGTATATCAAGTCTATCAAGACGACTTGTCAAACTTGCCAAAAATTTTACTCTTGAATATGTAAGATGGTTGGATTAAATATTTTAATCCTTTACTTGAATATTTGGAGAGTTACAAAGGTGCAATGAATCACATAACTCTGCTTCAGTTATACTTTACTAAAGATTGTGGTAAAGATTTATCTGGGGATATAGATATGGATAAATTTCTTTAAAACAGTAGAATATGTGTTCCCTTTTAATACATAAGGAAGATGAGGGGAAATGCGTAAACCTGAGAAATTGTGGAAACCTTGTATTTTTAAAAGGCTGGCTGGAGTACAGTGGTACAGTCACAGCTCCCTGTGCCCATAGAACTCCTGGGCCCAAGCGACCCTCCAGCCTCAAAGGTGAGAGCCACCACGCCCAACTAAAACATACTGTTGTGTGAAGATAGAATTCAAAGGGCTAGATGACCATATCTAGATATGTTTTTAGAGTGGATTGCCACAAATGAAAGTTGCTGTATTTCAGGAATTCTGTTGTTTTTAAATACTGACTTCATTTAAAACAAGAAAACACAAAATCAGCTATTCATAAAAAGTTTGCCTCATGTAAGTCAAGTATACTATTTTCTTTTCTTTCTTTCTTTTTTTTTGTTTTTGAGGCACTCTCATTTTGTTACCCAGGTTGTCGTGCGGTGGCGTGATCTTGGCTCACTGCAACCTCCGCCTCCCTGGTTCAAGCGATTCTTGTGCCTCAGCCTCCCGGGTAGCTGGGATTACAGGCACATGCCACCACACGTGGCTAATTTCTGTATTTTCAGTAGAGACAGGGTTCACCATGTTGGCCAGGCTAGTCTTGAACTCCTAACCTGAAGCGATCCACCCGCCTTGGCCTCCCAAAGTGCTGGGATTACAGGCATGAGCCACTACGCCCTGCCAGCTCCAGTAATTTTTGACATGTTACATTTTAATTATTATTTAGTTCAAATTGTTTAATTTCCATCTTGATTTCTTTCTTCACTTATGGATTATTTAGAATTCTGTTTCATTTACAAACATTTGGGGATAATGTGGTTATATTTTTATGTTGATTTCTAGTTTAATTTCATTTTGGTTAGAAATTACACTCTGTATGATTTCAGTCCATTGAAATTTCTTGAGACTTGATTTATGGCTCAGCATGGTCTGTTCTAGTAAATTATCCATGTACACTGGAAAAGGATGTATAGTTTGCAGTTGTTGGGTGTGGTGTTCTATATGTCTCTTAAGTTGATTCATTATCTGCTCAAATCTTCTATATATCCTTCCTGGTTTTGTCTTCCCTTTCTGTCATTTACTGAGTAAGTTCTGTTAAATTCTATTCATGATTCCCATTCTGTCAAGTTTTGCTTTGTATGCTTTAATTTATATTTAAATTTTATTTTTCTATTGAGTGCTATTAACATAAATTAATATTAACATATTTATATACATGGATTGTCTGACATCTTTCCATTTATTTTCAGTTTGTTGATCTGTTCTTTGTTTCTTTGAGATTGTTATTTAGGATACTGCAAGAAATTCATAATGTCTTGGGTATAAAATTAGGGAGTAGCTCAGCTGGGTGAATCGAGTCTAAATCTCTGATGATGTTGCAGTAAGATGGTTGCTGTCTGGGATCATCTTGAAGCCTTTATTATTCACAGATGTGGGAAGACAGAAACAGCTGGGACTCTGGCAACCATGTCTTTCTCTGTGGTCTCTCCAAAGTGGTGACTGCACGGCAGCCTAACACTTAGGACTCCATAGATAGGTATCCCCAAAGAGAAAAAATTCAGGAGGAAGCTCTGATGCCTTTTCTAACCTAGCTTAAGAATTCAGACAGCAGCACCATGTTGGCTGGATTTTGTTCATTGCTAACCCTGCCTGTATTCAAGGAGAGGGGAATATGTTTTTTCTTTCTACAAGTTTTTTAGGATTTTGTCTTTGTTTTTAGGGTTTGGAATTTTAACTACAATATGTTCAGGTGCAAGAATCTTTTTTCTTTCCTCTTCCCACTGTGTTTGGCATTCATTGGGTGTTTGAATCTGATGATTCCTAACTTTTCTTAGTTTACCTCTGGAAATGTTATTCTGCTGTTACTTTGGGTCTGGTGTTCTTTCTACATTCCCATCAGATAGCTGGTGAAACCTTTGGGTGTATCCTCCTTACCTCTGTCTTTCATACATTCCATCTCTCTGCTCTTTTGTTCGGCACTCTCTGGTTTGTGTATTGGTATATTTATGTGATTTCACATTACCAAAAAGTACAGTTTTTCTTATGATGTACTCTAAAGAGCACTGTCCTTTGTTGTGGAAAGTTAAATCTTACCATGATTTCCATATTCACTCCCCTCCCCACCAGCATGTTGTGGTGAGTTGCCAGTTTTAAATATTTATGATCCCTGTAAATATTTAAAGATAACTAATAATATACTGCTTAAGAAACTACCTTCACTGTTCCTTAATGTAAAAAATTTTTCTCCAAAGTTTCTGATCACTAAATTTCCTTTAATGAATTTTGTTTTATAAGTTCAGTTCTACAGGAGAAACTTTTGTCTGTAATACATTCATTTATGTTAAAAATTGCAGAAACAACAAAGTTGGGATCAATTTAATTCACAAAGACAATCAAGTCATATTATTTTTGTAAATGTTAGAAGTAGGCTTCCTGAAGGAAGAATGAAGAGTTAGATTATAACTTGGACCATAATGTTAGGGACTCAGAATTGACTTAAAATTTAAACATAGTGTAATGTTTATTCCTGTCTTCCATATTTGTCAGGGAATCTTAACCAGAGTAAGAAATTTTCTGGTGCTGTGTCGGGAGTGCAGGGCACAAGAGATTTCCATAAAAAGGCATGGGATTTGCTTGGAAGAACATAGAGGTTTTCTAACTTGGCAGTAATGAGTTAGAACTAATTCCCCTTAGAAAGAAAAATTAACTTACATTCTTATTGGGAGTTCATTTGTGTGTATGCTTTCTTGTGTGACCTATTTATTATATTTGTGAGTGTACCTGTGTGTATACATTCGTGACCCATGGTGTTTGTTAGGTGTAAATAAAATTTTCTATACATACTCTGTGAAAAATGGCTTTGGAACTTGAATGTCTTGCCATTTTAGTTGAGGAACAGGGGCCAAATATTTTGTTGTTGCAGAATATCCAAAATAATTTGACCATCTCTGAGTTCTTTCCCTAGTTTCTGTTGCTGTAGAAAAGCTGGAGGCATTTGGGGAATATAAATGATCCATGCTATATTAGGATTCTGTCTTGAAAGATACGCATTTTTGGATTAGAGAGATGATGAATTCACATCTTGTTAAAATGTCAGCGATCCCCAGACTGGAAAGGGGGTAGGGATGTAGGCATCCTTTTACGTGAAATATATGCTCTTGTGTTTAGCTGTCAGTATTTTTCTTTTCATGGACATCACTTTTTTTTTTTTCATGGAATCACCTAATACAGATAGAGGTATAAGATGCCTAGTGTCCCACACAAAACTCTCCCACCTCACTCTACCTTTTCAAAAATGTGGTGGTTATTTTTAAAGGCTCACCCAGTTCTTACCTTGCTTCTCTTTCTCATTGGTTGACCTCATCCACTGCTATGGTTTCAATGCTACCATCTTGACCACCATTGACTCCCGAGTCTGTACCTCTAGTCCATTGGTTTCTACAGAACCTCCAGACTTGGCTTTTAAAATATCTATCAGATACCTTTACTTGTTCTTCCCATAGGAATCTCATAGTTAATTTTTGGAAGAAAGTATTATCTTTCTTTTTAAACCTCCTTTTGTATTTCCTGTCTTAATTGGAGGTAGGCTATCAACCACTTACTTGCTCAAGCTAGATACCTAGGAGTTATCACTGACTCTTCTTCATTCCTTTTAGTAGCTTATCAGTTATGGAGTCCTGTCAGTTTTATCCTCAGAAAAGCATTGCCCCTCTTCAGCCCTATTGCTCCTGTACAGGCCCGTGTCATCTCTCACTCGAGTTACTGCAGTAGCTTCCTAGCTATTCTCCCTGCCTCTAGTCTCTTCTTTCTTCAGTCCATCTTGCATACTGTCAGTTGTTTTTCCAGAATACAAATCTAATCATATTAATTGTTTTTAAATCACTTTGTCTTTTCCCCGTTATTTACTAGATAAAATATGAGCTCTTTAACATGACAAATGCCGAGCTATGTAGTATC